>NC_000006.12:34302424-34605454 GCF_000001405.40 Homo sapiens | reverse complement strand
GGTTTCACTATGTTGGCTGGGCTGGTCTCGAACTCCTGATCTCAAGTGATCCTCCTGCCTTGGCCTCCCGAAGTGCTGGGATTACAGGTGTGAACCACCACGCCCAGCCCTCCTTTTTTTTTTTTTTTTTTTTTTTGTTTTTGTTTTGGAGACGGAGTTTCGCTCTTCTTGCCCAGGCTGGAGTGCAGTGGCGCAATCTCGGCTCACTGCAACCTCTGCCTCCCGGGTTCAAGTGATTCTCCTGCCTCAGCCTCCGGAGTAGCTGGGATTACAGACATGTGCCACCACGCCCAGCTAATTTTGTATTGTTAGTAGAGATGGGGTTTCACCACGTTGGTCATGCTGGTCTGTAACTCTTGACCTCAGGTGATCCACCCGCCTCGGCCTCCCAAAGTGTTGGGATTACAGGCGTGAGCCACCGTGCCCAGCCTGACCAGTAGTTTAAATGTGGTCTAGATCAAGAGACAAATTAAGAAACCTGGTGATGTGAGTCCTCTTTCACATGGTCTAGTAGGAAAGACTTCATTCAGTAGTAATAGCATAAATGAAGGATTAGAGTCCTCTTTCACATGGTCTAGTAGGAAAGACTTCAGTAGTAATAGCATAAATGAAGGATTAATTTATTGGTTGATTAGATGTTCATTACAAAGGATTTTGTGGATTAGTGTTAATTGTATAGGATAGAAGTAAATTGGCAAGAGAGTAAATTGCCTGTATTTGAGGAAAGACGTTTCACATCTTAACACTCTAATAAATAAAATATTTTCTTCTAAGCTCCTATTTCTCTAGTATTTTTTCTTGAATTTAACCCTCCAGAGTCTGTGACTGTTCAGGGTGGTAAATGGGCCAGCCCTGGGCTAAGCATGCTTTGTTAGAATGAGAACTTCAGTCTGTTGGGTTTAATGGGAAGATGAACATTAAGGCAAAACAACCAATTGCTCCTGTGCTTTCTCTAATGGAAGCTGCCTCACCCACCTATGAGCTTTCTGGCTTGGCCATCGCTGCAGTTTTAGGAGAGGGCTGCTGTTCTTGGCCAGGGCACTGTACTTGTCTTCCTGAATTGAGAGCCCATTAATTGTTTTCCTCTCCTTTAGGGACTGATGCTTTTTAACCACCTCTGTGATGGTTGCACACAGTCATCACAGACGGTTGGGAATGGTGGGCTGGTATTTTCTGCCAGCTTTAATTAAGGTCCTACCAGGGTTTGCTTCTTTTGGAAGGGCTGGACTATGGTGAGGTTATTGACTTATTTATTGGAGTTGATGAACTAGTATTAATATGTTATCTAATTTTTTTCCTGGACTTTGTAGGATCATTTAGAAGTAGCATTTGCAAGAACTGTAGAGAAAAGCTTCCCATTAGAGATAGACTGTTGACTATAATGCGTTGAAAATGTGAAACTTAGATGCCAAAGAGAAATTGGGGTCTCCTTTTTTTCTTAATCTAAGCAGAATCTTAGAAAGCAATTTATATGAAGCATCGAGCAGGTTCCCTGAAGGCATTTCTGGCTAAAGTTGAGTCAGCTCCACTCTAGCTCTTAGGGCTCCTTAGAATAGGGTGTAGGAAGTAGTCATCAGTAAATATTCATACATCTGTGCACTGTTCAGAGCAGTGTACATCGTACATTAGGAGACTTGAGGAATAAAAGGATCCCTACCCACTAGGAGCCCGCAGTACAGTAGGGGAAATGAAACATGCACAAAGCAATTAGAGAGCAGTTCAGTCAAAATGAAGTATGAATTTGCTCAATAGAGAGCAATACAGTCCTAATATATAATTTGTGTTTTGGGTTTTGTGTTTGTGTGTATGTATTGTTTTTTTGAGATAGAGTCTCACTCTGCCACCCAGACTGGAGTGCAGTGGCACAATCACAGCTCACTGCAGCCTTGACTTCCTGGGCTCAAGCAATCCTCTATCTCAGCCTCCCGGGTAGCTGGGACCACAGGCGCCCGCCACTACGCCCGGCCAATTTTCTGCATTTTTTAGTAGAGACGGGGTTTCACCGTTTTAGCCGGGATGGTCTCGATCTCCTGACCCCGTGATCCGCCCGCCTCGGCCTCCCAAAGTGCTGGGATTACAGGCGTGAGTAAATTTTTGTATTTTTAGTACAGATAGGGTTTCACCATGTTGGCCAGGCTGGTCTCGAACTCCTGACCTCAAGTGGTCTGCCCACCTCGGCCTCCCAAAGTGCTGGGATTACAGATGTGAGCCACCGTGCCCGGCTCAGTTGCCATCTTTATTGGCTAGGGAGGAGGGGTGCCTAAGGTGCTAGTGTCAGGGATCACTGAGTTGGCAATAGATCTGATTAACTCCAGAGAGATCTCTGCTTGCCATCAAGGCTGGGAAAGAACGTGATGCTCTGGAAGCCTATGACCACAGTTTTAGTAGGCAGGTAGTTTCCTGCTGCCTCCATAGTTACAGTTTAACTTGCTAAGGTTGGTAGGATGAAGGTAATAGATTGCTTCAGGCACCTGCACTATGAGAGCTGGGTGGATATGTCAACAGAATGGCACATCTGTCAGTGCCAGGAAACAGACACCCTGGAGTCCTTCCCAGCTGTTCTTGAATCGTAAGCTCCCTGAACTCAGTGCTCCGTCCCTGGGGGGAACGCCTGCCCTAGCTGCATCCCACAACGCAAAGGGGCTTCTCCCTGTGGGAGAGCTGTCAGAAGGAGTCAGAAAAGTAAATATATGCTGACTCGCCTCAAAGATTCATAAATCTGGCTCCCTGCTTTTGTTAGAAATTGGCTTGCCTCATTGTCAGCTCAGTTGTGGCTGAACTGTCTGTCCCAGGTGAACAGTGAGATCAAGTACTGGTGAAGGCTAGAAAGTGTTTTAATGATCCCTTTTTATGTGATTAGCTGAAGAGCATCTGACGATCAAGTTAGGGTAGCATAGGTGCTCACTCCGTTGACTCAAGGCTAACCTTGCTGTGAATTCTAGCACTCTGACTCATCTCTGGGGGGCCAGAGTAGCTTCTGTTTGGACAGTGCGAAACTGATGAAAAACAATTCACAGAGATGTGGAAAGAGAAAAAAAAGTCCTGTTAAAGTTACGTATGCCTTTTTCTTATATGCCAGTAATTTTTAAAATTTCACTGTTTTCTAAGAAGGCCTTTACAGAGCAATAAGACCCCAAGTGGTCTGATTCAGGACAGCTGGGGATAAGAGTGTGGCTGGCAGAATCGAGGGGCTGTTCTTTAGGACAGCTACCTGCTTTGCTTTCTTTCACTAAAGGAGTAATGATTTACACTGGGAGCTGAAGAGGACCCCAAATTCACTTATTTTGTTACTTGAAATATGGCTCTTATATTGTGTTTGTTCTTTCTTTAAAAAAAAAAGTGTTCGAGGCTGGTATATGCCATATATTCCCACTTTAAACTGGATTACAGTCTGAGCCACTGTTATTACTTCCATCAAATGCTGGTTCAGAAGGAGAAACTTATTATTATCTTTGTGGGGAGGTTCATCCCGCTCCTCCAGAGCCATCCCTGCCAAGTGCCATCTGCTCGCGCACTCGTGCTTGCTGGCTTGCTTTTGTGCTTATTCTCTTCCCCCACCCCCACCCCTTTCCTCTCTTGACAGTCATCCTGTAGAGCATTTTGTATCTGGAGCTAGCAGGAGTCAGTCTGCTTCTGTTACATCAGAAATCAGCTCTTTTTCTCACCTGCTGCTATCTATGTTGACTAAGGCATAGAAGAGTTCTTTTCTCTCCATCCAGGTGAGGGTTTAGAAACAGTAGTTGGGGGGGCGGGTACTGGAGGAGGTTTGGAAAAGGCAGATCTTTTGTTCTATGGGCCTGGCGATGTAATGGCTTGTGGATCTATTATCTACTTTGAAATGGCCAAAAAGTTTAACATAATAATAAGGGAAGAGTTTGGGGTGACTTTGTGGAATTGGGACCAACATTTGCCCAGGCAGTTTGACCAGAAGGCAGGTAGTTGGTGTCCTCAACTGGGCTAGTGCTTATGTGAGGCATTAAGAGGGCACCAGTGTAACCTTCCCACTGCCATGAAACCCTAGAGTTGTCTTCATTCTCACATGCAGATCCTCTCCATGAAAGGTTTAAAGATGGTTCAAAGAGAAGCTAGATGGAAAATCGGTGTAACTTGGCCCTCTGGCAAGGAACAGGTAGTGAGAACACACTATTCTCATGCCAATGAAAGAACATTAATCAGAGCTGTAAAACTATCATTGATTGAGCAGTTATGCGCCAGGCACTGTGCTGAGGACTTTTTTAAATTTAATTTTTGTTATTAAAATTTATCAGTGTACGTAGTTTAAGGAACCAAATAGTTCTACCAAGCTTATGACAAAAAACTCCAGTCACCTCCCTGCTTCCCAGCCTCCAGTTTTTATTCCGCAGAGACAATAGGCTCAGTGCTTGACATGCATTACTTCATGTAGTCCACAAACAGTACCATGATAAAAGTATTGTTATTATCACTCCTTTACAGTTACTGAGACTGGTTCAGTGATTTGCCCAAGGTCATGTACCGGGGTGATAAGACCAGGATACCAACAAAAGCAGTTATTTTTGACTTCTAAGCATGCTGTGTTCTCTTAACATTGCACTGCATTGCTTCCCAATTGCAGTGTTCAAGTACACATTTTTGTTAGCTGGGCTGACATCTGTGGGCTTTCTGTAATGTACAGCTACGTTTTAAATGAGGATCAAGGCAATTGTTGACCAAATATTATGTGACTTTTCTACTATTAAACCTCTTCCCCCCACCAGCTATTGCTTTCTCTCTAGCCTCCAAGAAGGGAAAAGATTACCTAGAAACCTTCATAGTCACTTGGGTTTAGGTTTTTGTTGGCATTGACATTTTCATTAACTCACTCTTGTTATAGCAGCATCTGTACTTTTTGATGTCACACACACAAAAACCAAACCTGTCTATATTCCTTGATAGTGGCCACAAGATACAGTCTCTGGGGTCTTATTTTTCTGGGACAAATTAAAAATCTCCCTTTGAATATACTGAGTATTTTAGAATTAGAACATACGTAGGGGCTGTCCTACAGTTCCTTTAAAATCGAGTTTTGTTTCTGTAAAGCCTATCTGGAGAAAGAATATTTTAGGCAGAGGACAACCAGTACAAGCCCTGAAGTGGAAGTTTGCCTGTTGTGTTCAAGGGATAACAAGGAGGCCAGTGCCTGGAGCAGAGCCACGAGAGAGAGTAGAAGAAGATGAAGTCAGGGGACAGAGACCAGATTGTGGAGCGTTTTGCGGGCCCTTATAAAGCTTTGGGCTTTTGCTCTGAGGAAAAAGGGGAGCCTTAAAAGGTTTTCAATAGAGGGGTGATATATGTGACTTAATGCTATAAAAGGAGCACTCTAGCTCTTGGGTGGTAAATACAGGGCAAGGGTAGGAACAGGAGACCAACAGGGAAGTTAATGCCGTCATCCAGGCAAAGAGTAAGAGTGGTTCAGATCAGGTTGGTGGCAGCAGAGGTAAGAGAAGTGGTCCATGTCCGGATCTATATTGTGTAGCTAGAGCTAACAGGATTTGCTAATAGGTTGGAAGGGGATGTAAAAGAGAAGAAAGGATAACACCAGGATTCTTGGCCTGAGCCATTAGAGGGATGGAGCTACCATCAATGGATAGGGGAAAGGATGCAGTAGAAGTGGGGAGAGAACAGGGTTCCATTTTGGATATGTTGGATATTTATATAAACATCTAAATGGAGGTGTCAAGTGGGCTGTTGCATATCCAAGTTGGATATAGAGTGTAGGAGAGAAGTCTAGGTGGAGATATAAATTTGAGAGTTATGTCACATGGATGGCATCTAATGCTGTAAGACTGAATGTGATTCCCTAAATGATGAGAGGAGGTCAGGGTTTCTTAGCTGACTGATTAAGACTGTTGACATTTTGGGCCAGTTAAGTCTTTTTTTTTAAACAAGGCAAGGGTATATGTGTCTTAGGCATTGTACAGTGGTTAGCAGCATGCCTGGCCTTTTACCCACTAGATGCCAATAGTACTGCCCTCCCTCCCCACAGTGTAACAACCAGAAATGTTTCTTGACATGCCAGATGTCTCTTGGGGGGCAAAATTCCCCCACTGGTGAACCTCTGGCATAGTTAGAGGTCCAAGGGCTGAGTTTAACACTATCTGTCTAACATGTAAACCATTTCATACTATCCACAGTACCTTTACTGCTTTTATTCTTATTCTTCATTCACAACACACTTGTGATTTCGTAGTTATAATCCTCATTTGAAAAAATAATAGGGAAGTATTATAAGTAACTTACTCACATTCACACAGCAAATTGAAGGTGGGCTGCAGGCTGGAACCCAGGGATCCAGTTTGAGTCTAATGTTCTAGACCACACTACAGTGAGGTTGCTGGCAAGTGAAGTTTGTTGGCTATTCTCTGAAGGTAGTTTATGCACTTAGTGTCAGGTCGTAGAGACCTCTTCATTCATTTGTGGGAACTGCAAAAGAATGTGTGGCCGGTAAGAAGCAACACAGAGCAACCAAGGGACCTGTCCCAGTTGGCTGGCAGATTAGCACACTGTGTACCAGAAGGGACTTGCCAGGATACTCTGGGCTTAATATTTTGATGATTCTCTTTTGAAAACCCAGAAGAGCCAGTAAAGTCCTCGCAGCCTTGCTGGTGTTTACATTGGCATGAATGTTGTGTGCATTTTTTAAATAAATTAAGCAAACATAACTATGGGCCTTAGAAAATGTCTTTTGTTGTTTGTAACATTACTATCTGACTGAGAATAAAAAGTATCTCCAGGAACTTTCCTTTTTGTACCTCAGTAGCTTCAAAGCTGTCCAGCTCCATTTTATTTGCTTTGGGCTCTGAGCATTGTTTGAGGTTGTTCTGATGCTGTGCACTCTTGTGGCTGAAGCAGAGCTAATGTTCCCAAGATTGCCAGCATGTTTTATTTTGGTTATAAGGGCCCATTCTCTTCCCCATACTCTGAATTCAGCATTTTAATTTCTGATGAAAGTTCTCAAAGTAGGACTCGTGAAATTTATAGGTTCAAACAGATAAAGTATAATTCAAAAGTGTAAGAATGGCTCCTGGTATAGATGCTCAGGTTTCAAATGACTTGTTCTCAGCTAAGTCTGCTTTAATTGTATACCAGCAGGACCAGAACAAAATGTAAGGTTAAGAACTGTTGTATCTCAGGATAAATGGGAGCTTCCTTAGAGCTGGGATGTTCCCCTGCAAAGGTTTGAGGGTCTTGAACTTTTTGCTGTGATTTCACTGCCTAAGGGCCAGTTAAAGCTGTTTGCTTTACACAGTCAATAATATTGACTGATAGTATACAGTCAATAATACTGACTGATATTATTCAGTCAGTAAGTGAGGTCTCCTGGGTGCTCAGCCACTAATCCCTATCTTCAAAGCATTTACTATCTGATAACGTAGATGTGACCAATCCATAGGAAAGAATAAGAGCCAGTAAAGATGAAGTATGTTGAATTCTAGTTGACTTTTAAGTGATAATAGGAATTTGGGGACGGCCAAAGCAGTAAGACTTGGAGTAATCAAGAAATTGATCCCTTGATGGAGGATGGATTCAAACTGAATTGGAGGGAAGAAGAACCACATGCAGGAAGGCTCAGAGGCAACCACAGGCAGGGTGTGTTCACAGGACACTGGCCAGCTTGGCTGCGGTGAGTGAGGTGTGCTTAAAGAGGGTGGGGTGCATTTTGGAGGAAGACCTTTAAAAGCCAAGCAAAGGAGAGTTCACATTTAATATGAAAGGAGAGAGTGCCAGCAATGCTTTTGAGTAGGGGAGTGGCAAGACAAAACCAAATATAGCTGAAAGGAACCAAGAAGGAGAGAGACAACTTACTGTCTTCCCTTAATCCACTAGCCATTATGCAAGCTGATGCCTGTCAATTAATTGTAAGACACACAGGGGAGATGATGGCTTGTAAGGAAAGGGTAGTTGACAGAAAGTTACAGGAGCTTTAATCGAAATTCTGAGAGAAAGCTGGACCAGCAGCCTTATCCTGTGTCCTAGCAGGGTGGCTACCTGACTAGGAACTTGAATAAGCTTCTCTCATGTTGTTGTCCTCCCCAGTGAGACTGTTACTGTTCGTTCTTCCTCTTTGGAAATCTCCTCTACCCTAGGAGATGACCATGAAAGAGTTCTGTATAACAGCATCCCACTTGGATTCTAGCACACTTGCTGTTACATCAGATCTTTGGAGCTAGAATTCTGAATAACAAATAGCTTTTTTCTGAAATCTTTACTAAAAGGGGAAGTCAGATTCAGCTAGGATCCTCTACCTCCACGTAGAAACTTTGAATAATGTGTTTTCATTCACAGTTATGTTTGAGTTTTATTCTTCATGGTTTTTAAAAAATATGTAAGGGGAGTAGGGGGTGAGTGAAGGCTGTGGGAGTTGCCTTTTGGAATGGGGGACTTTGGATGGACAGGAGGATGGTTGACAGGGAGGATGTATGGAGGGAGGAGGGATGGAAGTATGGATGATAGAGGAAGGATGGAGGGATGAATGATGAAGGGTTGGATGAATGGGTGAAGGGAGGATAAATGGGTAGATGAGAAGTTCCTCAACAGGACTGTAGAGGTTAGTTAAGAGCAACAGAAAAACTATTACAGAGGCAGATACAACAAGTTGTTTTTACAGAGCTTTAAAAATACATTCAGCACACTAATAACTGAGTTAAATGTTTTGGCACAATCAGAAGGCCTGGTTGAACTGAGCTTGCCCTGTCATCAGCCCTTGAGTGTAGAAGTAGGGTTTTTTCCTATTCTTTGGCTGGTTCTCACGCTCATTCTCAGCCAGTGCATCAAATACATCTTTGAATTTTGGGAAACTGTCACATGAAAGAGACTTGAACAGGCCAAGTGCGGTGGCTCACACCTGTAATCCCAGCACTTTTGGGAGGCTGAGGTGGGTGGATCACCTGAGGTCAGGAGTTCTAGACCAGCCTGGCCAACGTGGTGAAATCCCATCTCTACTAAAAATACAAAAACTACCTGGGCATGATGGTGCCTGTAGTCCTGGCTACTTGGGAGGCTGAGGCAGGAGAATTGCTTGAACCCAGGAGGTAGAGGTTACAGTGAGTCAAGATCACGCCTCTGCAGGAGAATCGCTTGAACCCAGGAGGTGGAGGTTGCAATGAGTCGAGATCGCACCTGTGCACTCCAGCCTGGGCGACAGAGTGAGACCAATGTTAAATCATCTTACAGAAGTCCTTCTCTCATGCTGACGGGTCCTGCTGTGCCACCAGCAAGCCTCCCGGAGTAGTCAGAAGGCATTAAGGAAAGGGCGCTGGTTTGCACATTACTGAGAGAGTGCCCATTGCCCTGCTCATTACTCCAGTACAGACTTAATTTTATTTCTAGTTAATGAGAGACTAATGGGTTTGATCAGGTCCTAGTCAGTTTCTGGCCCCTGCCAGCCAGGCCAGGCCTGTGAGCAGGGCCTCACCACACAATGTTTGCAGTATAAATCAGGACAGGACTTAGTACTAAACCCTGTATTCTTCTGTGTTTGCATTCAGTGTACATAAGTGATACAAAAGGAGCACTAGGCGGAAGAAGCACTGACCAGGACTGACCCAGGAAATGAGGAAGAGGAGGGTCCTCATGGTGTTATCCGATAATGCCATCAGTATACACCAAGAGAGCATATTATTTCTCAGCCATACAACAAACTTGCTTGTCTTTTTATTAACCTGTGTGAACCTTCTTATTTATTTAAATCAAATCACAAATAAAAGCAAAATAAAGACAGGTATGTGAAAGTCCTGTGTTGTGGTAATTTATCTAAACAACAAGCTTTCGTATACAGAAAGAGTAATGCAAAAATCTCTCAATGAGACATCCTTTTTTCATTAGGAATTTCAGCCTTCTTTTTTTTCCTGGAATGTTAAAAAACGTCTGACTCACCAGTCAGTGTATTTCATAATTCATTCATTCATTTTACTGATACCTGAGTCTACTATGTGCAAGGCAGAACTAAGTATCAGGAACAGCTTCTGTCGTCATAGAAGGGCAGCCTACTCTTCTGATAGCACTGCCCTGCCTACTGATGAAAATAGGTGAATACAACTGAAATGGAATGATTGCCTGTTTTTTAGTACTTTGGCATACAGTTGATGTTTTCTATCAGTGACAGTTTTTTAGTACTCCTTTTTGGAAAGGTTATTTTGACTTCTGTATAATTTTAGAAAGGACTCTAAGATATTGCAGGTTTACCCTCACATAAGATAAGTGATAACCACATCACTGGCTAGGAATGATTCTTGCTATTTGACAGACACAACTATAAATGATTCTGTAAAACAAATCAGAGAGACAGTTATTTTTAGGTTTGCTTTGAGGACAGGATTATAAGTACTAGATCTTAAATTTTCCTTTTAGGAGATTGATAAGGATGAGACTGAGCTCATCTTTATGTCTGTAAATGTTCTCTAACAATATTTTAGGGCTGAGCACAGTGGCTCATGCCTGTAATTACAGCACTTAGCCAAAGTGGGAAGATGACTTGAGGCCAGGAGTTCAAGACCAGCCTGGGCAACATAGTGAGGACCACCCCTCCCTTACCACACCCAACAACAAAATTTTTTTTTAATTTTAGGAAATTAGCCAGATAATGGCTTGCTTGCAGTAGTTATTATTGCATTGTGGAAATGCAGTTCAGGACTTGGCCCAACTACTGTAATCAATCAGCTGGCCTAAGGCAAAAGTCTCTTCCCCAACACTGGTGAGCAGGAGGCGTTGCTGCCTTAGCTAATGACTGTGGAGCCTCTGCGCTTTAAGAAGGCTTGCCTGCTCTCTAGCCAGGTTGAACTTAGGTCCCCACGCTCATACCTATGATAGCTGGTCAGTGAAAGCTTAGGGAAAGCTGAGGCAAAACAAGCAACACCTCAGCCCCTATGGACCTGAACAGTTTCATATCCCCTAGCAGATGTGGGGCTGTTCAATGTAGCCTTTGGAAACCCATTTCTGTGTAAGTGGTGTATGCCCTGGGCAACTGGCCTTTAGACCTGGAGTCAGATACCAGAGTTTTTTTCTGGGTTTGAGTATTTATACCCTCCGTTAGCATGGATAAATCAGTCTTGCTGCTAGTCCCTATGTGATAGGACATGATTATTCCTAGAGAGGAGTGGCTTTCTGCATCAAGCTCACTGGGTTTTATAATCAGGATGATGGCTTCAATTTTTGCTTGGGTCCGAGTTGAATTCAGGGTTCTGTGGTACCATCTAATGCATATGCCCCTTTATCTGTTTTCCTTATTAGTAGTGGTACAAGTGTAAGAGAAGATATTTCATTGATTCCAGGTTAGCTAAAATATTTGGCATCTGTTTTTACTACAGATAAAAGTTGAAGAGTTGCTAGGCCCCAGAAGAGAGTGAATGTTATCTGTATTGCCAAATCCTACTTTTAGGCTGGGATTGTCGTTGGCTACCAGAACCTGTTACACCAGGTCTTAGAACTCCAGTGGAATCTGAAATGTGGATGGGCCTCCCGGTTTGAAAGTACCTCCATCCAGAAGGTACCGCGATGGTCTTCCTGCTTGGCCTACTGCCATAGGACTCCCCAGACAAGCTGTTCTTGGAATCTCTGCCAGGCTTTTCCTCTACAACTGGTGTTATGTTGCCTGTGTTCTGTGATCCACATGAGACACCTATGATACTGTGTGTGGGGGAGTCTAGATCGTAAAATAGCTTCCAAATAGAGTTGGTGCCCTCTCTCTTCCTTGAAGTGATGGTAATTAATTTGGGGGTAAGAAAAATAGAGCTTGTTCATCAAACTATTTTTCTGTTCCAATTAAACAACAACAACTCTAATATATAGTTCACTGGGTGAAAGAGAATTAGGTAGCTATTTTTCTTCATAAAAGGCATGGAACATCAGTAAATAGAGGATCAACAATAACCATAATCTAAACTAGTTAAATGCCACACTGAATGGTCTGAAGGCCAGGGCACTCAAAGGAAATCTGAAAATGCACACGTCTTTATTCCTGTTTCTTCCAATTGAATAGAACCTGCTTTATTTATCCGTTAAGTGGGAATATACAACAGCTTTTTGACAAAGTCATAAACTTCCTTCTTCAAGTATTCTAGACAAATCATAAAGCCAGTGGTTGCTTTATAAAGGCCCACATGAAGTGTGTAGAGCTTTGGACTGGAAAGCAGTTAAATTTAGGGTAAAGGGGTAAATATTTCATAGGAAGCAAATGCTGTTTGTTTTTTGAGTTTTCTTTTTTCTTTATTAAATTTATTATTTTTTCCCTAACCCTCAGAACCTGTGACTTTGTTTTAAGAGAGAAGGTCTTACTCTGTCTCGCAGGCTGAAGTACAGTGGCACAATCATAGCTCACTGCAGCCTCGACCTCCTGGGCTCAAGTGATCCTCTGGCCTCAGCCTCCTGAGTATCTGGGACTACAGCCATGCGTCGCCATGTCCAACTAATTAAAAAAAAATTTGCGCGTGGAGATGGAGTCACACTGTGTTACCCATACTGATCTCCTAACTCCTCACCTCAAGCAGTTCTCCCGCCTGGGCCTCCCAAAGTGCTGGGATTATAGACATAAGCGACCGTACCTAGCAAGGTTTTCTTTTTGCTGTGCATTTTTTTTTCCTGCACAGAGACCTTTGAGCATTGTATTGGTTCTAAACCTTAAGGGAATTAAAGTTTTTGTTGCTTTCCTTGGGTAGTTCTAGATGAATGATTGTTGTTGGGAACTGCTGAGTCAGGGCAGCTTGTTTTAAGCTGCTTTACGTTCTATTAGGTTGGTGTAAAAGTTAACTGCATTTTTTGCCATTAAAAGTAATGGCAAAGGCCAGGCGCAGTGGCTCATGCCTGTAATCCCAGCACTTGACTCTGTCTTGAAAAAAATAAAAATAAAAAATAAAAATAAAAATAATGGCAAAAACTGCAATTACTTTTGCGTGAACTTGATACCTCTGATGTATGGGACCCCCCCTACCAGGACTTGCAAAATGGAATCTGAGAGCCCTTTGCTGCCCCAGTGCACACTTGCTTGAGTGGGTGGATGCTGTGGCTGCTGAGATGGTTCATAGCTCGTCTGCTAGAGGCGTGGTTGGCTCGGGCTGACAGCCATGTGGCATTTTGGCAAATGCCAGTTGCTTCCCTCACCAGTGCTGCTCCCTTAATCAGGTTGCCTCACCTGTCTGAGCTTGGAGACCATGCTTGTCTCCTTGGATCTTTGTGAGGGCTAAAGAGAACATGTTAGGTGCTACTGCAGCACCTGGCACGTAGTGGATGCCCCATTGGTATTGGCCTGTCCATTCCCCAAATCATCTCCTGAGGATTTTTTGTTTAGTTTAGTGATACGACCAAGCAGCTAGAGATGTCCTTCTGGTTTTGGGAGGCTTTATATGGAAAAACAAAAAGCAGGGATTGGGGAGGAAGCACACGTCATGGTCCAGCGTGTTCGTGGTTTGTGTAGCTGCTTTTGATGTTGGCACATCTTGGTGTGTCTTTCTTATAAGGGGAAGCAAGACTGTGAAGCTTCTTCCACTCAGCCAAGCAGCATAGAAAGTGCCTTTGGCAAGTTGGAATAAACCTTATCATGTGGCAAGGGAGAGCTAGCGTGGGAAGAAGGAATACTGCAGTCCATCAAATTTGGATTTGAATCTTGGCTCTGCCTCTTACCACGTGATTTTTTTAAAAAGCTTGAGACAGGATTGGCCAGGCGCGGTGGCTCACACCTGTAATCCCAGCACTTTGGGAAGCCGAGACAGGCGGATCACGAGGTCAGGAGATCGAGACCATCCTGGCTAACATGATGAAACCCCGTCTCTACTAAAATTAGCCAGGCGTGTTGGCGGGCGCCTGTAGTGCCAGCTACTTGGGAGGCTGAGGCAGGAGAATGGCGTGAACCTGGTAGGCGGAGCTCGCAGTGAACTGAGATTGTGCCACTGCACTGCAGCCTGGGCGACAGAGGGAAACTCCATCTCCAAAAAAAAAAAAAAAAATTGAGACAGGATTTCGCTCTGTTGCCCAGCCTGGAGTGGTGCAGTGGCGTAATCAGGACTTATTGCAGCTTCGACCTTCCAGGTTCAAGTGATCGTCCCACTTCAGCCTCCCAAGTAGCTGGGATCATAGACGTGTGCCACCATGCCTGGCTAATTTTTTAAAAAAATTTTTATAGGGGTGGGTTCTGACTATGTTGTCCAGGCTAGTCTCGAGCTCCTGGGGTCAAGTGATCCTCCTTCCTTGGCCTTATGGGGTCCTGGGATTACAGGCGTGAGCCACCACACTTGGCCTAACCAGGTGACCTTGAACAAGTCTTATTCTCTGCAGTAAAATGGGTGTCAGTGAAATAGGTGTTATAATACTCACCTGGCTTTTAGGGAAGAGGTGAGAATTAAAGGCAATGTAGGATAAGCCCCTAGTACTGTGCCTGGGACCTAGGTGCTAAGTAAATAGTTGCTATTTCTGTGTTTTTGCTGATATATGTGTTGTTAGCTAGCAGTAGCCTTACATCTGAAGTTAAGGTGCATAGAATGGCATATAAGGATCTTTAGCAGAGTGGTTGAGACATTTTTGTCAAGAAGGAAATAGGAAAGCTTTGTGACCTGGGTGGAGGAAGGTTGGCATTGACTGATCTACCATCTGAAAGATGGGGGAGTTATCTCTACCCTCCCCTCTCTTTGGATGATGTGAGAAATCTTTGGATTCAGTGAGAAACTTAGCAACTTGAAATGTACTGATCTTTGGCCTGCCGAGGTTTTGTATGGCAAAGACCCTCAGGCCTTGTCTGTGGATTGGGGCTTCCTTGTGACTCACTGGGAACCATAGATCTTGCACTTGGTTTGGTTGTCAAGTTGCACTGCTATGTGTACCATCACTGACTATCTTCACTCTCTTCCAGGGGCTCCATGGGCCTTACCCCTTCGGCCAGTCTTAAACGGGTGTCAGCAAGAAGAAAAATTAACAAAAGACAGAAGGCCTGACTTTGGGGGGTTAGGGCAAGGGGTTCCTCTGGATTGCAGACCACATCGCACAGACCCCTGGCTCTGACCCCCTCTCATCCCGGAAGAAGAGGAAGAAGCAGAACAGACTAGTTTTGAGTAAACTCAGTATGCATGTGTGAATGCTGAATCACAGGAATGGTGTTGAGGCTACCAAGAAGAAATCCATGCAGCCACTTTGGGTTTTGTTATAGGCATCAGTCTAACAAGTCATTAGGTCACTCGGGAAGGGGGAAAAAGTTTAAAATGGGGGAAAAAAAGCCATCTTTTTAAACAAAAATTATTTTGCCTACAGAAAGGTTGTAGTTTTGAGCACATGTTAATTTTTTTCCCTCTTTCCCCACTTTTATTTTTTTAAATAAGGGATAACATATTCTTTATAGAATAGTGCTTGTTCTGGAAGAGATTCAGGTGAAAAGTTGGCGTGGCATGTTTGAGGACTCTGCGGATCAGTGCTACAGGAGTACATCTGCCCTGCCACATGACTCCAGAAGTCTCTGACCCCATTTGTTTTTAATGGCATCAGCCAATGAGTTATCACCCTTTTCCTCCTCTTTTCTCTTTAATCTTCTGTTGATTTACACCTTTGACATTTGTATTCGTCAACCCTGTGGCTTGTTAGCATCAGAACCTCTCTGAAGACCAAACTTCCCTGTGTGGCCAGCAGAGGAAGCCTTGAGGATAGATCTCGGGTGACGTGGGATTTTCTAAGCCTGAGAGGTGTCCTTCTGCACACCCTTGTAACAATTAAAATTGCTTTTCTTCCATGTTTCTCTTGGCAGAGAGAAATGCCATCATGCTTACTGCTCTTTTGGATTCTTCATGCAGTGGCTTCCCATTTGCTCTGGGAACAGTGCCTCTGTGCTGGTTATATGTATGCACCACATGTGCACACACGGGTGTTGGTGCAACTCACCAGCAGGTGTGCAGTAGGCAAGCTTGAAGGTGGCCCATGCTTCTCTGTTGTCACACAACACCTTTCCCTGTTTCTCTTCAGTTGTCCTCTGATATTTTCACAGCCTGTTAGTGGCGGCTGATCTGTAGAGGTATGAAAATACAGCCCCAAAGGGGGAATTTGTCATGGGGAAGGGCCAGCCACTGACTACTTGATCTTGGAGACCACATTTAGATGGAAATGAGAGGACCTCCACAGCCCCGCCTCCCTGCCAGGATGCTAGATTATTGGCTGGGAGGTGGGCAAGTGGCAGCCCAGCTGAAGCAAGAGGCTGATTGACTGGCTGCTCACTCAGGCAGGTGGCCTGCCCTGGCATCCTGTAGATTCTGAGCAGGTTGAGATGTGGATATCTCCATGGGAAGCTTGAACCAGGCTAGAACAGCTGTCTGCCAAAGATACAAGAATATGCAAAGTCCCTCTTACCCCCCTCCTTCCCTCAAGTCTTAGTTGGTTTGAGAGCCAGGGATATGGATCCAGGGTGCTGTTGCAGGGTCACCTGCCTGTTACCACACCCCCATCCAGCTGGGTGGTGGGTGAGGGTGTGAGACAGGCAGGGAGACCAGGTAATGAGTGGCTGCAAGGAGTCATATAGCCTGGGTGTGGGTGAGGGTCTGCCTGCCTGTTTCTGTCTGGGTGTCTGAGTTCCAAAAAATGTGTGTTGTTTGTTCCTCCTCATCCTCTTCTGAGACTGTTGTTTTTTTAGAGCTTGATTGTGGGAGAAAAGCTTGTGTGAAATTCCCTCTTCACCTCCCCACCCCCCAAAAAATAAAAGGGGGCATAAACTTTATTCCACTGGAGAAGCCCTGGGGGTGGCTGGAGCCAGCCTGCTGAGAAGCGTGGTGCAGCTGGGTCTGGGACTTCACTAGAGCTTACTCTGGAGCACCTATTTTCTGTGCACATGGGAGTGCTCCACTCCCTAGCAGAGCAGAGGGAAGTCTCTGCCAGGTACCCACGCCACAGGCCTCAGGATGGCTTTTTGTCTGAGGGCCTCATTAGGCCCAGACTGCTGCTGCTGGTACCAGTCTCCTGAGACACTGCCTCCCTGGAGCCCATGCATGCCCAGCTGTTCTTACTGCTTAGTAGCCTTGAAGCAGCACATCTCCACTGTCCCTGGCAGGATTGTGGGAGGCTTCACAACCCCTGCTTTCCTGACTTCCTCTTCTGCCCAACACTGGGTGCCCCTTCCCAGTTTCCCAGCAGGGGCTTCATGGGCCACCGTCAGTGGGTCTGGGCCTGCCAGAGTCGTCTTGCTCTTCCTCTTGCTTCTAGGCAACCACACTTGGCAAGTTAAATGTCCCAAGCACCTTGTCTCCCTTCCCAAGAACAAACCATTTCTGTGCACATCCTTGGAGGCGAGATGAGCTCCTTGCAGAGGGCCAGAGTAAGTGCAAGTCATGGAGTGCAGGCAGAGGGGTCCATGGCTTCCCCAGCCCAGGGAGGGTATCAGTATCATTCATTCTCTCTCCCCTCACTGGTATGGGTTCAGAGCAATGCCTAGGGCCCCTCTCTGCTCCCCTGCCTAGTGGGGTGGTAGTGGCTACCTCTCAGCCCCAATAGTCCCTGCTCCTCTTAGAATCTTCACCAAGTGGCAGGCCACCTCTGGGCAGGACCACCTGCGTCTGGCACCCAGGAGGTGAGGCAGACACCATGGTTAGGTGATAGGGTCTGAACCCAGTTGGGGAGACAGAGGGGTTCAGACTTGGGAAGAATCTGTCAGTGTGCATGGAGTGAGGTGTGTGTGTGTGGATGGATGTGCACGTGTGCATGCTTTTTTTCTTTTTGCCGTGAGGACAGTTGAATTTGGGGCATTTTTCTACAAGAAGCAGTCAGCCTTCTCTCCCCCATAAGGACTGGCTGTAACCTTAAGCCCATCAAAGTTACTTCCAGCCTGGAGAGAACCTCACCAAACAGCTGGTGTGGCCTGAGGGTGGCCATGGTGGGAAATGGGCATGAGAATAAATACCTCCCCAAATTCAATCTGAGCCCAGCAGGAGAGGATGGTAGGGTTGCCAGGGCTCAGAAGTGCAAGCTGATTACTCACCCCACCCTGCCTCGCCGCACCTTTCCTTTGTTTCCTTGGGTGAATGCAGGAGCAGCAGTGGCTGCCCTTCCCACCTGGACAGTGGTGTGTGTAGAAAGCCAGCTGGATGTTTGTGGTGGGGCCTCATGGTGCCTAGGAGGAGATAAAGATGAGGAGGTTTTTCCTTATTGTATAAATGAATATTTGTATGATTAAATTAACACACACACCAAAAAAAGCTGTTTTCATGTGTGTTGGTGAGTTTTATTGCACCCTCAAGCCTCCTGTAAACTTGTGTGGCCCCATAATGGCTCTGTGATGTGTACTGTTTGGTCTCTGGGCCTTTCCCTTTTGCAGATGGGAAAACTGAGACCCTGAGGTTCATTATATGTTTGGGAAATTAGTCCTGGGTTTATAATGGGGTCTCCTGCCCTTTCTGGTGCCCAGTGACCAGGAAGGTAAGGAAACTGCCTCCAAATGACCTGTATCTCCAGCACAAAGAAAATCAGCCAAGTTAGCTGATCAGCCAGCAAGCATTGTTTGGTTCCCTGCCCCCAAGGGCCTGCATGCAAGACTCTTCTTTCTCAGGGAGCAGCCTGATACAGAGCCCAGAGTGAAAGAGCCTGGGAGACTGGCCCACAGACCCCTGGGGTGAGTGCCCTCACCCGTGACAGTGTACCTGCATCGTGCTTCTTTCCAGGTGCCCACAGCTGTTTGTTCTCTGCAGGGGAGCCCACCCCCCACTTCACCTGGGTCTTCTTCTGGCAGCTTCAGACCCACTCCTAGGCCTTCCCCAACACCCCCACTGCTGAACAGTTATTTGCTTGGCAGAATCTGTTTGTCTTTGGGGCTGTAACCTGTCAAGGAGTCACCAGGCCCTGGGAGAAAGGAGCTAGTTTGATGGTAGCTCCTGGCCTGAGCCATTCCCACGGGGGCTGGGTGACAGGGAGGGGGCTCTCAGCTGAGTTTGGGAGATGGCAGGGAAGCAATTGCAGTGGTCTGGGCCCAACCCTTCTGGCAGAGCAAACAGGCACTCTCAAGTCTCCTCTGTGCCTCAGCTCAGGTTGTGTCTGGGTGCTTCCCACCCTGTTCCTGAGAAGGCCTCTCCCTCAGGCCCTTCTCACGCAGGTTCCTGAGAAGGCCACCTGCTTGCTGTGACCCAACCATTTCCCCGACATCACCTGGTGCCCAGCCCTGTCTGATTGCCAAGAGAACAGGCACTGAGGGCACTCATGGCAGCCCCAGATTTTGGAAATGGGGAAGGAACAGGCAAGACTGCTTAGAGATAGGAAAGAATATATGTGAGTTTGGTGGTCAAGGGTGTTCAGAGAATGGATTCTGGCCAGTGAGCATGACTGACTGAAGATGTATTAGTATAGAAACCAGAACCTGAAACTTAAAAAATACATACATATATATATCCTTTTTAGCCCTTAGTTCTGAGACACTGTGATCTGGGGAAATGCTTTCCAATCTTGAATGTGTGAAAATGTGGATTCTGATTTAACAGGTCTTAGGGAAGGGAGCAAGATGCTGCATTTCTAGCAAGCTCCCATGGATGCTGCTGGTCCTCCAAACACATGGGAGGTCCAACCCCCACCCCACCCCGCAGAATCCACCCAGGCTGTGGGACGTTAGCCAGGGGTGTGTTGGCCAGGCCCACTAGGACTTGAAGGAGCCAAAGTCACCGGGAACAGTATTGTTTAAAATGTGGGCAGTGGTTCCCCAGCATTTCCCAGGGTTGATTCAGGCTGTGATTTTTTGGCTTAACCATGATTTCTGGTGTGCTGCCCTTCTGTCACAAACAACAAATGTCTGAGTATCCACTGTAATTGTGGCAATATTGCCTGACCATTATTGGCCAATTCCTATTCAACAATTTATTTATATGAATCACCTCATTTAATCCACAGCCGTCCAGATGAGGCAATCAAGAGCAGATAAGCCTGGTGCTCAGTTTGTGAGCAACTAACACCTCTAAGTGTCTGGACTCCTTACAAGTGGCAGTAAAGCTGCTTTGGGGAGCATGGAGTAGGAGACCTTAACTTAGTCCAAGGCTGTCTGGGAGACTTCTCTGAGGAAATGACACTGAAGCTGAGACCTGAAGAATGGGAGGATGGGACAGGGCTGGAGGAAACAGCCTGCAGGAAGATGGGAGAGGGCAGTGTACTGGAGAGGCTGAAAGGAGATCAGTGCCTCAGGGAATAGGGGCTTCCCAGTTACTGCCCCAGCCCGGCCTGGGAGAGCTCTGCCATCCTTGCCTCTTGGCACTTAGTTAATTCATTCACTTATTGAACATCATTTATGTGCTAGGCACTATTCCAGGTGCTTGGGATATAGCAGTAACCAAAAAAGAAAAACCCCTGCCGTCATGGAGCTGTGTTCTAGTTGTAGTAGACAGACAAGGAACACAAATATAGTGTGTCAGGACGTGACAGGTACTATGGAGAAAAAGGATAGGAGTTCTGATGAGGAAGAGAGGATAACTATTTGATACGGGACAGTCGGGGAAGCCTTAACTAACACGCCGAGACTAAGCCTTGTGAATACCTTGAGTGGGAACGAACCTCCAGGCAGAGCGCAGCGGGTGCAGAGGTCCTGGGTGGGGCAGGAGATGAGGTCAGAGCGCTGAAGAGATCAGCTTGTATGGGGCTTTGAGGTGACTGAAGTGGCCTTGGCTTTCACCCTGGGTGAGATGGGAGCCATTGCAGGTTTGTGAGCAGAGGGAGGAGCACATCTGGAATTCCCCTAGCTGCCATGTTGAGGATAAACTGTAGGGGAAAGGGTAGATGCAGATAAACTAGTAAGGTGGTTCCTGGGGAGTGACAGCGAAGGATGTGAGAAGTGGTTGGATCCTCATTACATTCTGAAAGTGGAGCCAACAGTATTTGCTGATGGGTTAGATGTAGAGGATGAGCAGAGAGAGAGAAACAACCCCTGAGATTTGGGCCCAAGCAACTAAGATCTACTTACTAGATTGACAAGTTACTGTTAGCTAAGAGGCAGGACCACATGGGGAGCAGACTTGAGGGGAGAAATCAGGAATTCTTTTTGGACTTGTTCAGTGTGAGATGCTCAGCAGGCATCCAAGGAAGGGGCTGGGCTGGGCTGGCAGCGTGGATATACAAGGCTGCAGCTCAGGGGGCGGGGTGGGGGAGTCCTCGGAGATGGAATTTAAAGCCTCAGCACTGGTTGAGGTTATCAAAGGAGTGAAACGTTGGACCTTATCTGTTGCTCCCTCAAAGCCTACTTTTTGCCCCAACTCCTTCTGCAAGGATCTCTGACCAAGAAGACCCCTCCTCAGACTCAGAGCTGTGTTGGCTGTAGTTGACCTCTCTTCTGTCCTTTTCCTTAGACTCTTTTGCCCCCACACACTCCCTGCTGGTCACAGCAGACGGTTATGGAGTAGATGAGGGAATGGATGGTGTCCAGGCCAGGGGTGACACCACCCAGGAACCAGGCTGCAAGTGCATGGAGGAGTGGAGCCAGAGCCCTAGTAGGGCCTAGTTTAATTCCTGTGGTCCTTCCTCCCAAGATCCAGTCTGGGGCTCTGGAGCCAAATCCTAGAAATTCCTCCTGCTGGGCTGTGAGGGAGAAGCCTGAGAAAACAGGGGGACTGTGTCTGCCTTGGGGCCTAAGGAAAGAAGCCCTGCAGGGGCCATGTTCACCTGCACCAAGCCCCAGCCCTGGTCAACAATCGAGACACCCTGGATCCCTGATGGGCTGGGGTGCCACGGTTCAGTGCCTCTGAGCAGCCAAGGCATCCCCCTCTGCACCCTATTCCCACCTCAGTCATGGGGCAGTGGGACACAGCAAGGGCCAAGGAGGAATTTCAGCCGAGCTGTGAGGAAATCCTTGTCTCAGGCTATGGCTGCCCCGAGCCACGTTGTGGGAGCATGAGTGGTCCTTGGGGTGCTAGGAACATGGCCGCCTCAGCTGGTGTGGGGGTGTGTTTATGCCAGCAGAGGTCACCATGAGGCCCAGACCTCACCTGAAAAGGATGAACACTGCCCTGGCCTGGCCTCCCCTGCAAGGGTTTCCCAAATTCCCACTCCTCAAGGACAAGTGTTGCCTCTGCCCTCCACCCAGGTGGGTGAGCTGCATTTTGAATCTAGGCTGTGCTGCTTACTAGCCATGTGACTGTGGTCAGTTTATGTAGGCTTCAGAACCTCAATGTCCTAATCTGTAAAATGAGGATAGTTTCTACCCCAGAAGTGTCATAAGAATTAAAACCATCATATAAATGTTTATCATCATATACCTGGTACACGGTAAGTATCCAGTATGGGGTGACCATTGTTATATTATGACCTGCCAGAGATGTCAAGGCCTGGGCCCCCAAAGAGAGGGGACTGGGACATTGGGCGTTTGGGAGGCAGAATCAAAAAAATTTGTAGCCTGTTCAGGGGTCTCTCTCCGGACCACAGCTCTTATCTGAGGCAGACCCTTGCTTTATGAATATTTCTTGGTTTGGGGTGGGAGTTGGCATACAGGGATGCGGGAAAGGAGCATCCTGGAAGAGGGTTGAGGAGATCTGATTTACTCTTAAGGAGAGGAGGCTGCACTCAGCAACGGCATGCAGTGGGCTGTCAATACACGCTTGCTGAATGAAGAAGAGACTGGGGGCCTGCCTTCTGCAGTACTGTCCTGATTTCTGGAGGTGGACACTGCCCACCCCAGCTCAAATGGCTCAGCTCAGACCCCAGATAGTGTCAGGGGCTCCTGGAGAGGGGTGGGGGTCACAGATGCACCTGTGGATAAAAATGATAGCCCAACCGGGTGTGGTGGCTCACACCTGTAATCCCAGCACTTTGGGAGGCCGAGGCAGGCAGATCACGAGGTCAGGAGATCGAGACCATCCTGGCTAACACGGTGAAACCCCGTCTCTACTAAAAAACAAAAAATTAGCTGGGCATGGTGGCGGGGGCCTGTAGTCCCACCTACTCGGGAGGCTGAGGCAGGAGAATGGCGTGAACCCGGGAGGCAGAGGTTGCAGTGAGCCAAGATTGCGCCACTGCACTCTAGCCTGGGCGACAGAGCGAGACTCCTTCTCAAAAAAAAAAAAAAAGCCCAAAAACCTATGCCTGAGAACTGCTTGGACCACTGTGGTTTACCACTTCTGAGAGTGGAGTACAGGAGCCAACACATCTGCATCCAGGTGTCCACAAGGACCTGTGTAAGTACCAGGGCCAGGAATGGAGGCCAGGGCCACAGGTGGGCACCACCAACATGATATTTGCTGGTGTCGAATAGCACCCAGACCTTCCAAACACCTCCAGCTCTTGATTTCGTGCTGTTTCCTTCCGTTTTTGTTTTTGTTTTTGAGACAGGGTCTTTCTCTGTCACCCCAGGCTGGAGTACAGTGGCATGAAACAGCTCAAACGGCTCACTGCAGCCTCGCCTGACTCAAGCAATCCTCCCACATCAGTCTCCAAAGTAACTGGGACCACAGGCACACTCCACTACGCCCAGCTAATTTTTAAAAATTTTTTATGGAGACGGGATCTCACTATGTTGACCAGGCTAGTATTGAATTCCTTGCTTGAGGTGATCCTCCCGCCTCGGCCTCCCAAAGCACTGGGATTACAGACAGTGTGCCAATATGCCCAGCCTTCTTCACTTTTCCTCCTGCTTTCTCCCACCTCTCTCCCACACATTTCAGCTTCCTGATAGTTGAGCACACTCTAACCATGGGCCCATGGCCATGGAGATGAAGGCTTGGGGTCGGGGGTGCCTGCAGAGAGGTGGTGGGTTTGGGGGAGTTGTCAGGGTGGGTTGGGAGGGAATCTCTATGTGTGCTGAACCGCTGCTGGGCCCCGTGATGTACGTCATCCAGGGCTGATGAAGACACATGTCCCTGATGGGGAGACAGGACCTAGGAGATGGGAAAAGTGAGCACCAATAGGGAATCCAGGTAGGCTAAGGGTCCTGTGAGTGAGCCCCACAGCAAATATGCCAGGCAGGAGGGTCTGGGAGAGCCAGGCCTTGCTCCAGTGTTTTGGGATAGTACAGTCGCTATTCAGAGCATCCCCAAAGATGAGACAGCATTACCTTCCCCAGAGTCCCACAGTCTATGTGGACCACTCCTAGCCCAGGCTTTCTCCACAACACCTGAGCCAGCAGGGAGAGCCAAGGCACCCCAGGGGGAAAAACATCAGTGACTGGTTGGGAAACAGGAACTGACTCCAGCTGGCTCCCATCCCTAGGCTGGGCAGCTAGGGTCCAGTGGGGTCCAATCATAGTGGTAGTGGTTGGGCCTGAGGGGAAGCAACCTTGGCTCTCAGGACTGGTTTCCATGGAGCAGAGGGTAATTTGCATCTTTGAGAAGTTGCAGCTGTGGGAAGGGAGAGGGAGCTGGGAACCTTTATCCAGGCCTTCAGTCTCCTGCTTCCTTCTGGGTGAGGGGGAGGCGGGGAGCACACCCTGCTGCTAGCCAGCCCCTACTTTACTTCATGTGAGGAGCACAGCTGGGTCCCAGAACCACTGGCTTGAGATTCAGGCTCTGTCTTGTGTAGAACGTGTGGTTTCAGAGCACAGAAGCCTCCACATACCTGCACATGCACACAGCCATTCACAAGCATGTAATCCAGCATACCTGTGCAGTTCTGTGCACTCCTCACATGGGGACATAGGCACATGCAATACATGTGCATCCACATACTGACACCCAGGTGCACACTCATTACCGTTACCTTAGTTCATACGCAGACACATCACACCCACAGGGTCACATAATCTCACACCAACCACACAGAAGCTCATACATTCATACATGGACACATTCACACTGTATAGTCATTTTAAAACTTTTTCCGTAAGGCATAGTTTACGTTCTTTCTATTCCATCTTCACAACCTCCAGAAGTAAGAATTAATTTTTCCTTGTTACTGAGGTATAATTTACATACAGTAAAGAACACAGAACTTACAGGCTCAGCTTGATGACTTCTCTCCTATGCACGCCCTGCATAACCATTGCCCAGGTCAAGATCTAGAGCATGCCCAGAGCCCCAGCAGCTCCTGAGTGTGCCCTCCTGGTCAACAGCTCACACAAGAGGAGCTGTTATTCTGATAAGGTAAGTGCCATGGTTATTCTCATTTATTAGGTTAGCAAAACTGATGCTCAGCTCCGTAGTCACCCACTAAGTGGCCAGACTGAAGCTCTCTGACTTCAGACCACTACATAACATAAATATCCAGTAACATACGTGTGCACGCCTCACAGTAATAGAGGGCCATGATCACAAAGGCTTGGAAAAGCAGCCTTTGTTTTTTCTACAAAGAAAGCAGCAGAGAAAATTTAAGCTTTGTAGAGTGTTGCGAACCTTGGAATCAAAACACAGGTTCCATTCTGTGATATGAAACAGCACATCACAAAGCATTTTCACGCAAGGCTTGTTTCTAGTTTTTAGAGCGGGATATTCGATTTTTCCTTATAGGCCTCACTCCTGAGCAAAGATGTCTTGCTAGTTCCTCTCTAAGCAGATTTTCTTTTAGAATTCATAGCTACTTTTGAGTATTTGACAATGAATAGACACCTAACAGCAGCACATATTTTGTCAACCGTGCCCTTCTGAGGGTGCATATTGGTTCATAAAGGATCAGCAAGGTCTGTGAGCTCAGGGGTTGCAGCTCCTGTCCTGGGGCAGCGGGTACAGGACACGACGGGCACACACAGCACAGTGTGTCCACGGGGATGGGTTATACGTTCAAGGACACTTCTGCACTAGAAGAAGCCACTCAAGCATTTTCATTGTGCCCTTCACCTGTGGTAACACTATTGGCGAAGGTTGATACTCATTTATTTGTTCTGTTAATAAATATATATTGCGGACTTAACCTACCTTGTGCCCAGCAGTGCCCTAGGTGCTGGGGATACAGCAGTGAAACAGACAAAAACACAAATCCCTGCAGCATGGAACTGATGTTCAGTAAAACATATGGCAAATCAGGTGATGAAAGATGATAGGGAGAAACAAGAGAAGATAAGAAAAGGGGAGTTGGGAGTGCAACTTTAATCGTTTATTTTACCTTTTTAAGAAATAGAGTCGGGCTGGTGGTGGTGGCTCATGCCTGTAATCCCAGGACTTTGGGAGGCCGAGGTGGGCAGATCATTTGAGGTCAAGAGTTCGAGACCAGCCTGGCCAACATGATGAAACCCCATCCCTACTAAAAATACAAAAATTAGCTGAGCGTGATGGCACGCGCCTGTAATTCCAGCTACTCGGGAGTCTGAGGCAGGAGAATCGCTTGAACCCGGGAGGCGGAGGTTGCAGTGAGGTGAGATCATACCACTGCACTCCAGCCTGGGCATTAGAGTGAGACTCCATCTCAAAAAATAATAAAATTTAAAAAATAAAAACAGAGTTGGGGTCTCACTGTGTTGGCCAGATTGCTCTTGAACTCTTAGCCTCAAGCAATCCTCCCACCTCGGCTTCCCAAAGTGCTGAGATTACAGGAGTGAGCCACCACATCTGGCTGGGAGTGCAACTTTAAATGAGAGGTCAGGGAGGTCCTCACTGAGAAGGTGATGTTTGAGGTGGTGTGTGAAGCAGCTGAGGGTAGCGACCATCGTGGATATCTGGGAGAAGAGCATTTCAGGCAAGAAGAACAGCCAAAACAAAGCAAAAAAGCAGGTGTCCATTGTATTCAGATGCCAACTATGGATTTTATACAGATTCTGGCACCTGTCCTGCCTTTAGTGCTGTGTGACTTTGAAGGAGCCACTCACCCTCTCTGGGCCGTCTCTTCACCCACATGATATGAGGTTTAGATAAAGAGCTGCCCTGTCCACCTGAGCCCTCTCTGTCCTCGCAGGCCTGTCCTTACCAGCGGGGGAGCCTCTGTGGCCATCCCTCCCCAGAGGTGGGGAGCCACAGACCACCTCTGTGGTCTGGTCACAGGGCCTGACAGTTCCACAGCAATGCCTCTGGCCTGGTCACCCTCACCCCAGGGCTGCCACAGCATCAGTCCAGGGCTCTAACCCAAGGGTGGCAATAGGGGAAACTCTGGCATGGTTTATGGACCTTTGAGCATTTTCTTTTTTCTTTTCTTTTTTTTTTTTTTTTTGAGCTGGAGTCTTGCTCTGTCACCCAGGCTGGAGTGCAGTGGCGTGATCGCGGCTCACTGCAACCTCCGCCTCCTGGGTTCAAGTGATTCTCCTGCCTCAGTCTCCCAAGTAGCTGGGATTACAGGCATGCGCCACCACATCCAGCTAATTTTTTGTATTTTTAGTAGAGACCGCGTTTTGCCATGTTGGCCAGGCTGGTCTTGTACTGCTGACCTCAGGCGATCCACCTGCCTCTGCCTGCCAAAGTGCTGGGATTACAGGTTTGAGCCACCACATCCCGCCAAGCATTTTCAAATATTGGCTATGTGTACTTGGGAGGATAAGTAACATTACTGGAGATCTGACTGTGCCTCGTATGTTACATGTTCATCTGCAAATTCATTTTTGAGGGGAATAGTGGATGACAGCTGAGTCTGGGGTCCCTCCACCCTTCCTGTACACTCAAGTGGGAGGCCTGGGTCATCTCTGGAGGACCTCTCTCCTAAGTACTCCTGATCTCCTCATAAGGGTTGGCTCCATATCTCAGCCACTTCCCTTCCCTTTGTTCACTTTGCTTCTCAGAAGCCTCCCTTAAGGAGAAATAGTCACCTAAGACCATCTTAGCAAAGGAGAGGGCAAAGAAGGAGATACTGACAGACCCTCTTTTTTTTTTTTTTTTTTTTTTTTTTTTGAGACAGAGTCTCGCTCTGTCGCCCAGGCTTGAGTGCAGTGGCGCTATCTCGGCTCACTGCAAGCTCCGCCTCCTGGGTTCACACCATTCTCCTGTCTCAGCCTCCCGAGTAGCTGGGACTACAGGCACCCACCAACACGCCCAGCTAACTTTCTGTATTTTTAGTAGAGACAGGATTTCACCATGTTAGCCAGGATGGTCTCGATCTCCTGACCTTGTGATCCGCCCGCCTCAGCCTCCCAAAGTGCTGGGATTACAGGCATGAGCCACCACGCCCGGCCTGACAGACCCTCTTGAGTCACTTGGGAATTGCATTCAGCTGCAAGTAGCATGGTCCTGAGCAATAGTGGCTTAGACAAGATAGGGATTTATTTTTCCCTCATTAGATATAAAGTCTGAGGGTATGTACAGGGCTGGCTTCCATCCTTAAGACAGCTACTGCAGCTCCAGACATCACATCCGCATTCCAGACACAGAAGAAAGACTGAATCAGCCCCTTTATAAGGAACTGTCTTAGAATCCCCACCTGATGACTTTCATGTATATCCCATGGGCCAGAACTTGGCTGCTTGTTCCTTCCATCTGCAAGAAATGCTGTCATTATTATATCCATAAAAGGAGGCCGGGTGTGGTGGCTGACACCTGTTATCCTAGCATTTGGGAGGCTGAGGAGGAAGGATCACTGGAATCCAGGAGTTTGAGACCAGCCTGGGCAACATAGCAAGACCTCATCCCTAATAAAAATTTAAAAATTAGCTGGACGGGATGACACATGCCTGTAGTACCAGCTACTCAGGAGGCTGAGGCGGGAGGCTCACTGGAGCCCAGGAGTTAGAGGCTGCAGTGAGCCATGATGGTGCCACTGCACTCCAGCCTGGGTAATGGAGCAAGACCCCATTTCTAAAAAAATAAATAATTTTTTAAAGTAGAAGAAAACAGATACTGGGGAGGCAACTAGCACTCTCTTCCCTACACATGCCCTGTACTCTTCCATCTCTGATCTTAAAAACTGCATGCTGGACAAATGCCAGGAAGAGGAAACTGTTGAGAAAACGAAACTACTGGGGAAAGGGAGGGCCCACTGAGAACCATCCGAGTAACCCGACCACCGCTGGTCTTCGCTGGACACCATGAACCACACTGTCCAAACCTTCTCCTCTCCTGTCAACAGCGGCCATCCCCCCCAACTATGAGATGCTCAAGGAGGAGCACGAGGTGGCTGTGCTGAGGGCACCCCACAACCCTGCTCCCCGACATCCACCATGATCCACAGCCGCAGCGAGACCTCCGTGCCCGACCGTGTCGTCTGATCCCTGTTCAACACCCTCTTCGTGAACCCCTGCTGCCTGGGCTTCATAGCATTTGCTTATTCCGTGAAGTCTAGGGACAGGAAGATGGTTGGTGACCTGACTGGGGCCCAGGCGTATGCCTCCACCGCCAAGTGCCTGAACATCTGAGCCCTGATTGTGGACATCCTCATGACCATTCTGCTCATCATCATCCGGGTGTTGATCTTCCAAGCCTATCGATAGATCAGGAGGCATCATCCAGGCCAGGAGCTCTGCCCATGACCTGAATCCCACATACTCCACCTCGCCCTGCCCCCGGAGCCCAGTCCTGTATCAGCCCTTTATCTTCACGCACTTTTCTACAATGGCATTCAATAAAGTGCACGTGTTTCTGGTGGGGAAAAAAAAAAAAAAACAAAAAACCAGTGCATGCTGGCCGGGCACAGTGGCTCATGCCTGTAATCCCAGCACTTTGGGAGGCTGAGGTGGGTGGATCACCTGAGGTTGGAAGTTCACATCCAGCCTGACCAACATGGAGAAACTCTGTCTCTACTAAAAATACAAAATTAGCCAGGCATGGTGGTGCATGCCTGTAATCCCAGCTACTCGGGAGGATGAGGTAGAATAGCTTGAACCCAGGAGGCAGAGGTTGCAATGAGCTGAGATCGCGCCATTGCACTCCAGCCTGGGCGACAGAGCAAGACTCGGTCTCAAAAAAACAAGCAAAAATAAAACTCATGCTGTTTTCTCCACCTCTGGGGCCCTCTACCCTCACCCCACCCCAGCTAGGTAAGGAGCCCATAGCTCATTATCTAACCTGCTGGGGTTGCCAGTAACAGAAACTCCCCAGGGTTGCTCAGGTGAAAGGAGGAGATTGGAGAACTCAGAACACCAACCTATGGTATCCCCCAGAGGGGGGCGGAGGGGTGGGGCCTTGCCACCGCCCCCACTCTCCCTACTCAGCAGGGACCGGAAGCAGGTATGGATTCTCTAGGAAGCTGATTTGAGGGGCACTGCTGCCCACAGCTGGAGACAACAGTGAATGAGCCAGGCCCAGTCCCTGCCCCCAAGGTGCTGACATTCTGATGGGGGAGAGACAGGCATTGCACAGACCAAACCTAAAGATCATTTCAGGCTCTTGGTGCCAAGAAGATGAACAGCTTAGCATGGGAGAGATAAAGCAGGTGGCTAGGGAGCACCAGGTGTGCAGTCAGCACTCGGGAAATGTGTACTGAAGGTAGCCCTCAGGAAAGGGGCCCGGAAACCCAGGGCTGTAGACCCTCAAGGGGCAGGGGAGGACCCCTCAGATCACAGCTCAGATGGAACACTCAGATGTCAGGGACTGAGGCCCTCAGCCTGGGGCCCAGCCCAAGCCTGGAGAAGAGAGGAGAGATCCCAGGGTGTGGGGGAGTCCTGCCCTAGTACCGGGATTGCTCAGAGGAGCTGCTGGGTCCAGAGACCCAGCAAATGCCAAGGGTCCAGGACTATGGCCCCCTTCACAGTTTTCCCTAGTGGGCTGGGCCCTGGGTGTGCAGATGAGTGGTAAACTCCAAGATCTAATGGGGAAGGCAGGCAGGGCGCCCCACACCCCAACATTCCGTGCCCGGGACAGATCCTCCTGGCAGCTGTCTGGGCTTGGAGGGAAACCAGCCCTAAACCCAAACTGATTATGTGGGACAAGCAGCCCTTTCACCACCAGGGCACAGCCGCTATGCCCTGAGCATCCTTCTTGGTGGAGAACGATGCCCAGGGTGCTGAGGAAGGAAGGACACTGGCCGGCTCCCTGAATTCTCTCCTCCTGCAAGTCCTGCAGCTCCCGACCTTGTCTCTGGACACAGTACCTCTGAGGCCCTTAAGAAGATGGAATGAACTCAGTGTTGAAGGTGTTGATGCTGTTATTACGTATTAATGCCTCACCTGCACAGGCCATGCGTGTTCTCAGGCAGGAGCTCCCTGGAGCTTCACACGGACAGTCTATAGAGAACGTTCATCACCACCTGACCCTTGAGAAGACTAAGACTCAGAGACGGGAGGTAACTTGCTCAACCCCCTGTCCCTGCCTCGGGAAAGGGGCAGTGGCTGTGGGGGTTGGGGTTGGATCCTGCAGCCAAGGGTCATCGATATCGGTTGAGGACTTTGTCCTGTGGCAGCAGTGAGTGTTGTGGGGGTATCATACACATCCCCATGATAAAAACCAGCAGCCCTCTCTCACACCCTCACATCCGTCCCTGGGACTACTGTCTATCCTTCTGAGAGTGTGCACAAATACAATCTCCACTTTTCTCTCATCTGTCCAGAAGGAGTAGTATATTATCCCCCATTTACAGTACAGGAAACCGAGTGCCAAGGAGCTTGAGACCCTGCTCCAGGTTTCAGGGTGTCTGGGCTAGGTCCTCTGCCCCAGACCTGCCCTTTGCCCTCATCACCCATGTATGGCAGTGCTGAGAGGTGGGTAGGACATAGGCTCTAATGTCACTTATACCTGGCCTGAGTTCATACCTGCTGGCCAGGTATGAACTTGGGCAGTTTGCTGATCTGCTGGGCCTCAGTGTTCTTACCCATGAAATGGAGCTACTTCCTGCTTCACAGGGTCACACTATGCTGGACTCAGGCTCACTGAAGCCCCCGCCCTCCTCTGGGGGCCAAGCAACAGCTCGGGGGTGAGGGGGCAGCTCCCCACTGTGCCTGGTACCCCCTTCCCTGTCCTGGCCCTATGCCAGCTAGGCCCGCCCAGGCCTCATCTTCCAGATGGCACCATAAAGCCATCCCCAAACCTGGCCTACCCGGGAACAAACAGCCCCTCCCAGGAGGCCACACCCTGCCGGAGACCACAGTAGCACGTTCCCCTTGAAGGATGCCTCATTCCTGGGGACAGGTGTGAGGGGCAGCAGTTCAGAGCGGGCTCCTCCTTTCTGGGAATGGGGAGGGAAGCCAGTCTGGGCAGGGAACTGGGAGAGCTGGGAGGTCTTGAGACCTCGGCCACCCTCTTGCCTTTCTCTTCCTCATCCTCCTTCCTCTCTCTTCTTTTTTTTTTTTTTTTCTTTTTTTTTTCTGAGACGGAGTCTCTCTCTGTCGCCCAGGCTGGAGTGCAGTGGCGCGATCTTGGCTCACTGCAAGCTTTGCCACCCGGGTTCACGCCATTCTCCTGCCTCAGCCTCCTAAGTAGCTGGGACTACAGGCACCTGCCACCGTGCCCGGCTAATTTTTTTGTATTTTTTAGTAGAGACGGGGTTTCACCGTGGTCTCGATCTCCTGACCTCGTGATCCACCCGCCTCGGCCTCCCAAAGTGCTGGGATTACAGGCGTAAGCCACCGCGCCCGGCCTCCTTCCTGTCTCTCCTTTCAGTTCTCTGGTCCTCCTTCTCTTCTGGAGAGGCAAACTGACCCACTTCCAATCAGCTGTGCAACCTTGGGCAGGTCAATCTCTCTGAGCTTGAGTTTTTCCCTCTGAAATGGGGATAAGCACTTGGCAGCCCCTTCCTTGGCTGGCTGTGAGGGTTGAAAGGATGCTTTGGGAGGCCCCAGCTGAAGGGTGGCCTTCTGTCCTCTCACTGCCTCCCGCTACTGTGTGAGTGAGGGGGCTAATCCTTCCTGCGGTGGGCAAGGGCAGGAAGCCTGGAGGGCCCATGTCCCCTCCTCTTGGCTTGCCAGGAACTCACTTGTCCCTTCAGCCAGATACACCTCACCCTTCTGTTCCGAGGGCCCTGCAGGATGGAGCTTGGGCCTCAGTTTTCCCATCTGTGCAATGGGAACAACAGGGTTGGTGAGGGGGTTGGAGGTGGGCTGGGTACAGTGCCTGCCCCCTGTGCGGTAGGACCTGCAGCGGATCAAAAGCCTGTCCCAGGAGACCTGTGCCTCAGCCTGATCACCCCCTGCCCACACCTCAGTCCCAGGGACTCGGGCTTTCTTCTCCCTTTGTGTTCTGCTTTCCTCTGGTGTGGAGGGTCTGTCCTGTACAAGTTCCCTTCTGTCTGCTGTTGTTTTCCTTTGTTTCATGTGGGTTGGGAGAGAGTCGAGCACGTGGTTCTCCACTCTGCTTTTGTGCTGTGCCACCCAAGAGGTAACAGAAATGCCCCTTTGCCTCAGTTTCCTCACCTGTAAAGTGAGGGAGCATCCACCACCTGGGATCGATGCGAGGTTGATGTTCACCTAGAGAGAATGGGGCCTCCCAGAAGGCAGGGCTCATGCTCCTTGGAGGAGCCCAGAAAAGCTCGCTGATGGAGCAGTGCAGAGGAGACGGCTGCTGCAACTCGGGATGCACTCGCGCAGCCCCGTCGTGGGAAAAGGCTGACCCAGGGAAAGACGGCGCCGAGAGGCCCCAGATCCCAGCCAGGTGGAGCAGCTCTGGCAGGTGTGTGGGTGACCGGCAGAGTGAGAGGCAGCCCGTTCTGAAACCTCCCTCCCGCTGTGGGGGCTGAAGGACAAGCCAGCCATGGTCTCTACTAGGCCAGGGGGCCGCCTACCCTGGGAGAGGCAAGGGCATGGAGATTTTGGCCCCTCATTCTGCCTACTCACCTGTTCTCTGGGGGCCTTGGCTGCCCATTTACCTTCTCGGGGTCTCAGTTTCCTCATCGGTAAGTGAGAAATGAGACCTCCCTCACAACGGTGTGTGCAGATGAAATGAGACAACGTATGTAAAGAGCCTGTCCAGCCTGCCCGATGTGACAGTGCTGCAGGGGACAGTGATAGACAGTAGATTGCGAGGGGCAGGTGGGGGCTTTCCCACAGTGGGGGGCACCTGTGTGCATGTGCCGGGAGCGCCAATCAGGGACCTAATGACAGACTGTCTAACACAGCCTCTTGGCCTTTAGAAGACCAGGCTGACACCGAAGAGGGAAAGGAGCTTGACGTTGCACAGCAAGTTGGAGGCAGAGCTGGGGCCAAAGCCAGGTTTCAACCCCCCTGGGGCAGGCTGTTGGACTGCGAGGTCTCCAGCCCTACCACACTCTGATCCCCAGACTTCCCACCCACTCTGGCCCCAAATGCTCTAGGACGCCTGGTCAAGCAGGCCAATCAGTTCTGCTACTGCACAGCCCCTGCCCTGCCTCCATTTTTCTGTCTCTAAGTGGGTCGTACAGCCGGGCGCAGTGGCTCATGCCTGTGATCCCAGCACTTTTGGAGGCCGAGGTGGATGGATCACGAGATCAGGAGTTCAAGACCAGCCTGGCCAACATCCCTGTCTCTATTAAAAATAGAAAAATTAGCTGGGCGTGGTGGTGCACCTGTAATCCCAGCTACTCAGGAGGCTGAGGCAGAGGTTGCAGTGAGCTGAGATCGTGCCACTGCCCTCCGGCCTGGGTGACAGAGCAAGACTCCGTCTCAAAAAAAAAAAAAAAAAAAAGGGTTGTTGTGAGAACTCGGCAGGCTATACAAGGCCTCCCCAGCCCTCACAGCACTCACTATGTGTTCTCTGCTGTCCATGTGTTCGTGCAAAGGTTGATCTTCAACCTAAGAGGTCAGCACTGTTGTTGTCTCTGTGCCTGAGGAAACTGAGCCTGGGGAGATGAAGGGGCTCTCCTGAGGTCACAGAAGTTGTCTGTCCACCCTGCCTCATTCATGTATGTGCCTCACAGGTGAGAAACACTGCACAGAACGCTCAGCACATGCTTGTTTCCTTCCCCTTCCTCACACCTCTCCAAGGCTTGGCCCAGTCTTTACAGCCCGGCTCCCAGCCTGCCAGCCTCTCAGAACCCCACCGTGGCTCCTCTTCCTACTCCTGGAGTTCTTCCTGTCTATCCCTGTCCCTGTTTCCCTGACACTTGCCGGGTGCCAGGTGCTGTTCTCAGCTCCCTAGTCAGACCTTGAGCTCCCAAGGTCATGGTGGCTCACACTGCAGTCCCAGCTACTTGGGAGGCTGGTGCAGGAGTTCAAAACCAGCCTGGGCAATGTAGCACGACCCCAACTCCACCAAACCAAAAAAAAAAACTTTTTTTAACTAGCCACGTATGTGTACCCATGGTCCTGGTTACTTGGGAGGCTGAGGGGGGAGGATCGTTAGATCGCTTGAGTTGGAGGCTACAGTGAGCTATGATCGCACCCCTGAACTCCAGCCTGGGTGGCTGAGTGAGACCCGAGCTCAAAAATAAATAAATAAATAAAAGGAAGTAACGAATGACTATGTGAGTGAGGGAGCGAGGGGGTGAAGGAGGAGGGTGGGGTGCTGTGTGAGGTTTCCTCACCTGCCAGTAGCGACACCTGGGAGGTTCGTGAGTGACACCCGAGATGCTGGGCGGGTCATGCTTCCTGCAGCTGCTGCCAACTGCGTCCCAGACTGGGCGCGGGGATCCTGGCTTCTCTGACATGACGCAAAAGCCGTGTCAAGAGGGCAGAAGAGTTTAAGGGTCACCAGCCGGCAGGGGCTGGTGGGGGCAGCTTCTGTGGTCACGCAGGACTGCTGGGTCAAATGAAGGGCACAGATGGCAAGAGATCTCCAAAAGTGGAGAAAATGTCTGGACAGAACAACCTTCCTGGGGCCGACTGACCCTGGGACCCCTCATTCAAGTTGGCCCCTGTATGGGCAGGACAGAGTCATGGCCTGGCTGGCCTCGAGTTCTGGCTGTTTCTTATTAGCTGTGTGTCCCTGAGCAAGTTAATGAACCTCTCTGGGCCTGTTTCCTCATCTGCAGATGGGAGTATGATACCTACCCTATAGGGTTATTATGAGAAGTAATATGTAGAAAAGCATGAGTCCACAGTGCCTGCACCACAGAAAGGGTTCGATAAATTCAAATAGTAATATTATTATTACATTAATAAAGACACAGATCATGAAAGACCAAATTGAAGGCACTCAGCAGGCAGAAGTCAAGGCGAGACCAAGACTCCTACTTGGTGACTCCAGCTAGAGGCAACAAAGCATGGGGTTGTGCACGAGGCTCTGGAGCCAGGCTGCCTGGGCTCCCATATAGCTCTGCCCCACTCACAAGCTGTGTTACCTCAGGCAACCTCCTTAACCTCTCTGTGCCTCAAAGTGTCCCCATCTGTAGAATAGGGATCATAGTAGTGCACCTGCCTCATAGGGTTGTGGGGAGAATTCTGGAGTTAGTATGTGTGAAGCACGTGGAAGAGTACCTTGTACAAAGAAAACACTCCATAGGTTCAACAGACACAGTGCTGTGTGACCTTGAGCAAGCTTCTGTCCTCTCTGGGCCTCCACCACATCCCTGTAAAATGAATCATTAGACAGGTTCAGCCTGAGGCCCCTCCGGGCTCTGAGGTCCATAGTTCTGGGGAGGGGAGTCACACTGGGTGCACACGCCCCCTCCTATTTTTACAGTTCCCACATGCCTGAGGACAGGGTCCCCCGCAGTCTCTGTCCTCCCTCTCCCTGTCTCCTTTCCCCTCCTTAAGGATGGCAGCTGAAGGAGGGAGGCTTCCCTGGTGGTGAAGGAGCTGGGTAGTGGGTGTCGGTCGTACGGTTGGGACAGTAGGGTTGGGAGAGGGAGAGGAGAGGTGATGGATTTCCTCTTACCAGCGTTCCGTCCTGTTCCTGCTTCCACTAGTACCCTCTGTCCTCACAGCTGGGCCAGGCCCCTGCTCATCTGCAAGTGGGGTGGTGCCCTCACAGGCAGGCCTGGCTTGCCCCTCCCTTAGGAGGGGGGACCCTCAGAGAAACTGTCTCCCCCTCCCTGGCCCCGTAGAGCTGGGCAGGTGCTGCCTGGGAATGAAAAGAGTCTATAAGTCAAGCCCTGACCCTGCTGTGTGACTTCAGGCAGACCCCTTACTCTCTCTGAGTCTGTCTTGGGGTCCGAGCACAGGGCAGGCCGTGTCTCAGCCCCTCCTGTGGAGCTGGTGATAGGAGTCACCACCCAGGGAGGTAAGAGCTCAGTGTCCCCCAGCCCCAGGGCCTGACTTGGGTGGTCTGCATCACCCTCCTCCCCTTTGCCCCTCCTACTCCACAAGGCTTGAGTCACTTCAGGGGAGTGGTGCCCCTGACTGGAACCCCAGGGTGAGGTGGAAGTGGCTAGAAACCCCGCACCAGGAAGCAAATCCTATTCCCCGTCACCCCTCCCCGATCCTCCTCCTTCCCACAAGCCTGTGGCCATTGTTGCCCAAGGCAATCAGATCTTACATGGGAACCTAGCCCCACACCCTCTGCCTTCCTCAGGGACATTTTCAGACCCACCTCAGCCCCAGCCTTGACTCACCTCCTGCTTCACCATTGGTACCCCCGGCCCCAGCAAAGTCCATCCATCCTGTTCATTCCTTCAGTCCACGCACAGCTATCTGCCAGGCACTGCACTGGGGTCCAAGGATGCCAGGCACGTGAGAAAGAACCCTGTCCCTGTGGGCTCCCAGATCAGGAGGCCATCAGACAAGGAGGACTGTTTCATAATGCCGGATATGGCTGGGCGCAGTGACTCACGCCTGTAATCCCAGAACTTTGGGAGGCCGAGGCGGGTGGATCACTTGAGGTCAGGAGTTTGAGACCAGCCTGGCCAACATGGTGAAATCCCGTCTCTACTAAAAAAAAATACAATAGTTAGCCGGGCTTGGTGGCGCGTGCCTGTAATCCCAGCTACTTGGGAGGCTGAGGCAGGAGAACGGCTTAAAGCCGGGAGGCGGAGGTTACAGTGAGCTGAGATCGCACCACGGCACTCCAGCCTGGGCGACAAGAGCAAGATTCCGTCTCAAAAAAAAAAAAAAAAAAAAAAAGTCTGGAAGCAAGAGCCGCTGTCAGCGCTATGATGGCAGGGCCTGTTTTGTTGATGGTTGTATCCCCAGTGCCTAGAACATCTCAGTAAATGTTAGAATAAGTAAATGTTTGGCGAGAGCTGCTGGCAGCCTCTAGGGCTGAACCAACACACATGGTTGTAAAGTGAAGCAAAACGGGCGACTGGGGCAGGATCACGAGGCCTTCCCGCCCCACAGACTCCTCGTGCTTTCTCACGGGGCAGCGGGAGCCATGGGAGATGGTTAGCAGAGGGGCAGCCCCCACCTCACCCTCCATTCCCTTCCCCTGACTGTGACTTGATCCAGCGCATGATCCTCCCAGTTGTCCTTTCCTTCATCCAACAAGTCGGTATCTGTTGATTTGTTGAAATAGGCACATAGTAAACACCTACGGCATGCCATTGTTGTGCTGTGAGCTGGAGGTGAGGCCAACAGTCCTGCCCACACATTACCCACAATCCAGGACGGGGACTCTGAATCTGGGGTTTGTGGAGGTGCTTCGGCTGGGCGGGGGGGCAGTCTGTGAGTCCCTGGGATTGCATGTGTGTGTGTGTGTATGTGTGTTCTGAGGTTCCATAGCTTTTAAGCAGATTCTGAAGTGACCAGCACCCACCCATACAGGTCAAGACCCGCATGTGTGGGGAAGAGGTTGCTTTCCCTGGCATTGCGTGTGGACCCCAACCCTACCCCATTCCCAGCAGCAGGCGATGCCCAGCCCAGGCCCTGTGGGGCAGCTTTAGTTGTATCGGCTTAGGATGGTGCCTGGGAACTCTGGCTGTCTCTCTGTCTGGGAAGTCGCCGTGGGGGAAGGGCAGGTCTCAGGCCAGGGACAGGGCAAGGGCAGTAGGATCAGTGGGTCAGACCAACACAACCAAAGGGGCACAGATGCTCCCTGAGTGTGGCAGCTGGCAGAGGGGCGTCTTTCAACACTGAGTCCCACCTTCCTTCATTGCCCACCCCAGTGCTCAGAGCCACGCAGTGATTTTTCTCCTTTAATGTCCCTTTCCCCCTTCCACCATCCTCATTCGTTTGTTTGTTTGTTTGTTTGTTTATTATTTAAGACAGGATCTCACTCTGTCACCCAGGCTGGAGTGCAGTGGCATGATCTTTGCTCACTGCAACCTCCGCCTCCTGGGTTCAAGCAGCTTTCATGCTTCAGCCTCCTGAGTAGCTGGGATTACAGGCACGCACCACCACGCCTGCCTAATTTTTATATTTTTAGTAGAGATGGGGTTTCACCATGTTGGCCAGGCTGGTCTCAAACTCCTGGCCTCATGTGATCTGTCTGCCTTGGCCTCCCAAAGTGCCGGGATTACAGACGTGAGCCACCGCTCCTGGCTCATTTGTTCATTAATTTGATTTGTTTTGTTTCTTTCCCTCCCTCCCTCCCTTCTTTCTTTCCTTTCCTCCTCCTTTCTTCCTTTCTTTTTCTTTCTTTCTTTTTTGAGATAGGGTCTTGCTCTGTAGTGATCATAGCTCACTACAGCCTCAACCTCCTGGACTCAAATGATCCTACCACCTCAGCCTCCAGAGTAGCGGGGACCCAGGCCACCACATTCAGCTAATTTATTTTTTAATTTTATGTAGAGATCAGAGTCTCACAATGTTGCCCAAGCGGGTATCAAACTCTTGGCCTCAAGCTATCCCCCTGCTTCAGCCTCCCAAAGTGCTGGGATTACAGGCGTGAGCTGCCACACCTGGCCCCTCATTTATTACTTTCATTTATTCTTGGGCGCCACCTAGAAGGAAGACATGAGAGTGTTAGGAGCACCAAGCTCTTGTGTCACTGAGCAGGGTTGGGAGGTCACCGGGGGGCTGAGAGGAGCCAGGGCAGGCCCAGGCAGGCAGGGAGCACAGGGCCAGGCAGGCTCCTCCCTGAGGCCCCCTCACCCTAGGGGTCAGTGTTGTGGAAGGTGGGGCCCTGCACGGGGAGAGGGGCTGGCTGGGATTTGAAGGGGCTACAGAACATGGCAGGACGCAGTGGAGGTCATATGATGATGTCATCCCTCAGGGTTCTGTTTGCCTGGAGCCCAGAGCAGGAGGAGTTGGTGGGAAGAGTGTACCCAGTGCATCTCAGCATCGTCCCCCAGAGAGGATGCCCCAAACGCTCAATTATGCCTCAATTTCCTCTTCTGTAAAATGGTGACAGTGTAGACACAAAACTATATGACTGAGAAGAAAAATAAGTGAGTTGATACATGTGACATTACTGGTAATCATCATCATCTTGGGTTGCCAGTGGGTTCCCAGTATTCATTATATTATTAAAAATTAAGAGGTGTCCACATGTGGATCCTGGGGAGGGTGTGTCATAAACCAAGGGTTATGGTTAATCCAGTGTGCACCCAAGGTCCTGAAAAAAGCCTCCGAAGTTCTTGTCACCTGCTGAGTGCCAGTCCGCATGGCCCTAAACTCTGGCCATAATCAAGTGAGGGTGAGACGGAGGTCCCTGAGGGGAGAGAGCCCGCTGTTGACAGAGTCCTGGCTGTGTGACAGGCGCTGTGCTTCTCCTCATTCCCTCCTTACAGTATCCCTTTGAAGAAGGGATCCTTGATCCTCTTTCACCAAGAAAGGAGACTAAGGCTGAGAGGGGAAGTGACTTGCCCGAGGACACTCAGCAAGAACGCAGCAGAACTGGGATTTGAACTCAGTCTCCAGACTCAGTGCTCTTTCCCCAACAGCCTAACTGCCTTAGGCTTCTCCATCTCAATAGGAACATTGTCCTGAGGGCCTCTGAACACCGCCACCTCCCCAGGGCCCAGAGGCGACAGCACGCACAGCAGCCCAGTAGCGAGCTCCCTTTAGCACCCACTTCTCATCTGTCTCCTTAAAGCTCATCCAGCAGGAGCCAGGCCCCTGGGGAGTGCCCATCCATCCTGGCTCATGACCCCACCCTCCACCATGCCCAAGACTGCTCCCTTCTCCCCTCCAGGCCACTTCTCCCTTCACAGGAGGGCAGGTGCATGTTGGGAGTGAGAGGGTGGGAGACAGGAGGAAGGGGCCATAGAAAGGAGCTTCTCCTGGAAGAACAAGCCCTCGAGGTCAGGCCACTGGTGGACTAGAAGTGAGGGGCACAAAGGACTGACACCGGGCAGGGGCTGCTGAGACTCTGAGGGGGCTGGGGTGCTGAAGCCAGGCCTCCCAGGTCATAACGCCATCCATTTACACTCTGCAGTCCCTGCACCAGCACCTGAGCCCCAACTCTCAGCTCCAAACAAGTCCTGCCCACCCCACTAGGCTGCAAAAGGCAGTCAAATGGCTGTGGACATTTGCATCCCCATGCTCAGTTCCCTCACCCCTCATCCTGAAACAGCCAGAACTGTCTTGCCCAGGGCCCTGGCACTGCCCCAGCCTGGGGGCAGCAGGAATAGGGGGAAGAGTCCTGTTTGGGCCACCGAAATCCTGGGCTCTAACTCCTGCTTGGCTCTGCTGCCATCATGCTGTGTGGCCTCGGGCAGCTCACTGCACTCTCTGAGCCTCAGTGAAAAAAGAAAAAAGGAAGCATGTTAGACTGGTGGATCTCCATCTCTTGGCTCTTCCCTCCTGTGTTTGTGATTCTAACTCCACAGTGGGACAGGGCTAGATTCCTTTGGGTCTTGAATCAAATGTCACCTGAAGGCCAGCGCGGTGGCTCACGCCTGTAATTCCAGCACTCTGGGAGGCAGGTGGATCACCTGAGGTCAGGAGCTTGAGACCAGCCTGGCCAACATGGTAAAACCCCATCTCTACTAAAAATACAAAAAAAAATTAACTGGGCGTGGTGGCTTAGCTGGGCGTGGTGGCGGGCCCCTGTAATCCCAGGTACTCAGGAGCCTGAGGCAGGAGAATCGCTTGAACCCAGGAGGCGGAGGCTGCGGTGAACTGAGATTGAGATGGCGCCACTGTAGTCCAGCCTGGGCAACAGAGCAAGACTCTGTCTCAAAAAACAAAACAAAACAAATGCCACCCCCACGCTCCACCCAACACACTTAAAATTGCCCTCAACACTTTCCATGCTCCTTTCCTGCTTCATTCTGGCCCCACTGCAGCAGCTCCCACCTCCCGACATACTATATCCACTTATTTGTGTTTATTTACCCTGTTTCCAGCACTAGCACGTCAGCTCCAAGGGACAGCGAGATTGGTCTGTCCTGTTCACTGCCGTGCCCCCCCGCCTGGAGTGTAGTAGGTGCTCAATAAACATTTGCTGAAGGTGTGACGGGGGTTGGGGGGTGCCAGGATCAGGCCTGAGTTTCTGAGCAAGCTGGACAGGGTCATGAGGAGTGGGAGGAAGCTGTGCTCACCGCTTGGCTAAGAGAAGGATGAGAGTTGGGGGTGCTGCAGGCTTAGGGTGAGTGTGCACTGTTCAGGGCAAGGAGGGAAGGAGTGCCCAGGAAGTGCCCAGGCAGTGATGGGGCTGCCGAGGTCCATGTGTGTGACTGCAGGGGCCCCCTTAGGGGTTGGAGGGCCAGGCCCTTCACCCCTACAAGTCCCTACCCCTTCCACCCCACTACCCTCCCTACCCTCAGACGTAGTCTTCTCTGGGCAGAGGCAGAAGGCAGCGGCTGGACACAAAGGCATAACAGCTCTCCCTCCAAAAGCTGGAAAGCTCGAACCTCTGATAAGATGGGTAAATTTCAAAGGGGCTAATGGGTGGGGGGAGAAGGCTACTGATAACAGGGCCAGAGTGCTGCCAGCAGCCTCCCCCCGAACTTCCCACCAACCGGAGGGCCCAGCTCCTGAGCTGGCCTGTGAGCAAAACAGGTTCCGATTGTGCTCTTATCTGGGCCTGCGGTTTTGTAAGGCCCGGCTGGCTCTGCATTAATCGGGGAAAGGCAGCGGTCAGCTCTAGGGTGTGAGCAGTGATGTGGGGCCCCTCCACCCCCCACGACGGGCCTGCCGGGCTGGGGGTGCACCTGGTGCTCTGTGGGGGGGCGGGTCAGGGAGGGGCAGCAGACACACCAGACCATAAGCAGTGGTGGCTAAGAGTGGGGCTTTGCACCAGATCCTGGCTCCTCCCCTCATTGTGCAAAGTACTAAGCTCCTCTCCCGCCCCGTGCCTCAGTTTCCTCCCTGAGGTTAAAATAGGGATGCTAACGATAGGGGTGCTACCTCAAAGGGCCGTTAAGATAATTAAATGAGCTAACTGTTCTGAAGCAACCAGCATGGCACTTGGCTCCCAGTGAGCATGGGAGAGGTGAGATGCTTGGCCAGGGGACCCGGGAAATGAGCGGCCAGGGCTTCAAGGCCCCCACAATCTAACTCCACAGTGCCTCCTCATGTCACCTCCCGCCACCCGGAATGCACACAGAGACCTGCAGAGCTCACACCCTCGCCTCCTTCGTGCCTTGCTCAAATCCCACCTCCCCAAAGGGATCTGCCCTGACCACCGTATTCAGTGCTGCTCCCACACCCCACCCACCGCTCCAGGCTTCCTAGGCCCTTCCTGTCATGCATGCATCACCCACCAGTGTACTATGCAATTTACTCATTTGCACCTTTGCTGTTGCTGGTCCTTTAGAATGTAAGCCCAATGAGGCTCTGCTGTATGCAATGACCCGTGCCTGACCCGCAGTAGCCCTCCAGCACATTCCTGTGGAGGGAATGGATTCATGCGGGCAGGCGCAGGCCACCCTGCTCCCCATCACGGGGTGGAGGTGGTAAAGAGGATGCCATCTGTGTGTCCTGTCTGTCCCCCAAGCTAGGGCTGCAGGGTTCTCAGGCTTGTTGCCTAACTCTGGCACGAGCCCTGCCTGGCTGGGTCCACATGGGAACTCTGAGGACCCCAAGGGCTGGGGCCCTGGGATAGGATGAGGCCTCTTCAGATGGCCTCCCAGTTATGAATCAGCAATGGGGGTGGGTACAGCTAGCCCTTGGCTACAGGAAGAAACGGTCCATTTGCTCAGCCCCCATCACGAGCTTGGGGTCCATTTGCTCGGCCCCCATCAGGAGCTTGGGGTCATTCTCTGAGGAGTCAGTTTGTAGAGGGGTAGGAGATGGCACTGATGGAACGAGGCCTGAAGCTCTTCCACCTTTTGTTTTTCCCTAGAATGGAGAGGGTCACTCACTGTGACAGCATCTAATAGGTGTTCATGAAACTAGTAAGCCCACAGATGGCTACCCTTGGGAGTCATCACTGCCCTCTGAGGCAAGAAGACCCTGAGCAATTGTGGCCACCAGGCCTTGAACTATCCTCAAGAGCAGGCTGTGCCCAGCCCCTGTGCCCGGCCACCCTGGCCTCAGTGCCCGTTTAGGGCCTGGCAGCACAGAGTAAGATGCTGGTCTGGGCAGAGCAACGTGTTGTGGCCCAAGTGTGCCCAAGAGGGGCCCTGGCATGCTGCAGTTGCTGGAAGTGCCTCGTAGTATGGCCCTGAGAACACAGCCACCACCCCCTGGGCTATTTCCCAGCCCCTTGTTCACCATCCAGCTGCAACATGGTGTCCTGGAGAGAGGATTCCAACAGATCCAGCCTGAATCCTTCCTCTGCCATTATCCAGGCTTGACTGGGAATGTCAGTGAGCCTCTTTTCCCTATCTGTGAGTGAGACAGGCAATGACCCCCTGTGGACTTGCTAGGATTGAATGAGATAACACATGCCATGTGGGAGCACAGATCGGGGTCTGGATTCAGATCCCAGCCCTGCTGTGTGTCCTTGGGCCTGGTCCCTAGCCTCTCTGGTCCCAAGGTCTTTGTACCACGAGATGGCTGGGTGGTTTCTGGGATCCCACCAACCAAGTGTCCTGCCCTTCCTGTCCCCTCTGGCCCTGTCCAGGTGACCAGCCTCAGGCTCTTCACGCCTCAGCAGGGGGCACCCTCCCCCAAGCTGTCCAGCCTTTTCGCAGCTGGAGCCTGGGTCTGGGGGTGGGGCCTTGTGTCAGTCGGGAACTAACTGGCAGCTGCATGTCCCTGTGGCTGGCATACATCCCAGCCTTGCCTCTGCCACCATCCCCAGTCTAGCTCATCAGAGAGCAGGACGCAGTGAGGATGGGAGCGCAGGCAGATGGAGTCAGAAAGAAAGCTAGGAAGGCAGGAATCTGACCAACAGACTGACTCAGACAGACTGCCCTTTCCAAAGCGTGTCCACTTCCGCTGCCACTTGACATTCGCTCATCACAGTGCTCCACCCACAAGGTCAGCAGGGCAAGCGTTGTTATCGCCATTCACAGAGGAGGCGAGGGAGGCCCAGAGTGCTTGAGACTCGCTCGTGATCCCGCCGCTCGTCAGTGGCAGTGCTGCACAGAAACCGAGATGTGGGCCCTGAGTTCCACCCGGTGCTCTCCACGCTTGCCTCTGGTGGGCCAGTGGCCAGAGAGGACCAATGTGGGGAGGAAGCTCAGGCCAACTGCTCCAGAAATTGGTGTGTTGGGTCTGATGCTGCCAGCTGCTCTAGAATCCCTGCCTTCAAGGAGTTAAAATCTTGGGAAGAAAGAAATAAGAAATAGTGGGGAAAGAATTAGAGAACAAAGACTTGGGACATGTGAGGTCCGCAAGGACTGGAGGGGACAGGGAAAGGCTTTCTGGAGGAGAGGGCTCTTGAAATGGGCCTCCGAAGGATGGGGGTTCTCTCCACCAAAATAGGAGGGACTCAAGTCCATTTGAACGACAGAAAAAGGGAATGGCAGCTTCATCCAGGTGTTCCCACGGCGATGTCAGGAGGGCGTCTGGCTCCTCCTCTTCTGGGCTGTCCCTATTCTCCCTGGGGGTAGCAGCTCCTGACTTAACACGTCAAGGCTTGGAAACTCTAGTGGCAAGAGATAATTTGTTATCTCAGTAGGCTGGAGAAAAGTTCCAGGACAGAGTCACACTGAGCCAACTGGGGTTGTGTACTAGACCCCAGATCTGGAAGGGGTGGACATGGAGCAGGCATCGCCCACAACAGATGGGTGGGGTCTGGATGGAGGGCAAACAGGAGGGGGCACATTTAACCTGATGAGAGCTGGCCAGAGGAGGATTAGAGAGGAGTCCAGCCCAGGGAGCTGGAGGCAGGAAGTCTAGTGGACCCAGTGACCTGTTCCAGGGACCCGGGACTTGGCCCTGAGAGGACGTGAGAGTAGCAATAGGGTTTTACTGGGCATGGGGCAGTCATGGAAATTAGGGATTTGAGTTTGAATCTGCTTCCCAGCTGTGACCTTGGGCATGACATTTTAAATGTACAAGCCTGAATTTCTTCACTTGAAAAATGGGCATATACCTGGCCCAGTGGCTCACGTTTTTGGAGGCCGAGGCAGGTGGATAGCTTGAGGTCATGAGCTCAAGACCAGCCTGGTCAACATGGCGAAACCCCGTCTCTACTAAAAATACAAAAATTAGCCGGGCGTGGTGGTGCGTGCCTGTAATCCCAGCTACTCGAGAGGCTGAGGTAAGAGAATCACTTGAACCCGGGAGGCAGAGGTGGCAGTGAGCTGAGACTGCGCCACTGCACTCCAGCCTGGGTGACAGAGCAAGACTCTGTCTTAAAAAAAAAGAAAAGAAAAGAAAAGAGAAATGGGCATAGCAACATCTACCTGTGAGTGTTGCTGTGAGGAGTAAGATGGCATTTGTCAAACACGTGGCCAGGTTGGTGGTCAGCAAGGCCCTGGAATAGGGCAACCAGGTTCATGGAACACTTTGACCAGCATTTTCTCCCTCCTCACAGTAACTCTCAGGGTTCTCTGGATTTGGGAGGTGACTGTTCAGCAGATTTCAGACACTTGCCTAAAGTCACAAAGCTGGAAAATTACAGAATCAGGACATGTACTTGATCAAATCCCAAGCTGGTGCCAAGACACCATGCCCGGTGGATCAGGGGGTCAAGAGGATGTGTGTCACCCAGAGTTCCCTTATTGGGAAAGTTGGCCTTTCCTCCCCTGAAGCCCACCAGCATTGCCTTAGATGGGCATCCAACCCACCTTGGGCACACCACTGATGTCCACCCCAAGCAGCCTCTTGGAGGCTGGGCCTGTGTGAGCCCAGCTGAGCAGATGGGGGAGCCCTCCCTTGCTCCCTCTTGGTGGACCTTTTCCAGCTTCCAGAGGCAACATTTGTTTCCCTACTCCAGGCTTAAATGGGTAGAGACCCTGTCCACAGCCAGTACAGTTTAGCTGGGCCCATCCATTCAGGAGACCCCTGTGAAATGCTCCCTTGGGCCTTGAGTGAGGCCACACCAGTAAGAATTCCCACTTAACAAAAGTGAAAAGTCCATTTCTCTCATAAAAGTCCTAAGGCAGGCAGTCTGCAGCTGGTATGGAGGTTTTACATAATCCTGAGAGACCCAGGCTCCTTCTAGCTTGCTGCCTACTCTACTATCTTGTCCTCATGGTCTAAGATGGCAGCCAGAATGCCAGCTATCACAGCTGCATTCCACCCAGCAAGATGGAGGAAGGATAAATAAGAATGGAGTTAATGGTACATGCCAGCTTACTTTTAAGAAAGATTCCTAGAAATCTTGGCACATGACACTTCTGCTTTGTCATATAGTCACATCTAGCTGCAAGGGAGGCTGGGATAGTCTTAATTCTAGGTAGCCACGTGCGCAGCTAAAAACCAGGCCTTGGCCAGGTACAGTGGCTCATGCTTGTAATTCCAGCACTTTAGGAGGCCGAGGTACAAGGATTGCTTGAGGCCAGGAGTTCGAGACCACCCTGGGCAACATAGAGAGACCCTGTCTCTACAAAAATAAATAAAATAAAAAATAAAAATCAAGCCTTGTTTACTGAGGAAAAGGGGAGAATGGACAGCTATCTTTGACACCTTATCCACTCAATAAACATTTTTTTTTTGAGCTTCGCTCTATTGCCCAGGCTAGAGTACAGTGGCACGATCTTGGCTCACTGCAACCTCTGCCTCCTGGGTTCAAGCGATTCTCCTGCTTCAGCCTCCCAAGTAGCTGGGATTACAGGTGCCTGCCACCACGCCCAGCTAATTTTTTGTATGTTTAGTAGAGACGGGGTTTCACCACGTTGCCCAGGCTGGTTTTGAACTCCTGATCTCAAGTGATCTGCCCACCTTGGCCTCCTAAAGTGTTAGGATTACAGGCGTGAGCCACCGCACCCAGCCTCAATAAACATTTATTAGATATTCCTTGTACTTACCCACATTATAGTACTTACAGTATGATTAATAGCTTAGCATCTCATGAGCATCGAACATACAGGCATACAGTAGGTGCCTGTTAAGCAGTGGTCATTAGTATTAATGCATCAGAATGCTGTGATATAAGCCAGGCTTCTGTGAGAGTGGGGAGGAGGGAGGCGTGGCCACCAGAGAAGCAGGCACAAAAACGCACTCTAGGGGAAGGAGATCCACCTGGAAACGCAGCGTGTCTTTCTTTATTGACCCTGGAGGGCTGGACCATTGGGGATTAGGAGTGGTCGAGTGTACCATTTCAGGACCTTGTGTTACCTCCCCTTCCTCCGCTCCATCCTCCCTCAACCTTCTCTGGGGAATGACTGATAACTGATCCTCAACCAAGGTGCCAGTGACGATAACAGCCAAGTACAGGGCTCCCTGGGGGTGCAAAGTGCAACCTTACGTTGGAGAATGTGGGTATTGGTGAAGGTGAGGGGCTAGTTCTAAAGGCCTTGGGATCCCCTGCAGCCCCAGAATCCTCATGCTCTCGGCAGTTACACAGTTACTCCTGAAACAAGAGAAAAATCAGCATTATCTAGAACTTTCTCCCGTCAGAATGGAGGTAGCAGGTACGTGGAGCCCTTCTGAGATGATTTGGAGAAAGGAAGGCCCAGCCTCCAGGGACAACTCTCAGCCCACCTGGCAGGACATGGAGGAAGCCAAAAGCTGGACTGTGTGGCCCCCGCAGGGCTCAAGGAGGTGGAGGGTCTGGGGCAGCAAGTGCTTGGTGGTGGGTACCTCTGTCCTGCGTGGCATCCCTGCCATCACCCTTTGGGGCTATGGGAGAGCAAGTTGCTGCTGGCTGGCCCCCGATTACGGGCCTGGGAAAGCGAGCTAGGAGTCCTTCCTCACCGCCACTGTGTGACAGGTCTGCATGAGGACCCTGTGGGGCACAGAGAACACAGTTCCCACCAGGTCGTGGTTGGCCCACAAGCCTCGGGATCCCTCCCCAGGGTTCTCTGAAGCTCTCTCCATCCCTGGCCTGAGTAGCCAGACAGCACCTCCTCCAGGAAGCCCTCACTGATTTCCCTAGTTGGTGCCCACCCTCAGTGCCCCCTCAGTCCTCCATCTGGGCATGGGTGGTTCTGGATCTCCACTGCTGCTCACTTGTCTGTCTCTGGCCCTCAGCTGATCCATCTTAGAACCCCAGCCCTGGACCCACTCGACGTATCTCTGGCGCCTTGCACGTAATATGAGCTGAGTGGCTATGCAGCAACCAATGAACGAGTGAATGAGCGAGTGAATGAATGAGTCCCCTAGCTGTCAGGGCATGGATCCCCCAGCAAGGAGGGGGAGACCTGCAAGGGTTAATCAGGAGCCTGCCTGTGGTCTGAGGTAAGCAAGGAGTGTATTTGTTCAGGTAAATAAGGAAGGATTACTTATAATGGGAAATCAGGCCCTGGCCAACTCTTCATCTCGCGGCTGTCTGACTTCCTCCCAGCACATTCCTGCACTCTGCCGTGTCCACACTGCCCCACAGACCCAGTCCTCCAAGCCTGCTGCCAGCTCCCTGCAAGCCCCTCAGGTTGGGCCTTGCCACGGTGCCAGCAGGCAGCCCTGGGCTGGGGGTAGGGGACTCCCTACAGGCACGCAGCCCTGAGACCTCAGAGGGCCACCCCTTGAGGGTGGCCAGGCCCCCAGTGGCCAACCTGAGTGCTGCCTCTGCCACCAGCCCTGCTGGCCCCTGGTTCCGCTGGCCCCCCAGATGCCTGGCTGAGACACGCCAGTGGCCTCAGCTGCCCACACCTCTTCCCGGCCCCTGAAGTTGGCACTGCAGCAGACAGCTCCCTGGGCACCAGGCAGCTAACAGGTGAGTCCAACAGGAGGTGGGGGTACCCTGGCATGGGGTCTTTCCCTGCCAGCTGGGGGGTGGGCGACTGCAGGCAGGACTTGGAGGGGGCGCACTTTGCCAGCTCAGAGCTCATCTCCCAGTCATCAGTGACCCTGTGACCTGGATCCCTTTACCCTCAGAATTCCTTGCCCCCTCCTCATGCTCCCCAGACTGCCTCTCTGGGCCAACTCTACATGCTGGGTGAGCCCCCTTGCCCGGCAAGGCCTGGGGTCCCCCACACTGAGCCCAGTCTGCCCAGCCTGAGGGGAGGCCGCCGTGCAGATGCAGAGCCCCGGCCCCTGAGACCCAGCCAGTTCTGCTTGGCTGGAGAAACACAAGCGGCTTGCTGCTGCTGCCAACCCAGCTGCTCTGCTGAGGAAAGGGTCTCCCTGGTGCCAGGCCACCAGTGGGCAGGGGCTTGCTGGAGCTTGATGGGTCAGGGCTAAGTCTAAGGCCGGGTCCAGTTCGGGACAGGGGAGACAGGTCCAGAGCCCAGTAGCTGGGCTGGGCAGGGATGGGCACAGGAACCAGGGGGCTGGGGTCACCGCTGAGCACACACTCTGAGCCCTTGGACACTGGGGGAAGCTGAGAGCCTTGGGTCCTGGTCTTGGCACACAAGGAAAGCAACAGTAGCAGTACCTCGAAGGTGCTCATTTCTAAGATTTGCCAGATTTCTGCGGTGGAGAGAGGAAGTGGGTGGTGGGATGACAGGGTGGGAAGCTGAAGGGCCTGGGCGACTGGGTGCCCCTGAGGCTGGTGGAGGTGTGTGCGTGCGTGTGTGTGCGCGGAAGTATGTGTGTGTGTGGTGTGTGCATGTGCGCGTGCGTGTTGCATGTGCATGTGTGTGTGCGTGTGTGTGCATGTTGGGGAGGGGCAGGCCAAGATCCCTCACCTCACCTATCAGCTGGGGCCGCCCAGCAGCCCACACCCAGGCCATGAGCCCCGCGTAGCCTGTGTCCTTTATGATGGCCATGGGCTTTCTCCTCCTCCTCGGCCAGGGCTGGGACTTGCCTCATTTCCTGCCGCAACCTCCCCAATAAAGCTGCATCTCCCCATCACCAGCTGCTCAGCTGAGTAACAAAGCAAACAGGCGTCCAGGCTGCCCCAGGCCCAAGCTGGTGGGCAGGGATGGGGAGGAGACGCCCCACCAGACGGGCAGGCCCAGGCCATGGTTCAGCCAGGCCAGTTGGGCTGAGCTTCCCTCCACCCACCTGCAAGAGGGGCCAGAGCCAAGGACCCCCAGCTTGGAGTCCCACCACCCCAAACTCACAGACAAATGGTGGGGGGCATTCTCGGAGCTCCCAGGCAGGTGGGGCTGTGTGGAGGAGGTGGTCTCACTGCGTAGGGGACCCACCCTCGCCTTTGAGAGGCTGACAGTGCATGTACAAGCATTTCCTCTGAGTGAGGCCCCGTGGGGGTATCCAGAGCTGAAAACTACCAGACTTGCTTATTGCACACTGTCAGTTGTAAAACACTTTGGTTTTCACAAGGACCCTCTGAATTCGATAGGGCTTCTCTGTCAACCAAGTCTGAGGGAATAGGGCTGCACTCAGTAGGTGCTCAGTCGATGCTCAGAAAGTGTGATGCTGGCAGGAAGTGCAAAAACCGGGAGAACCCACTTTTTACCACTGAGGTCGTTGTGAGTATAAAGTGAATAGCCCTGAAACCGTTAGAGCAGTTTTGTGCTAAATGACTTGTTGCAGCCTGAGTATAACCCGGGGAAGTTAATTTAGTCTGACAGGGGGACACAGACCCTCAAGGTGGAGGGCAAGAAGGAACAGGTGAGGTCCCGCCATGTGGGACCGTGGGCGGGTCACTTTTCCTCACTGTACTTGCAACACCTTGTCTGTGAAACAAGGTTAGACAAGGCTATTGCCTGTTAAAGCAGGCTTCACGGAGGAGACAGCCTGGAGCAGGACCTTGAAGGCTGTGTAGGAGTTGGATTTGCCAGCCGGTCTCCTGGGCGTTGGGGGGTGGTGGCGGGTGCGGGGGCCGGGGGGAAGTGGGTGGGGCAGGAATTCTTGGTTCTGGTTCCTCCTAGAGGGCAGGGAGGGTGGGTGAAGCCTGCAGCTGCCTGGACTGGGCTAGAGAACAGGACAGGGCCCCAGCCTCCCTCACCACCATCCTCAGCTCCCCCCAGACTCCACTCTCTCGCCCACTCCCTCTACTCCCCATCACCTTCCGCTTCTTCCTTTGCTCCCCGGCTTCCTCACCCCATTCCCTCTCTCTTTCCTCTTCTCCAGCTGATCCCCTCACCTGTGCCCAGGGCCCCCCTCATGTACACTCAACCCATCATAAATGATTTCCATTCACCCTCCATCTCAATCTCCACAACCCCTTTAAGACATACTCTTGACAGCCCATTTAACAGACAAGAAAAATGAGCCTCAGAGGGGGCTGAGTCACTGGCCCCAGCCCCAGAGCTAGAGAGCAGAGAGTCAGGGATCAAACCTTTTCTGGGACCCTCCCCTGGTCCCCACCCCCACCCCGTTCATGCCCCACCCTGTGCCCCCAGCCAAGCGAGTGGCCTGTCAGGTGGAACAACTCTTCCCAAAGCAAACTTTGCACAAGCCGAGTTGCCCTGGGCTCTTCCTGACATTTAATGCCAAGCTCCTTCTCCTGGCTAGTTTGCATGTTTTCAGCCTGGGAGGTGCCCCCTGCCAGATTCTGCTCTCCCACCTCTCAGCAGCCGGGGTTGGGGGTGGGTAGAAAGGGGCCTCCAGACTTGGGGAGGGAGAGGCTCATCCTTCCTCCCCAGCCAGGGACCTTAGTGTGACTCTGCTGGGGGTCGGATGGGACCGGGACCTCCCCAGGATTATGACGGCGCACCACCAGGATAAAGACCCCCCTCCTTCTCCCTCTAGCTCTGGCACAGGGGAGACGTGGCTGGAGGGACTGCCCAGCCCGGGGCTCCAGCGCCTGAGACTGGTTGCGGGGCAAGGCCCAGGCCTCTCTGCTCCTGGGGTAGCAAGTTGCTTTGAGGGCTGCTGGGACCTAGCTCCTCCTGCCCCACCCTACCCTCTGTGCCAGGACAAAAGGGGGATGTGTCTCTGCTGACACTTCACAGGTGGGAACCGGTCCTGATAACCCCTTAATAACCCACTCCCACCCATCTCAACCTTGTTTGAAGCAATTTCTGTTCTTAGCCTGTCAGGACAGTTCTTTCTGGACTTTTCTCATCTGTGATGTTGGAGTCCTTCACTTTGTCCTAACACCCCTCTCCAAGCCTGGAGGTGTGCTCCAGGGCCTGAGGATCAGGGCGCAGGAATGTTTTTTCCCTTCAGCCCATCAAGATTTTACAGACCAACAACCAGGTGTGTGGAGGGCCTCTGCCTTCCCTGGCCTGTGCTGGGTCTGGAGGGGCCGCAGAAACACGGCAGATGGAGACAGCAGTCACCACTGTGGACACACACCTCTCGGGAGACAGTGAAGCCTTCTCACATCGCTGTCCTGCCTGGTGACTTCAAAATCCAGACACACAGCTGTCTTTATGAGTCCCTGTTTCACTGCTGAAGAGGCTGAGGCCAAGAGGATCGGCCAAGGGGCCTCAGGCAGGAGCAGCAGAGCTCCGGTGACATCCGTGTGTTCTCATGCCCTCAACGACCCTGCTGGGCAGGGCTGTGGGGAGCAAGAGACCCAGGAAACCTCACGACCCCTGTCCTGTGGCAAGCTGGGAGGTACGGCGTATGCGGGGCTGGAGGAGGGTAGGGAAGAGGGAAGGTACTGTGGCCGGCCCTTCAAGGAGTGTACCGGCGATTTGGGGGTGAGGACGAGACTGTGCCAGAGAGGGGCAGCCATGTGACCCGGGCTGCATCATGGCAAAGCGGGGATGTGCAGGTGGTGGGGGTATGGCAGCCTTGGTGTGGCTAAGAGGCCTGACGGGGGCACTGAGAAGTGAAATGTATTTATATACACATGGGCTCAACCAGGGCTGAAGGAAGACGTGAATGGCAATTTCTGGAAAGCCCTGAAGGTTGAGCGGAATTGTAGTTGCTATGGTGGGAAACTGGGTTCTGTCCCCGCCCCGTCAGCATGACTCACTGCAAGCCCCAGGTTTGTCTGGGCTGGGGTCCCTGCTGGCTGGAGGAGGCGGGGAGGCACTGCTGCTGGGGTGGGAGCCAGGCCTGATGGGCAGCTGGTGAGGTGCAGGACAGCCTGAAGCTGGCTCTGCTTCTTCAGAAGGGTGGGCTGAGTCTTTCAGAGCCTCCAGACATCAACTCCAGGGACAGCCACACCCCTCATCCTGCCAAAAGTGTCAGCTGTAAATGGAGTATGCCTTTGCTTACAAGGGAGCCCCAGGTGTCCACCTCTGCGTCCCCACCATCCTTCTTTAAGTCCCCAAAGCCAGGCTGATGGCAAGATGAGGGTCATGGATCGTAAAATCCAGGCAGTGCCAGGGCTAACAAAGTCCTCAGAGATGACCTGGCCTACAGAGCAGGAGACTGAGGGCTGGAGGGACCAGGGACTCACCCAGGGTCTCTCCTATGGAGGGAACAGGGCAGGGTGTCACCTGCACCTCCTGAAGTGGAGGTCTTCGTTCTTTCCAGTCCACATCCCCTTTTGGAGTAAACTCAGCCACGATGGTCCACTTGGGGCTGCGGTGGGCCTCTGTACCTCCAGGCTGCGGGCACCTGTGCTACCCACACCCCACTAAGGCAACTGCTGTGGGGCTGGGTTGGCAGGTGGCCTGAGCAGAGGCAAAGGGGATGGTCAACAGGGGCAACCTTAGGAGCTAGAAGATGCCGGGTCTGCCAGCACCAGCAGAAAGGAGGGTGGAGCCGAGTCTTGAGTTCGAGTCCCTGCTCACTCACGCATGGACAGGTGCCCCGTAGCAGGTCACAGCGCCCTTGTCCGTCAAGTGGGAATAATGCTGGCTGCCCCAGCTGGGAGGGCCCGGCAAAGCAGTTTATTCAGTTTGACCTTCCTCCTGTCCCAGAAAGCGCTGGAAGTAGTGCCAGTGAGGGTGTGTGTGGACACCCAGGCTGCCCATGCAGCAGGGCACAGAGGAGGCTTCACTGATGCAATGTGTTCCTGCTGCCCGTGGGAACTGTGGGAAGAGAAAAACCACTGGGTTCCCCTGGCGCTCCACTTTGGCTTCCAGTGCCCCGTCTTCCTGCTACGTGGCCCCGCCCCCAGCTTCCACCTGCCTCCCGCCCCACAAAGCCTCACCCACTCCCCTGTACTTCCCCCAACAGACCCCAGCTCCTGGGCCCACTAGCTGGCTCCCCAAGGTGAAACTCACACAGATCAGGGCTCCTGAAGAAGTTGTTAGGGGGACAGTTGGCCTGGACAGTTTTGTGCCCAGAGGAGGTGGGGAAAGCCCGGAGATCTAGAAGAAACCCACCTCGTCTACTCATGCTGAGTCCAAGACAGCAAGATCTCTCTCACTCAGTCACCTCCCTGCTCTCTTCTTCTGCCCTTGGAGACCCTGGGGAAGCAGGTGCTTGGAGATGGCCACAATGGGGTGCTTGAGAGAGGGCAGGAGCTGCTGGCCCGAGGTGGCAGCCTGGGCCCCCTTCCTGGGCAGCGGGGTGGTCTGTCCAGCGGGCAGAAGTGGTGCTCTGGGCAGTGAATGGAGGGCCGTAAGGAAGGGGTCTGGCACTTCTCTTGGGTCCAGCTAGTTTGAAGAGCAGTTTGAAGGGTGAGGTTGCAGCAAGGTCCTCCCTGTGGAAGGGTTGGAGGAGCAGAGAAGGGGTGGGAGGAACAGCAGGGCAAGAGAGAGGCTGGGGCCCCAAGGGGATGGGGCAGGGCAGGGGTCAGGGTGTTTGGAGAAGCCAGACATGCTACTGCGGCTGGGCCTGGTCATGGCTTTGGCTGGGACTTCCTGAGGCCTGGGTAGCCCAGCTTTTCTCCAAGGTGCTGACCAGGGCAGGCCCATGTGGCCCCTGCCCACTCTGCATGGCTCCTGGCCAAGACCTGGCCTCACCTCCACAGCCCCTGACTCCAGCCCATTTAAGGGGACCCAGGGACTTGGATGGATGGAGGGAGGGGCTGACAGACAGCTCAGTAGGCCACATGGGAAAGCCAGAGGAGGTCTGTTCCCCATCAGACCTCTTCCTCCTGCAGTGAGGCCGGCTGGGGGCTGAGCAGCAGGGCCAGAGTGGCCATCTCTGTCACTCCCTCAGTGCTCTTCTCAATGGGGACTAAAGCTGGGGTCTTGGGCTCTGGGCGGGCTGGCATTGGGTCTCAGGATTGAGGTAGGGGTGAGGATACATTTACCCCACACCACCATCTCCCCAGGAGGTAGGGCCTGAGAGCCGGGACCAAGCAGGATATGGAAGACAGGCTCCAACCCGCACAGCGACCTGGGTCCTTAGCAAACGCCTCCCAGGTGACTCCATTCCCGGAAACTGTGGTTCGGGAGCTGTCAGGGAGGGCATCTTTTGCTGATGCCAGTTGGGGTGTGGGAGTGAAAACCTGGGAGGCAAAGGGTTCAAGGGGCACATTTCTAGCCCCGAGGGGTGAGAGTAGGCAGGGTAGTGGCAGGAAAAGCTGCACTAAATCTCTCCTTTTGGGTCCCTCTGCTCACTTTCCTTAATCTTCCTTCCTGGGGGAATGGAAGGCGCTGAGAGAAGGGGCCCAAGGTGGCTAATCCCCCTGGCCGCCACCCCACCATTCTGCTCCTGTCTCTGGGCCTTGGCCTCCACCAGCTGTTACCAAACTTTCTTTGTCTGGAGTGGGATCTGGGGCCTCTGGAGCAGGAGGGAGCCAGGACACGCTGAGCCTTAATCCAGACATGTGGCTTAATCCAGAAGAGATCAACTCGAGGTTTGGGAGCTGGAGGCATCGCTCAGGAGACGGCAGCCCGTGGGACTGGCAGGCCAAGGCTGCAGGAACGCTGGGTCCTGCCATCTGAGGACCCTGGACATGGCAGACACCTGGCACGTCCCAGGACCCTTGGCCTACGGAGCAGTGGCCTGAGTGTCAGGAGGCCTCTGGTCTGGCCCTGGCTGTGCTGTGTGACTGTGGGCACCTCCCTGCCACTCTTTGAGCCTGAGCTTTTCCAGTGCACATGTGTCCCCATGGGTGGACCATCACTGATGGATTTAATCCTGGGCTGAATTGCATGGCACAGATGAGGCGAGCCTAGGAAGTCGCAGGAGGGAGCTATTAGGGAGGGCTCGCTGGGGCAGGAGGGCTTTGGGATGAATTGTGATGAGAAGGAAAGGGCATCTTAGAAAATAGCCATGTTGTGCCCACAGCACAGGGGCAGGTATGAAATGCCATTCTCATTAGAGCTTGGATTTGTGGTCACTATGTCAATCCCTGGTTCTGGTCCGGACCCTGCTGCTAATAAGCACATGAATCCCTTCCCCACTCTGGGCTTCATTGTTCCCATTCTATGAAACAATCACATAATATATGGCCCCTTCCAGCTCTGATTATCTGGGCCAGGTAGGAGGTAGACTCAGAGGTAGGCACCAGCCACTGGGATGGGGCAATGGGGAGCCATGGGAGATTCTTGAGCACAGGGGTGTCTGATGAAAGGGTGCTGCAGGGATATGAACAGTGGGGTGGAATGAAGAGCCAAGAGGTGGGGACAGACTTTAGAGCATCAAGGAGCCCAGTCAGGAGGTGGGCAGATCCCCTAGGAAGATGGGACTGGCCAGAGCATGCACCTCAGAGAGAATGTGGTCCAGTGAGCAGAACCCACACCTGGCCAGGAAGAACCCTGGACAAGCTGCACAGCCTCCCTGAGCCTCACTGTCCGCATCTATAAAGCAGGGCTCTGGAGTCCACGTCACCCTGGCTGTGGGTAGGAAAGCGGGTGATGTGGGTGAAAGCCTGGGCGTGGCACTGGTGCTCACTGCCAGGGGCTCACAGTGCCGTTCTCTCTTCTTCCCTCCTGAGGCCAGCCCAGAACCTTGAGACGCCTAGTTGCAGGTTGGGCACACCAGCCCTGGCTGCCTGACCAGTAAGCCAAGCCCCCCTACTCTAGGCCTGGGCTGCCTTGGGGACGGAGCATTCCCCACCACCCCTGATCTGCAGAGAGTCGAACCTTTCCTCCAACCACACAGTTAACCATTAACTTATTTTTCATCAGGGAAGTGTTGGAGCTAGGACCGAGGCTTGGTGGGGAGTAGATTCCTTGGCATTTAGGTATAGGGCAAGGTCAAGCTGGAATGTGGGGTATAGAGGGTGAAGGAGCCCGAGCCAGGAGTCAAAAGACCTGGATTTGGGGATTTACCTCTCTGCACCTTGACTTCCCCATTAGCAAAGTAGGGATGAGAATAAGACCTGGGCCAGATGAGGTAGCTTGTGCCTATAATCCCAGCAGTTTGGGAGGCTGAAGCAGGGGGATCACTTGAGCCCAGGAGTTCGAGACCAGCCTGGGCAACATAGTGAGACCATGTCTCTACAACAGATTTTAAAAATTAGCCAGGCATGATGGCACACACCTGTAGTCCCAGCTACTTGGGAGGTTGAAACAGGAGGATCACTTGAGCCCAGGAGGTCGAGGCTGCAGTGAGCCATGATCATGCCCCTGCACTCGACAGAGCGAGACCTTATCTCAAAAAAAGAGAGAGTAAGGCCTGTGCTGCCTTTCTCCTGGCAAGGGGATGGATGTGAGGGCTTCACATGCACTCAGCAAATGTGTCAAGGATGTGTCATTATATGCCTTCCTGGCAAAAGCTGCCACCTGCCCTGCCCATTCATCCCCACCGACCCCACACAACCATGCCTGAAACACAGCAGCTGCCTCCTGTCCTACCTGTGGCTGAGGCCAAGCAAACAGGAGGGCCACAAGGGAAGCGAGTTCTGCTTCTTGGAAAAGCTTCTGTCTCCCTGGCATGGCGCCCAGGGTGTTGGCAGAGACTGTCCTAACGTGGCAGGCATGGGGGCTCTGGGGATGTGGACGGGGCAGGAGGCAGGCAGGGGGTGATGAAGGAGGGGTGGGGGGCTGCGGGGGGGGGTCCCCAGGGGTGGAGCCACCTAGCGGGTAGGGCATGGGCACCAGGCAGGGTGGGGCCCAGGGGCAGAGCGAGCTGTTGGCACTGCCTGAGTAAATAATGTGGGCCCACAGCACACACGAGTGTTTGCACAGAAGGACTTGAAATGATTCCAGGTCTGCCCTCTGTCCCCCACATCCCCAGCCCCGCCTTGGTCTCTGCCCACCCCACCCCACCCTGACCTTTCCTTCCTTGTCACTTAAAGGAGCCCTTGAATGGGAGAGTTGAAATCAAAGGGAACACCCTTCCCTCCTGCTGGCATTTTCTCCACCACAGGAAGCTGCAGGGCTGCCATGTAACACTGGGAAGGTTGGGCACTGCACAAGGAGGGTGGGCAGAGGAAGCTGAAATTCTACCTAGGCTCCATTCGTCAAGCTATGCTATCCAGGGGGAAGGGATGTCATTTTCTGAGTTGTGTGAAATTGAATGGGCTAGCTGTGGCCCTACCGAAGTGGAGGTGTCTTCCAGACTGGGTTCTTTCCCTTGTCCCACCTGCAGAAGCAAATGCCAGCTGCATACGGAGGCTGCGCGGGTCAGTCTCACAGGGTAACTGGAGATGGATCAGGGAGCCCCCTTCCCCTCCTGCTGTCCCAGTAGGGCACCATAAATGTCACTGTTAGAGAGGATTTCAGTGCTTTGATTAAAGCCTTCCCCCCAACTGGCCAGTTACCTTTAAAGCAAAGATCCTCAAATTTGAACATGCACGAGAATCACCCAGAGGCCAGTTAAACCAGACTGCGGAGTCTCCCCCAGAGCTGCTGATTCAGTGGCTGTGAACTGCCTGAGAATTCAAGTTTCTAGCAAGCTCCGAGGTGGCGCTGGTTCTGCTGGCCCAGACGGCACATTTGGAGAACCACTGCTTGAAACTATAAATAACCCTCGAGAAAGGACACAAATTAACTTGCCCTTAACAGGTTTATCTGTTCCTTTCCTCCTCCCTAACTGGTTCTCTGTATTATTAGGAGCGTATATCTGTTGGTAATCTTCTGCCTCTGGCTTGACGTATTCTTTGTGTGTGTGTGCGTGTGTTTTGTTTTTTTTTTCGAGACGGAGTTTTGCTCTTTCACCCAGGCTGGAGTGCAGTGGCACGATCTCGGCTCACTGCAGCCGCCTCCTGGGTTCAAGTGATTCTCCTCCCTCAGCCTCCCGAGTAGCTGAGACAGGAGAATCAGGCACCCACCACCTTGCCCAGCTAATTTTTGTATTTTTAGTAGGGACAGGGTTTCACCATGTTGGCCAGGCTGGTCTCGAACTCCTGGCCTCAGGTGATCTGCCCGCCTCGGCCTCCCAAAGAGCTAGGATTACAGTCACGAGCTACTGCACTGAGCCTGTCTTGATGTATTCTTAAGTCTCAGGCCCCCACATCACTGCCATCCCAGAATGTCCTGGGGTTTCAGTGCTTGCGCACCTCTCCAGTCCCCCTTCTCACCCAAACTGTGCACTCTGCTATTGGTTTCAGGGAAAAGGGCCTGGGCAAAACCAAGCCGGGGCGGCCCGTGGGGAGCAAGGCCTCTGACTGCTTGTGTTGAGGCCAGATGGTTCCCCCGGAGGGCCTTGGGGCAGCAGTGAGGAGCAGGTGGCTGAGTTGCTAAGGGTTTTAGGTGTTCCCTGGAGCCCTGCCCCATCTCACAACCACCCTGGCTCCTCCTGGAAAGCCTGGCATGTGGCACTGCCTCCGGGTGGCCGCATGCTCCTCCAGGCATCGGGGAAAGTAGAGAGCACTGGGAGCTGGAAGGGGCCCTGGGGGCAGCACCTTCTGAGGGAGGGTAAGGGGAGGTGGGTACCATGCACCCAGCCTGGGGTATTGGGAGACACACACCTGTGAGCTCTTGCTCAGTGGCCACCTTGAGAGTGTTGAGTTTACTTAGATCCCCCAGATAGCCCTGTGGGAGGGCAAGGGCTGGCCTACTCCCCGGCGTGTGGGAGGGTTTCTACCCCGCCTTGTTCCTCTCGTCTTTCCCCTGCTGGTGAAGATGATAGCCACCTTTAGGATGGTGGCCTCTGCCTGCCACTTCCACTCCTATCCTTGTCAAAGGCAGAAGAAAAACAAGCTTTGCTATATCAGGAAAGATTTGGACACTGAGGGCCCCTTGTTCCCACCTCAGTTTGCTCATCCGCCAAATGGCGCAATCATGCCTTCCATTGTGAGGGCTGAATGAGGTCAGGAACCTCAGAAGGCTGTTTTAAGCACAGTACATGTGTGGAGCTTTGCTGCTCCCAGCCAGCCTGGCTTCCTTGGGGATTGAGGGAGCGATCTATTTCTAGTCCTGCACCCACTCCCACCTCGCTGTCTTTCCCAGCCAGAAGGCCTGTCTGCCCAACCATGTCGTGGCTGCCCAATGACCCGGAAGCCCCCAACTCTGTCCCAGGCCCAGCCCACTGTCCACAGGGCCCCTCATCCCCATAACCAGCTTAGCGGCCCCCACAGGGATGGAGAAGCAGTCAAACCTGAGTCCTCTTTCATTTCCGTAGACACAGCCGCCAGCCCAAACAGCAGCGGCATGGGCAGCGCCAGCCCGGGTCTGAGCAGCGTATCCCCCAGCCACCTCCTGCTGCCCCCCGACACGGTGTCGCGGACAGGCTTGGAGAAGGCGGCAGCGGGGGCAGTGGGTCTCGAGAGACGGGACTGGAGTCCCAGTCCACCCGCCACGCCCGAGCAGGGCCTGTCCGCCTTCTACCTCTCCTACTTTGACATGCTGTACCCTGAGGACAGCAGCTGGGCAGCCAAGGCCCCTGGGGCCAGCAGTCGGGAGGAGCCACCTGAGGAGCCTGAGCAGTGCCCGGTCATTGACAGCCAAGCCCCAGCGGGCAGCCTGGACTTGGTGCCCGGCGGGCTGACCTTGGAGGAGCACTCGCTGGAGCAGGTGCAGTCCATGGTGGTGGGCGAAGTGCTCAAGGACATCGAGACGGCCTGCAAGCTGCTCAACATCACCGCAGGTGAGCCCTCTCCATGTGCCTGCTTCCGTAAGATGGGTCACAGGCAAGGCTGAGGTCGCTGGGGTGGGTCGGGGCACTGCTGGATGGACTCTGGCCACCTCTGGCCCAGCCTCGGGCAGCTTTGGGGATGCTGGCACTTCTACACACAGTCAGCTGTGAGCCTGGGCCAGGAAGGTTTCTGTCCACCTCTAGTGTCCCAACCATGCCAGCCTAGGGTCCCCACTGGTAGGTGCTGGATGATATGAATTCAAGCTCTGTGTCCCCCACCTCCTCTTGGACTTCGCTCTCCCCTCATTCACTCTGCTCCCGCCACACTGGCCTGTTTGCTGTTCCCACAACATTTGCTACGCTGCTGCTTCTTCAGCCTAGAGCGCTCTTCCCCCAAATATCTGTGTGACTCACTTCCTTCAGGTCTTGGCTCAGATGGCACCATCCGCATGAGGCCTTCCCTGACCCCTCCATTAAAATTGCTGCCCATGAGCACAGGACATGGTAAAGAAAACAAACAAAAAAATGAAAAATAAAAGAAAGAAGAAAAATTTCTGCTCACATCCCTACCTGCTGTTCTCACCTGCTTCCTCTCATAGCACTTACACTCCTCGGACGTGCCGCACCATATCTGTTGATCTCGCTCACTCTCTGTGTCCTCCACTAGAATGTACACTCCACAAAGGCAGGGATTTTCATTTGTTTTGCTCATCAATCCATCCCCAGATGCTAGGATAGCACCTTGAATATAACTGATGCTCAATAGACAGTTGTTCAATAATAAGCATTTCTTTTTTTTTTCTTTTTCTTCTTTTTTTTTTTTTTTTTTTTTTTTTGAGATGGAGTCTTGCTCTGTTGCCCAGGCTGCAGTGCAGTGGTGCAATCTCGGCTCACTCACTGCAAGCTCTGCCTCCCGGGTTCAAGCCATTCTCCTGCCTCAGCCTCCCGAGTAGCTGGGACTACAGGCGCCCGCCACCACACCCGGCTAATTTTTGTATTTTTAGTAGAGACAGGGTTTCACCGTGTTAGCCAGGATGGTCTCGATCTCCTGACCTCGTGATCTGCCTGCCTCGGCCTCCCAAAGTGCTGGGATTACTAGCGTGAGCCACCGCGCCCAGCCTCTTCTTTTTTTTTTTTTTTTTTTTGACAGGGTCTCGCTCTATCACTGAGGCTGGAGTGCAGTGGTGTGATTTCAGCTCACTGCAACCTCTGCCTCTGGGTTCAAGCGATTCTCCTGCCTCAGCCTCCTGAGAAGCTGGGATTACAGGTGTCTGCCACCACACCCTGCTAATTTTTATATTTTTAGTAGAGACGGAGTTTTCACCATGTTGGCCAGGCTGGTCTCGAACTTCTGACCTCAGGTCATCCGTCTGCCTTGGCCTCCCAAAGTGCTGGGATTACAGGCATGAGCTACCTCTCTGGGCCGAAAAGCAGTTCCTAATATGCCAAGCCTTATTCTAGGACGGGGGAATTGAGTGGTGAACACAACACAGCCCCTGTGTTCGTAGGGCTGACATGATAGTGAGTGACACAGATCACAAATAAATAGAGAAATGTGTCACTGTTCTTGTGGGACGGAAGGCCCCGATGAGGAGGGGACCTCCTAGGGCCTGGCATACATGTGTCTGTCAGCCAGACCTGGAAGGCGTGATTATGGAGCTGATGCTGTGGGTGGCGGGGCTGCTGAGTCTCTAGTCCTCTGTCCTGCTGTCGCCTCTCCAGCTTCAGGCAGTCCTGACCCATGTCCCTCATCTTCAGGCCCTGGCATTGCAGCACTGAACTCTGTGCAGCTTTCCCTGGGAAGCAGGGGTCTTCATGCATCCCTCAGGCCCGGCCCCTGCCCCCAAAGCTGCCCCGTTGACGTCCTCATTTGAAGCTGCTCCTGCCGATGCCCCAAGTTTCCCAATGCCCATGCCAGGCCGACTCCAGGAGTTCTCCCACAGACCTCCTCCCCACCCACAGGGCTAGGGAGGGGAGGGCCCTGCTCCCTCAACAATGGGAACAGAAACAAATGGCTTTGACCTCAGGGAGGAAAATGGGCTTATTAAGTGGGGGCAGCCCAGCCTGCAGGTCACCCAGCTGGGACACTGGCTGGACCATGGTGTTCACTTGGAGGCCCCATTGTGACCATGCCCACCAGCCTATCCCCCACCTATAGGCCTATGAGGCTCACCCCAGAGCAGCACCCCAGGGGGACATCTAGGACCTAGCCAAGGGCTCCCCTCCTGGCCTCTGGGGCCTGTGGCTGCCCCATGGCCACCCTGTGCCCTGCCATTTACTTATTCAACACATGTGCCTGGAGCAGCTCCTGTGCGTCTAGCCCTTTATTCCGTGGAGGACAAGGGGATGGAGTGCCCTGTGCCTCAGTTTCCTCATCTGTAAGATACAGGGGCTGGAGAGAATGGTGGGGTTCTAAGACTAATTCCCAGGTAGGTGTTTCTCTGGTTCCTTGAGGGGTTTGGGAAAGGCAAGAAGTACCTGATGGAGAAGCCCAGGTGTTTCTGGTAGAGTGTCACTGTCCCTCTAGGGCTGAGGCTCCCTCGAAAGGTCCTTTGGAGAGGCTGGAGGGATCTGGGAGGACCCAAGGCCTGGGTGAGGCGGGCAGTACAGATGCACCAGGTTACCCTGCCCTGAACCAAGTTCATTTTTTAGGGCCCTGGTTCCTTCCTCTCGCCCCACTCTCTTCTTGGGTACCCACTTCCACAGGGGCCCTCAGGGGCCTGTCTGGGGCTGACCTATCCCCATCCCCAAGAGCACATGGTCTCAGGCCACAGGTTCCCATGGGTGCCCCATCACAGCAGGGTGGTGCTCTCAGGCCACCCCTGAGCTGAGGGGATGCCTCTTGCCCAGATCCCATGGACTGGAGCCCCAGCAATGTGCAGAAGTGGCTCCTGTGGACAGAGCACCAATACCGGCTGCCCCCCATGGGCAAGGCCTTCCAGGAGCTGGCGGGCAAGGAGCTGTGCGCCATGTCGGAGGAGCAGTTCCGCCAGCGCTCGCCCCTGGGTGGGGATGTGCTGCACGCCCACCTGGACATCTGGAAGTCAGGTAGGATGTGGCATGGCTGGGAGCAGCCCCTCCCAGGCTCCAAGCCAGGGACAGGATGCTGGCTAGGAGGTTGCCCTCTGCTAGGGCAGCAGCCCCTTGGCCCCCAACTGGACTCCACTCTGAATCTCAGCCCCAGTTTCAGCTGCCTCCTGGATCCTGGTGCACTCTTCACCCCAACCCACTCCCAGCCCTGGTCAAGGCCCCAGAGCTTTGGGACAGAGCACCTGGGAGGTTAAAAGGTAGAAGTCAGACTGTGAGGATGCAGGATGTCAGAGCTGGGGACAACCGTGGATACTAGGAAGTCCTTTTTCCTTTTAAAATTTTGTTTGTTTTTCTTTGTTTTCTTTGTTTTTTTTTATTAAAGAAGTAATAAATGTGCATGTTATAAAATAGACCACAGTGAAAAGTAGTGTACCATGAACAGTTTCCCCCTCCCGCTCCCGACCCCCAGCTTCCAATCCCCTCCCTAGAGGGAACCACTGTTACAAGTTTCTTGAGTATCTTTCCAGGGAAAGTCTATGAATACTCGAGCACATTTACATATATGCAGTTCTTATTCTTTTTTTTTTTTTTGACATAAGTAGTAGCAGAGTATTACACTGCTCTGCACACCACAGTATGTCTTGGGTATTGCCCCTGTCCGTGTCCACAGTGGCCCTGTTTTAATTTTAGTTTTTGTTTTTTGAGACAGGGTCTCACTCTATTGCCCAGGCTGGAGTACAGTGGCACAGTCACAGCTCACTATAGCCTCGACTTCCCTGTTTCATTGGATCCTCCCACCCCAATCTCCTGAGTAGCTGAGTCTACAGGTGCACCACCACACCCTGCTAATTTTTGTATTTTTTGGTAGAGACGGGTTTTCACCATGTTGGCCAGGCTGGTCTCAAACTCCTGGGCTTGAGCAATCCACCCACCTCGGCCTCCTGAAGTGCTGGGACTACAGGCATGAGCCTCCACGCCCGGCCTGCCCTAAATTTCTAATGGCTGCGTGTCAGCCCCTGAGTGTCTAAATTGTCTTGATCTCAGTGGGCACCCACTGCTGCCTGCACAGGGCCAGGTGCTTTGGAGGAGGTGGTGCCTGAGTCAAGGAGTAAGAAACAGGACCAACTCATAGGACCCTGTCAGAGACCAGTGCCCCGCCCCAGCCCAGGCAAGCCCCCATGTCAGATGTCCTCATCTGAACAAGGGGTTGCATGCAAGCCCTTTACGGCCCCTCCCAGCTCTGAAATCCTGAATTTTCTTCCAGGAAGCAGCTTCTTGTAACCAGCTTGCCTCCCCAGGTTGGCAGGAGGCAGGGAGCCACAGGGGCAACCCCCAGCCACAGAGGGGCTCCTGTGGCCCCACAGTCCCACCCAAACGCCTCCCCTCCTCCACCCTCGGGGCCTCTCCTGGGTCCCCAACCCCCTCTCCTTGCCCTGCAGCGGCCTGGATGAAAGAGCGGACTTCACCTGGGGCGATTCACTACTGTGGTGAGCCAGGCAGCGGCAGGGTGGAGGCGGGGGCTCGGGTGGGGTGGAGGGGTGGCTGCCAATGAAGCCGGGACTGGCCTCCCATTCCCACTCACCGCCACCCTCCCTGGCCACCCAGCCTCGACCAGTGAGGAGAGCTGGACCGACAGCGAGGTGGACTCATCATGCTCCGGGCAGCCCATCCACCTGTGGCAGTTCCTCAAGGAGTTGCTACTCAAGCCCCACAGCTATGGCCGCTTCATTAGGTGGCTCAACAAGGAGAAGGGTGAGCAGGGTGCCCAAGGGGCGCTGCAGGGCCAGTGAGCATGGAGGTTGTGGGGGCTTCTGCCAGGCACGGTGCATGGGGGCAGGGGCGGGCAGAGGGGTGAAGCTGATCCCCACCTTTGTCCTAGATGCCAAATATGCAGCTCTCATGGGACAGCCCTGGGGTCTGTGTGCAATCTGTGTCCACATCTGTCTCCTGCTAGACTCTGTCTCACTTAGGAGTTTTAGTACTGCACAGCACCTGGAACGAGCTCCAAATCCACTCTCCCTCCACCATCTCATATTAATTAATCCTGCCAGAGAGGGCTGCACAGGCCGAACTGCCTGAGAATAGCAAAGAGGTTGTTTCAGGCTTGGGAACTACAGAGACACCTGTAATGGGGAAGGGATGCTCTTGCCAAGTGAGCCGTGGGCACTGCTGGGAGCCACACAGGACTTTGCATTAGGTCATGCAAACCCCACACAGAAGCAGGAGTTGGCAAGGGCCAGGCCTGCAGGGCCCCAGGGAACCCACTAAGGTACACAGGCTCACCTGTACCGGGAGGTTTGTGACTCCAGAGTATTCTCTGCCATTCACTGGGGCCTGTGGCACCTGCTTTGCACACGTCTCTTTAACCTCACCGCAACTACACCTTGGGAGTAGGCATTTGGGCCCCCACACCCCGCCCCACCCGAGCAGGGGGAGGCCTCTGCACGGGGTCCCTTGGTTCGCCACGAGGCTGACCTGGTGGTCTGCGTCTTTCTCCTTCTTGCCACCTCACTCATACCACTGGCTCTCTCGGGGCCCTCCTGCTCTAGGCATCTTCAAAATTGAGGACTCAGCCCAGGTGGCCCGGCTGTGGGGCATCCGCAAGAACCGTCCCGCCATGAACTACGACAAGCTGAGCCGCTCCATCCGCCAGTATTACAAGAAGGGCATCATCCGGAAGCCAGACATCTCCCAGCGCCTCGTCTACCAGTTCGTGCACCCCATCTGAGTGCCTGGCCCAGGGCCTGAAACCCGCCCTCAGGGGCCTCTCTCCTGCCTGCCCTGCCTCAGCCAGGCCCTGAGATGGGGGAAAACGGGCAGTCTGCTCTGCTGCTCTGACCTTCCAGAGCCCAAGGTCAGGGAGGGGCAACCAACTGCCCCAGGGGGATATGGGTCCTCTGGGGCCTTCGGGACCCTGGGGCAGGGGTGCTTCCTCCTCAGGCCCAGCTGCTCCCCTGGAGGACAGAGGGAGACAGGGCTGCTCCCCAACACCTGCCTCTGACCCCAGCATTTCCAGAGCAGAGCCTACAGAAGGGCAGTGACTCGACAAAGGCCACAGGCAGTCCAGGCCTCTCTCTGCTCCATCCCCCTGCCTCCCATTCTGCACCACACCTGGCATGGTGCAGGGAGACATCTGCACCCCTGAGTTGGGCAGCCAGGAGTGCCCCCGGGAATGGATAATAAAGATACTAGAGAACTGACATGTCCCCAGTGTCTGCGCAGTGAATGGCACAGCCCCGAGGTCATCAATGGTCAAATGCGGCTGTGGTCACAGGGCCTGGAGTAGTCAAGGGAGGTTTTCTGGAGGAGGTGGCTTTGGGCTGAGCCTAAAGGGCAAGGGATAATTGATTGGTAGATGCTTCTGGGAGAGAGATAGTGAGGCTTCAAAATCAAGGAGGGGCTAGAACAGCCACCTCATCTTCCCTGTCGCTGTTCGGGCTGAGAGGCAGGCGGCAAGGCCGGTGCTAAAGAGGTGCTACATGCAGGACCGGAGTGGGGAAGGCATCTTTCGCATCCTTTTGCTCTGTTGCAGAGCAGGGCTTTGCAGCTAACAGGGTGGAAGAGAGGTTGGTTGGCTCCTGTTTATGTTTCCTGAAGGCCTCAGCAGTGCTGTCTGTGAAGATGTGAGCTCCTGTGAGTGGGTGTGAGACCCCCGTGTGTGATGGGAAGAGGGTGTGCATTGGTGTCTGTGGGCATGCTGGGGGTGACCAGGACCCACCACCCACTCTCCTGGGCAAAGCAACTCATCCAGCTTCCTCCCACTTCCCTCACATTTATCACCCGGCTCAGTGTCCTTATGGTCTACTATGGGCTAGGTGCTTTGTCATTTATCTTCCCAACAAAACTATGAAGTAGGGGCTACTCCCCCATTTTGCAGATGATGAAACCGAGGCTCAGAGTGGTTAAGTGACTTGCAGATGGTCACACAGCTGATTGACAGAATAACTCATACCTGTCTCTCCCCAAGGACAGGGCTCTCTCTGCCCCTCCAGCCCTCCGGCTTTCTGACCGCTCAGCACCCTTGGTCCTCTATCACCCTTATCCTCTGAGGCCTGGCTTCCAGGAAACAGCAGGGGAGCCAGCACTATCCAGACCACCAAGGGTTAAATGCTACCCTGTACTGCTGCCTTCTGCCCTCAGCAATTTTATTGTCTTCAGAAGAAAGTTTGCTCCTGGCAGTGAGCAAATAGCACCTTGGCATCTGTCAGCTGGGATTGTACTGCAGGGAGGAGGGGGCCCTGCCCCAGGCCTGTGCCTCGCTGGGCCCCTGCTGTGTCTCACTCCCTTGTAGGAGGAGGGTGGGGGGGAGACTGGGACCCTGGCCAGAACCAGGCTCTGCTGAACTGGTTTTGTCTCCAGCCAGCCTGCCCTGCTCCCAACTGAGTCCCTGCAGACACTTGCTTGTATGTCCCCAGCTGGGCCTGGGCCTGGAAAGGCCTCAGATCTCAGGCAGGGGTTGGACAGGAGGATAGGTATGGGGAGTAGAGGCTAGGAGTACAAAGCTGGAGCAGCTCTGGAAAGGGTAGATGTGGGGGCCTGGGTGAGGCAGCTCCCTGCCCATGAACCTTGGCAGGCACACGCCCATCCAGTGACACCTTGTGAGCTGGCAGCGATCTGCAGATCTCCCTCCTCCAAACACCTCCCCAGCAGAACCCCACCTGGCTGGGTATTCTCTGACCCTTCTCCATGGGACCCCACCCTCAGGGCTCCCCATCACTAAATGGAACAGCCTGTGCAGGTAAGACAATACAACAATCTTTTGTCTTTATTTGAAGATTTCTCTGTTTGGCTAAAAGCAGGGCTTCACATAGAGGTAAGTTTGGAGGAGTAAGGAAGATGGGGTGGCAAATAGATTCAGGAGGAGTAAGGAAGATGGGGTGGCAAATAGATTCAATCTCCATCTCAACCTTTCTCCCTGCCTGGCACACCCTGAGGTTGGGGGCAAGGGGTGTCAGGGAAGGGACAGGGGTATATTTGCCCCGAGTAATGGGCTTGTGTGACGGCCCTGCCAGGCTGCCAGGGCCAGAGGACCCTCAGAGAGACATCTCACCAGACTGGGGAAGCTGAGGCCCAGGTGAGGGTGGGAACACAGTGAGCTGACAGCGGAACTGGGACCGGCCCTGGGACTTCTGCGATACCCCGGAAGAGATCCCCTGGGGCTGGATGCAGGGGGAGTCAGGGAGCTAGAGCAAGGGCTGGGCTTGGGGCTGGCAGAACAGCCAAGAACCCAGAGCTCCGGTCCTGCCCATGCCCCTGAGAAATTCTCCCCAAGGAGCCCTCCCACGGGTCCCACACAGAAATGCATTCAGAGCCAGGCGAGACGCAGGAAGGCATGGCACAGCCCAACATCACCGCACAGGGAGCTTGGCACTGTGGACAGCCAGGAACCGTGGGCCTCAGCAGTCACTTTTAGAATTCTGCTTTAAAAAGCAAAACCTATTTGAGGACCTCATTCACTCTTGATCCATGAATGTGGAACCCTGAATGCCCCAGCTCTCCTGGTCAGGGCCTGTCACCAGGCACCCGGAACCTGAATGGGCCAGAGCTCCAGGAGCCTCCAGTATCACCCTCCCCAGTCCAGACAAGACCCAGGCCCCCGCAGGGCGAAGGGACCGGCTCTCAGTGGCCTAGTCTGTGGATGGTGGGCCAGGACAGCACCCAGTCCTGCTCGGGCACCACCCCTACCCCCCTGCATCCCAACCACAAATAGCTCTCAGAGGGCTCAGAAACCCCCAGGACTGAAGGTGCACAGACTCAAGATGACAATGCGCAGCCAGGTTGACACAGTTCTGGATTTTATCCACAGTCATACAATCACAACTGATATATATATATATTTGTATTTATATACCTTTAAATTACACAATCATGTACAAAACAGGTGCATTGCTGAGACCACAGCACTTCTCGGAGTTTCACAAGTGTCGGAACTAATGGAGTCAGGAAGCCTAGGGCGGCAGACGGCGGGCGGTGGGGCAGCCCTGGTTCCTTGCAGAACCAGGCCGCAGAATGGTGGTTAACTGGGGACAAAACACATTACTCGCCGAGCCCCACCAGGGCGGGCCCGTGCAGCATCGTGGGTGCAGGCAGGAGCTACAGGAGGAGGCCGTGGGCATGGCAAGGGGCGTGGCCCCCACACTCGGTGTTGAGTGCCCTGACACCAGCACTGGCAGGTAGGGCTGGGCCCTGGAGCTCAGGGGGACTTCCAGGTAGGAGACCCTCCCGCTCTGGGGCCCTGAGGACCTGGGGACTGAGAGAGTGGTCCCAAACAGGGCCCTGGAGGTGGCTGCTCAGGACGGAGGGGGTTTCGAGTCCCTGCCCTGGAGTGGGCAGCTAGAGTGCTAAGAGGGACAGGCTGGAGTCCAGCTGGGGCTGCAGCCCCTCCCAGGTGCTGGGAAGCCGCTGGCACAGAGAGGGGGAGCCCAGGCCCCAAGGTGCAGATTGCCAGCTTCCCACCTTTCCAAGGTAAGCGATGAGGGACAGAGGCCCCCAACCCCAACTCCTGCCTGGGGAAAGGCTGGAGAGAGAGGCTTCTGCACTGGAGCTGGGAGGACTGCAGGCTTCCAAAAGCTTGCTTCAGGCTCTGAGGAGCCCAGGACACACCTCAGGCTGCAGCCGAAGCTCGGAGACCAGACAGTGATAAGGAAGGGGGTGCTGACGGCAGGAAGGAGGTCTGCCTGTCCCCGGGGTGCCATCGCCCCTGGCCCTGAGGGAGGCCTGCCCCAGCTCAGGCCCTGCCAGAGTGTCAGGACCCTCTGTGCCCACATGAAGAAGGTCAGAGCCTTGAGGCTGGGGTCTACTACCTCCTAACAGTGGGCTGTTGGGAGAAGCAGCAGGAGCAAAGGAGGACTGAGGGGAAACAGGGCTGGGCTGGCTCTCTCTCTTTACCTGGAGGCCCAGGAGGCCAGGTGTGCAGGAGGGAGGAGGGCATCTGCGGTCCAGAGGCCTAGAAGTGGCATCCACTGTAAGCAAGTCTCACCTGGTGCTGCAGGACTTCTCAGCTCCTTGCCCCAGAGGTCCCCAAGAGACTTTTCTTCCAGCTCCCCGCCCTCATGGGGTTTTGTCCAACCCTGGTCTGCTTCCCAAGCCCCCGCACCCTCTCGTGCGGTACCTAGCACTCCGGCACCACTGCTTTCACCAACCAGCAGGTGGGCCCTTTGCTCCCACCCACCCCCAAAGGTCCTTTCACTCTGACCCAGGTTTGGAGACATGGAAGGGCTGCCAGCAGGGAGAATGTTGTTCTGGGGGCCGTGGGGACAAGGAAGAAAAACATGTGACTATCTTCTTCCTGAGGGCCAGGATTCCTCCTTTCTGCTGAACTCAGCTGCAGGCTCTCCCCTGATGTCTCAGGCTGGAGGCACCCGTGCGGCCTTCACGGGCTCCCCAGGCAGGCCAGAGAAGAGGACAGAGGAATGGTTAGGCCAAGAGCCTTGCAGGTACAAGGCTTGGCCTCATGGAGGCTGATGTGGAACCCAGTGATTTTATGGTTTTTGGATGGACATGGAGGGAGAGTGGGGGGCCAGGGGAACAAGATGATCTCCTCCCCAGCAAATGGGAGCAGGCTGCTACTGTTGCTGGCTTTGCCGTAGGTTTGGGGGTCCCCACCCTAGGCCAGGGGACTTTTGAGAGGGGACAGGTCCTCTGCAAGTTGCTGAGGGGGTTTGGATCTGCTGAAGAGCCGATGCTGAAAGTGCTGATAGCTGGAAAGAAGGGCCTGCGTAACAGCGTCTTGGTCCCTCAGATGGGCCTGGGGCTGGGAGGGCTGGCACAGCCCGGGCTGAGGGCCTGCATGCCCTTCATTCACCCTCCTGTACCCCAGTGACACCATGACTTCCTCCAGCTCACCCCTCTTTCATGTCTGGGGGACCCCTGGAAACCTCCATGGGGGAGGAGGGTGACCGTTCCTCCTCCAGTCCCACCGGTCCCAAGGGACGTGGCTAGGAGTAGAAGGGTGCTCCCCGGGGCAGAGTGGAAAACTAAAGATGGGGAAGCCTCCCTTCCAGGGGTCTGGAGAGGAGGCCTTTGAGAGCAGGGTGGTGGAGGAAGGGAAGCAGGGCAGGGGAGGAAGAAGAGGTTAGGAAACCAGGCCAGGGAATGGGGCAGGTGCCGGCAGCCTGGAGTGGAGTGGGACGGAGGGAGTGAGGCGGGGTGGAAGGGTCAGGAGACATCCATCCCTCAGGGCTCAGGAGACTCTTTGGTGGAACCCGAAGAGCAGATGTTGTGATGTTGGGCTAAGTCCTAAGACTGTTACCTACCCTGGGGCCACCCCAAGCCCCAGCACCCCAGCCTCCAGGTGGCCCTGCAAATGCTCTGTCTCTGCATACTTTGTTTTGTTCTGTTTTGACTTTTAAAAAAATAAAAGCTTGATCGGAAAATATGTCTGGAACTCTATGGCGAGGGGAAGGAGACGAGAGTGGGAGGGGAGGGGCGGCAGTGGGGAGGAGTGACGGGAGTATGGAGGGAGGGGGCCTCTAGATAGCCTCCACGTAGTTGGCAGGGTAGAGGCCCAGCTGCCCGCTGTCCAGCCGCCCACGGCACCAGCCCTGCTCATCCTCCTCGCCCAGCTTGGTGAGTTCGTCTCCTGGGAAAGAGAACACAGGGAGGGGCTCAGAGAGAAGGCTGCCCCTCCCTCAACGCACCGGCTGCTAGGGGAACCCTCCAATACCCACCTCCTGATTACTGCACTGGGTTTTAGATTCTTAGGCCCCGCCCCTGGAAACCAGCCCCAGTCCCACGCCAACATTCACGTGCCACCCTTGGCATAGGGGTCTTGGCCTACCTCAGCCATTCACCTAATCTGGGTGTCGGGTCCGTCCCCAAAACCAGACCTCGCATCCACACTATTCTCAGGTTCTGACTCCGCCCCTGGCACCAACCAATCTAAATCTTGCCCCCACTCCCATCCTGGGCCCAGGTCACGCCCACAACCCAGGCCACGCCCCATTTAGTTCCCTGCAAATCCTCGCAACCCGTCTTCAGATCCTGCCTCTACCCCACCACACACCCAATGCAGGCCCAAGCCTCTCTTTCAGGCACCACCCCTGCCCCACCACACACCCAATCCAGACCCAAGCTTCTCTCTCAGGCACCGCCCCTGCACCACCACACACCCAATCCAGACCCAAGCTTCTCTCTCAGGCACCGCCCCTGCACCACCACACACCCAATCCAGGCCCAAGCCTCTCTCAGGCACTGCCCCGCCCAGCCGTCCTACCGGCCTTAAAGCTGAGCTCGTCCTGCTCCTGGCCGTCATAGTCGTAGAGTGCCCGCACGCGCACTCCCTTGGAGTCGTCCTCAAAGGGGTTGGCGCCCCCGTTGGTCTCACTGCCCCCAAAGGGGTTCCCACTCTCGTCGTCTGACCACTCGGTGGCGTAGGGCTGGCCTCTGTCGTAGCTGCTAACACTGAGACGCGGAGGAAGGAGCCAGCTTCAATGTCTCCCCGTACCGCATCCCGAGGGCTAACCGCTCCTCCTAATCAGAGCCCTGATCCCGAATTCTACCAAGGCTAGAGCAAGGATTGGCCACATAGGAGGGGTGACCCTCATGAGCTCTTTAAACCGATGTTTAAATGCAGGACCATTTGCGTTATTATTCAGCCCTCGAGGGAGAGGGCATTGAAGGGGACCCCAGGGCACATCTGAGCCTTCATCCGGGAGGAGGAGTACCACCTAATGTTTAAGAGCAAGGATCCTGGAGTCAGACCTCCTGGGCAACATATCTGGCTCTGAGGTTTACTAACTAGCAATGTGATCTTGGGCAAGTCACTTAACCTGTCTGGGTTTCAGTTTCTCCATCTGTAAAATGGTAATATTTACGCACTTGAGCATGAATGAGTTAACATATGGAAAGTGCATAGAACCGTGCCACACACAGTAGGTGCTCTAGAAGGATATGCTACCACTATCTTTTAGAGAGGAGGCTTGGTTCCTGTGATCTGGACCGGGGTCCCCAACCCTGGGGCTGCAGACAGTCCGTGGCCTGTTAGGAACCAGGCAGCACAGCAGGAGGTGAGTGACAGGCGAGGGAGCATTATCGCCTGAGCTGCACCTCCTGTTAGATCAGCCGCGGCGTTAGATTCTCATAGGAGCGCAACCCCCCTATTGTGAACTGCGCATGCGAGGGATCCAGGTTGCACGTTCCTTAGGAGAATCTAACGCCTGATGATCTGAGGTGGAACAGTTTCATCCGAAAACCACCCCGCTCCCATCCGTGGAAAAATTGTCTTCCACAAAACTGGTCCCTGGTCCCAAAAAGATTGGGGACGGCTGCTTTAGAGTGATGAACTACCACTATCTTTTAGAGAGGAGACATAGTTGCTATGATCTAGACCATTTCTTGTCTTCTGAAGCAAAACTCAGCTGCCCCAGAGTGTGGGTCCCTCTTGGCCCCAGGAAGCTCCACAGGAGGCACTCACCTGCCGCGGTCCCCAGCCTGGGATGTGGACTCTACCGCCCCAGTGGCATTGGTCAGCGCCACTCCCTCTGCCTTCTTAGGCTGTTTCTCCTTCTTGGTGGTGGTGTGAGGAAGGTCTGGGTTCCACTCCTGGTGGGGCCAGTGGAGCAGTCAGGCTGGGGGACTATGCCCTGAGGCACCTTTCAGCCTCTTCAGGCTCCCCTTCCCATCCCCACATATCCTCACCTCAAACTGGGGCCAGTTCATGGGCATGCCGGGGCCACTGGTGCTGCGGAACCATCTGAGGTCTTCCTGGGCATCAGCCCCCCGGATGGCCTGCTCCAGCTCACGGTACACATGGATGTAGCTGTGCTCAGGGAGATGGGGGAGGTGGAGGGCACAGATTCAACATGGCCCCTCCTCAACCTTGGTGAGAGGCCAGAGTCCACTCAGGGAAGCAGGGTGCTGGGCATGCTGCCCAGCCAGGAATCATGTGGGCTTTGCAAGAATAAGCTCCGGGCATGCTCGGTGGACTCCTTTTCCCTCCCACCTTAGCCATTCACCCATCATCCAGCATGTGTTTCTAGAGTACCCAGTGTGCGTCAGCTTGCACTCAACAGCCCCTGTGTTTGAAGCCTCATCCTTCTTGACCCCTGCAGCTCTGCCTCCCCTTCCCGTCACTGTGATGGAGGGCTGGGATGCCCTGCATGCCAGTCACACCATCTGCTGGCTGTGCCTGTGCCCTCGGTGCCTGCCATGCCCAGGTACCTGCTGTTCTCAGCCAGGTTGAGGTGCCGTTTGATGTCCAGCAGCACCTCCTTGAGGAAGACCAGCCGCTTTTCCTCAAATTGCTGGCATTGCTCAAACACCTGCTCCATGTTCTCCATGTACTGGGGTGTGGTCTTGCCCACATCTTCCAGCACTTTCTCATACTTCTCCTGTGTCTGTGGGCACCAGAGTGGAGAGAGGGTGACACCTAGCCAGGCCTGCAGCTCCCAGCCACCACCCTCTGCAAGGGGCCCCCAGACCCCCTACTGCCATCCCTGCCCGCCAGCACCTTCTGCACATCCTGCTTGCACTTGTCCACTTTGTCCTGCAGCTTCTTTTGCTGCTCAGGTGTGACCGATTGCTCCGTCTTGCTGTTCATCTCCCGTGTCATGGCCAGCTTTTCCTCTTTGCAAGCCAAATGGTAGGCCTTCTTGGCTGCCTCCAGCTGTGGGGAGGGGGGAATAGGGAGTAGGGTTTTCATTTGTGACCAGCAGCAAACATGGTCACCCATTAACTCCTCCCCTGCCCACTCCCTGGGACCTGTGAGCCCACACTCTTAAGAGCCAGAAGGGATGCAGGCCCTGGCTCCAGGTGTTCGGGAGCAGCGCTCCTCCATTTGTGGCTGCGTCTCTGCTTGGCACTGCCTGCTCCCCTGCAGATACCCTCCTGTCAGGCAGTGCAGTGCCCGCCCCATCTGGGGACCCAGGGGCCAATGTGCTCTTCTGCCCCTGCTGGTATCTTTCCTGGGGACAGTGCCCCTTTTTGCCCATGGGTCTCCTTACCCAATGGGCACTGCCTACCCATCTGTGAATATTTTTTCCTGGAAGGCAGTGCTGCTCCCCTGTGGGCACAATCCCAGAGGGCAGTGCCCAGCCCACCCATCCATAGATGCCCTCCCTGGGATCAGCACCCTCTGATCAGACGGGCCCACCCCACCCCGCCCGTGGCAGCACCCACTGAGCACCTCCTTCATCTTCTTGGCCCAAGGCTTCTGGGCCTTGCGGAAGCCATCTTCAGCCTCCTTCGTCTCCTTGAAGCCACCCATGATCTGCTTGTGATAGGCGTCCTTCTGCCAGTTCTTCACCTTCTCCAGGTCCTCATTCAGCAGATTGTTCTTCACCTCCTGGTGCAGCTCGCTCACCTTGTCTGCCTCTGTCATTATGGCACCCCAGGCCCGCTCCAGGCTGCCATACTGTGGGCCTGAGGGAATGGCAATAGGTCACAAGAACCTCATTGCCCCTGCCCAGAGGCCCCCCCTCACATCTCCCTTCTCTGAGGCTTTCCCTTTCCTCTCATAGCAACAGAAATGCCCTCCTCTGCTCTACGTGGCCCCATCCTCTAGGGCCCACATCAGCCACCACCTCCAGGAAGCCTTCCCTGACTGCTCTGCCCTCCTGCCATGGCCAGCAGCCCTCGCTGCATTCTTCTCACAGTATCTGCGGCCATACCTCCCTCCTCCTTATCTCTCTTGTCAGCATGTGAGCCCCATGGAATGGGGTCGGAGGGGGGCAGCCTGGACCCTGTGAGCTCTGACAAGCCCAGCACAGCGCCAAGCACACAGTAGGTGCTCCAGGAATGTTAGCTGAAGCTTGTGACAGATGCCAAGAGGCCACTGGGGACCAGTCATTCCACACTGACTTGTTGTTTGTGTACTGGCACCAGCTCTGTGCAGGGCACTGTGTTAGGTGGTGCAGGCCCAGCCCCTGCTCTCATGGGGTTTAGAGTATACTGCAAGAGAATAACATGAACAAGTATATGTAAACCGCAACTTCAAACTGTTCTAGATTAAAGGAACCTGAAGACACAATGCATAGAGGCAATGTGCGACTGCACTAGATCCTGGACTAGCAAGCGCAATTGCCATGGTAAATGTGCGTATGGGTCGTATTACATGTCCCAAATTTGATAGCTGAACTCTGGTTACTTAAGCAAATGCTCTTGTTCTTAGGAGATACATGAAGAATTTAGGGGTAAACAGGGATAATGGCTCCAGCTTACTCTCAAATGGTTCAGAAAATATGCATATCAATAAACAGTCAGTGAGAAAACGTGGGGCCAGTGAGCCTGGGGGAAGGGTATGTAGGAATTCTCTGTGCTACTGTTGCAACTTTCACAAAGTTTGAATTATTTCAAGATAAAAAGTGTTTTTTTTTTTTTAATTCAACCTAAAATTGTACAAAATAGAGATGAACAGGTAGGCCTGGTTTGATCTAGGAGGGAACAGCGCCTGAAAATGTCCTGTGTCTGGTAGATGGAGGGCATGGTGCATGCAAGTAGCCGGGGCTCCTAGGACCCAGACCTAGGGGGCTCGTGACGGCCTGGGGGCGCGCACGATGTGAGCCTGGGGGAGCACCTTTCTCGATGAGCTGGCGCCAACGCTTGGCCCAGTCGGTGAGCTGCTGCCCGTACGCCTTCTCGATCTTGGCGCGCTCCTGCACGCAGTTCATCAGGTCGTTGCATAGACGGTGGCCGTCATCGATGCGCTTCACGGTCCGCTTGTAGTTCCCCACCTGGCGGCCAAGCAGCGAGCACCACTCCCGCGGGTTCCCAGCGTCCCCAGCCCCGCCCGCCGCATCCAGCACGGCCACGCCCACTGTCTTCCGCCCCGCCTCCCCGCTTACGGCCTCGCCGTCCCCGCCCCCGCCCCCGCCCCCCGCCCCGCGGCGCAGCGGCAACACCCCAGGGAAACTAACTTTCGGAGGCTCCAGCACCCTGCCTCAGGCCCCGCCGTCTACACGCACCCTCACCCCAATTTAAACATGATTTCCTTGCTGCCACAAAATGCAGAAGGATTTTTAGAATTTGGACTTGGGCTGGAATGAATTATTCATTTTGTTTTTGCGAGTTAAATCTATTATATTTATATAGAGTCATATAAGCGTTGAGTTGAGCTGCAGCTTCTTGACATAATATTATGTTTTGTCGACATCTCATTAAACGCTTATTAATTTAGGTTTGGCAGTTTTCGTCTTGGGTTTCCGGAGCCAATAGCAATTTTTTTTCTCCAGGTCTCAAATATTTCCGAAGGTTCTGAAAATGCTGGCTTCTGGCTGTGCCTCCCGCTCTGCGGCCCCGTGGGGCTCTGGGAGCTCACTCCCTCTCTCTGTGTCCGGCGCTCCACCCCTGCCCACCTCAGGATGGGGGGCGAGCGAGGGAAATAGGAACAGCTGAGAAAGGCTGTGCTGTACCTGCCTGATGGAAGTGCCACAGAGTCACAAAGGGCCTGTTCCCACATTGTGAAATGCCACAGGCTCTCTCTGGGGGCAGCTGTGGGGAGAGAGGAGCTCCTGGCTCAGTGGGCAGTGCTCTTAGCCACTTCATGGCTACCGCTGCCTGTTGGACACCCAGGGCTTTGGAGGGGCCTGGGGGACTGCGGAGTGGGGCCTGAGGTCATGGGGTGAGTGATAAGGGAGCCTGGCCTCCAAACAGCCAGGCTGTCTGGTCCCCGAACCTGGGGATCATGAGAGCCTCACCTCCCAGAAGCTGTCGGTGGTCTCCTCTGGCGCCAGTGAGGCCTCATCGTAGGAGCTGGACATGGTGTAGCCGCAGGGGGATGGACAAGTGCGGAGCTGCGGTTAGCAGGCTCGGCTGCTCATGCACTGGGAGGGCAGGAGAGAGATCCCTGGAGATGAGGGAAGGGCCTTCCACCCTTTGCCCCATTCCAGGCCTGGGTCCCCAAACCGATGGGACCCAGGGAGGCTTGCATTAGGATGCCATCTTCCTGTCCAGAGACTAACTCACCAGACTTAGGTAACCCCAAGAGTCGCCCTGTAGCACCCTCATGCCCAACTCCCCATCCCTCCTCCTTCCCCCTCCCTGGAATCCATCCTCTATCCAGTATGAGCACCTCCGTTCAGAAGCCAGCCCCAGCCCCCAGAGCTGGCTCTCTCTCCTGGACTGTTGGAGCCCAGGCTCAGCGCCTCCTCAGTTATCTGAGCCCCGGGACCCTGTAAATGCCCTTCTGTCTGCCCTTGCTCCCAACCTCAGCAGCCCCCATTAGCTTCTTACAAGTCTCCTGAGAGTCCCAAATGTGTGGTGTCCTGGCCCACAGGTCACACCACCGAGATCTATGGGAGCGTCTGGGGTGGCTGTGTCTGCCCTGGATCTGTCGGCAGGCATCAGGGTTATCCAATCTAGGCCGTGCGCTGCCCCAGGGCCGAGGTGGGTACTCCCCTCCTCCCTTCCCCCAGCCAGGCCTCACTGTTACCCCAGGCAAGAATGGCTCAGTAGTCAGGAGCCAGGACTCAGAGGGCCAAGGGCCTGGTTTTCAAAGAGGCAGCAGAGTCCAGGCTGCGCCTGGCCCTGATACAAGCTGCCAGCCTCTAGCTGGATCCCGGCACCAGGGGACACCTCCCTGCTTCTGCACTGCAGTCCCAGGACTGTGAACCCTGACAGTGTGGATGCTCAGGGAAGGCTGGCCTCTGTAAGATTCAGCCCAACCTGGGGGTCCAGCAGTTGGCTCTCAGGCTCAGGGCAGGGGCAATAACACGTAAGAATGGTTGGTGGAGGATGTCCCTCCCCCTAGGGCTCCCCATCTGTCCAGGGCCTGGGGCTCTTTCCCAGTAATAACCCAGTATTGCCTCTTGCACCCCTCAGGCATCTAAACATATTTTGTTCCCTCCCTTTTAGAAGAACCACAGACAGACTTTCCCATAAACTCACGCACAGTGCGGGTGGGTGAGAGGGAGGACGGCTGGATTTCATCAAGGGACAAAGAAATGAGTCTGAATTTTTCTTTTCTTAACTTGGCACTTTTCACTTATAAAGCAGTACTTGCTTCATAAGGAACGTTTTAAATTTAGATACAGAGAAGTGAAAAGCAGGGATGTTTAAGGAAGCATGGTCAGCCAGGTGAGATAGGTATCCCTGGGGCCACAGTCCCTTCTAGAACCCTTAATGTCACATAGAACTCTCCCGTAATGCATAGCTGCCAGGGGGCTGCTGGGGGGCGGGCAGGAGTTGGTTGGAGGCATTCCCTCATGGGAACAAAGGTAGAACCTGAGCCATTTGTCTCTCGCCCATGGTGATGGGAAAGTAACTTAATACCATACAATTGTTATTGATACAATTATGGGGTACACACCCTTCACCCGGGAACACCACTTCTAGGAATTTACTTCCAGTCAGTCAGCCAGATGATGCACAAGATTATTTACTACAGTACTACTTGTAAACGCAAAAGGCTGGAAACAGCCCAAATACCCGTCCACAGAGGGCTGGGTCAATAAGTTATGGTGCAGGCCTGTCTTGGAAGTTCTGCTCCTAAATGGAACCTTCCCCAGACCATATCACTAAAGCAAAAAGAGCAAGGTGCAGACCCATGTGGCTGGGGAAAATACATAAGTAGGGAGTGTTTTGGAGGACCACAAGAGAAACTGGTGATGGTGACCATCTTCGGGGAATGGGGTGGCCAGGGGACGCAGGGGGAGAGAGACTTTTCTCTGTAGGTCCTTTTGTGCCCTTTTAATTTTGCCTCATGTGCATGAATTTTTTAATGTGCCTCGTGTGTACATTTTTTAAACCCTCTGGCCTGTGCTGGGGGAGAGCTGAGGGAGCTGGAAACCAGGATGGAGTGTGCTGTCAGCATGGAGGGAAGGGACAGTACAGCTGAGACCTGGTATGTCAGGCCAAAATACCCAATGGCTGAGACCACTCTCTACCTCGTCCAGAAAAGGCCAGGCCCAGGGTTCTTGGAACTTGCTGGGGTCCACCCTTGGTATTGGCAGGTAACGTGTCTCTCCAGCTTCCAGATGAGGGAGCATGTGTAGTGAAACAGCTCCAACCTCAGGGTCCCTGCTCTGCTACCAACCTGCTGTGTGACCATGGGCAATTCGCAGGCCTCTCTGGGCCTTGCTGGGAAATGAGGACGAAATGACTGACTTAAGGATTAGATGAGGTGGTGAGTGTCCAGCCATGGCAGACCCTAGGCCCTCCCAACTCCAACCTCGGTTCTGACCCACACAGTGGTGGGCTCAGGAAGAAGAGCCAGGAGACAGCATGTGGACCCCCGTATCATGTGGCTAGACACACCTTCCCATCCTGCCTCTGCCTTTTCCAAACTAACCTCACACCCCCACCCTAGGGGCAGGCAGGAGGCTCAACTCTGGACAAACGCCATGTCCTTCCTGAAGGGCAGTCGGTACCTGCTGTCACTAAAAAGGCTGCATCTCTCACCATCAGAAAGGGATGTGGCTGTCACCTGGCACTCCCTGTGGGCAAACTCAACATGCTCTTGGCCTTCCTCAACCCTTCAAAGGGGCACCAGGCCCATCTGCCTTCTCTCACCAGTGGCTGTGAGGCTAGCTCAGCCCTGAAGACACTTTAGTGTCTCAATAAATGACAGCTGGCATTGATTGGGCACATACCATTCACATGTCAAGTCTACCTCCTCTAATCCTCACCACAACCTGACCAGGCAGATTCTGCTGTCACTCCCACACTGTAGCTGAGAATCCAGGGGCTCCGGGATGTAACAGGGACAGAGCTTGTCCAGGTACCACGGGAGAAGTGAGCCCAGGGCATCACAGCATCCCTGTGTGATCTTATGATTTAAGGCTATCACAGCAATGACAGTGGCCAGCAGGCAGTGAGGGCTGAATGTCCCATGCACGGTGCACAGCACTGCATGTGGGAGCTCAATGAATAGACAACGGCCAGGTGATGTGGGAACTACTGTTACACTGTTTTATAAATGAGGAAACTGAGTCACGGAGCAGCGAAGTAACCTGCCAAAGGTTGCTCAGTGTGATGATTAATTTCAGGGGTCAGCTTGATGGGATTAGGGGATACCCGGAGAGCTGGTGAAGCATTATTTCCGGGTATGCCTGTGAGGGTGTTTCGGGAAGAGGCCGGCTTTGCAATCAGTGGACTGAGGAAGGAAGATCTGCCCTCATGCAATGTGGGCGGGCACCACCCAATCGGCTGAGGGCCCAGAGAGAAGGAAAAGGCAGAGGAAAGGTGAGTTCTTGCTCTCTTCTGGAGCTGACGCTCTTCTCCTGCCCCTGGACATCAGATCTCCAGGTTCTGTGGCCTTTGGACTCGGGGACTTTGCATGAGCAGCCCCTGAGGTCCTCAGGCCTTTGGCCGCAGATTGAGAGTTACCCCATGGCCCCCCTGGTTCTCAGGCCTTTGGACCTGGAGCCATGGTACCGGCTCCCCTGGCCCAGCAGCTCACAGACAGCGTAACATGGGACTTCTTCACAATCACATGAGTCAGCTCCCCTAATAAATCCCTTCTCATCCATCTTTCTCTACCTACCTATCTATCCATCTGTCATCCATCCATCCATCCATCCACCCATCCATCCAATTGGTTCTGTCTCTCTGGGGAGCCTAATACACCCAGCTAGGGAAAGGTGCAACTGGGATTTGAGCCCAGGGTCTGGATCCAGAGCGCACACTCCTGACCACCACACTATCATTACATAGAGAGGTGTTGACATTAACATTGGCTATCACTAGCTGGCGTTTACCGAGTGCCTACTGTGTGCTGGGTACGGCTGTAGATGCTTTATGTGTGCCTTATTTTCATTTACAGATGGGGAAACTGAGGCACGGAGTGACTAAAATAGTGCACGCATGGCCTTTGAGACAGTAAACAGCGGAGCTGGTATTGAATCCTCGCTCCAGCCGAAGCCACTGCTGCGTGGCCCCTGCTGAGCCTCATTCCCCGGGACCCCTGAGGGAGAGCGGAAGCAAGGCTTACTGAGCACTTCCTCAGGACAGGCCCTCACACCCAGCACCTCGTTCATTCTCACAGCAATCCTCACAGAGAGGGGCTTCCTCTTTTTCTTCTTGCGGAGACCAAGACTCAGAGAGGTAAGCCAAGATCGCGCAGCTACAGGTGGCAGAGTAAGGACTTGACCCTGGGGCCTGTGCAGCGCAGAGTAGGATTACATCCCAGACTCTGGAGCCAAATAATCTGGATTCAAACCCTGGCTCTCTCATGTATGGGCTGTGAGACCGTGTGTGGCTCTCTCCCTCTTCCCAGGCCTCGGCGTCCGCATCTGTAAAATGGGCTGTTGCAAGGATTAAACGGAGCACTAGACCTCGGGCCACTGGACCGCGCCTGACACACGGCGAGCTCTCCACAGGTGTCGGCGCTTACTATCCATCCACCACCGCCGTTGCCTGTAGTGGAGCAACAGCTCCATCTCAGGGGTGGCCCTCTCTCTCTGTGGAGCCAGGAAGGGTCTTGCCTTTCTTGTCCATGAGGATGATGCAGCCTGTGAAGTGCAGACTGGGGGGTGCAGGGCTCTGGAGCCAGCTCACCCAACTACTACCAGTGAGATGTGGGCCAAGTCTGTAATGGCGGCCTCAGTGACAAAGGAGCCCCAGCGTGGAGGGCATCTCTCCTCAGGCCCAGGCATCTCCTGAAAGCTGCCTCTAGGAGACCCTGGAGGGCAGGGCCCTCAGCTGTGTTCCATCTACTCCTGGCTTGAGGAAGGGACAGAGGAATTAAGAGCAGGAGCCTGGAGAGGCCAGGCCTCGTGTGGACCAAGGCGCCGTGTGGATTCCTACCTCAGTGGTCACCAATCACAGGCCTGGGAGTCACCCAGCTGCTCCCAGCCACCAGCAGGTCCTGAGCCCCCACCTCCTCCCTGTCCTCTCCGTATTATTCTTCACAGCCCTCGTCACCACCGGACACGGCATCCACAGCACGGCATTCATCACGTTGCGTGTCCTCCTTCCCACAGGAATGTCACTTAGTCCAGTCAGCGGTGTTTATCTGTCTGGTTATCTGCCGTATTTCCAGCATCCAGTGCAGTGCCGGCAACATAGTAAGTGCGCAGTGCACTTTTGTTGAATGAATGAATGAATAAATGCCAAGGACCTTCTAACATTCACTTAATAAACAGCAGAAATGATGAATTTTCTATCCCAGAGCCAGACACAGTTACCTGCACACAGTGGGCGCCCAGCCAATGTTGACGATGATGATGATGACACAACCAGAACCAGGAGCCAGGAGCCAGGAGGGGGTCCCGAGTCCCACCCGCCCTCTGTCTCCAAGCCGGGCTTCTCCTGGAGAGCCCTTCCCTCCTCTTGGTCAGCCCTCAGGGCCCGGTTCCAGGGTCTCCTCCTCCCTGTGGTCCCAGGACCATCCTGCCCTCAGCATGGCTTCCTCCGTCCTCAGGGGTACTGCAGCACGCAGGCGGCATCAACAACACAACCATTTTTGAGCGCCTACTGTGTGCCATTGTGAGCGCCTCCTCACATGCTTTATCTCCAAACCTCACAGCCCACTGAGATGGCTGTTGCCTTCCCTGTTCTAGAGATGAGTACCTGAGACTCAGAGAAGTTAGATAACTTGTCCAAGGTCACACAGCAGGAAGGAGGCAGAGCCAGACTCAGACCCAGGGGTGGGTCCTTCCCCTGCCCCTGCTCCTGGCTGTCTGTGGGTGTCACTCCAGCCCTCCTGGCCTAAGGCCTTCTCCCCACGGAACAGGCTCAGCTCAGGGACAGGGACATGGGGAAACCAGAGCTGCCTGCCTATCCCCCAGGGTCTCAGGTCCTACAAATATTCCCAGCAGTGCCCCCCAACCCACTCCTCGCCTTACCCAGAGATAGACCGACAGGCTCACAGCGCCTGGCTTGGGGCCACACAGGGACTGACCCATCTCTGCTGGGGCTCCCAATGCAGCGGGGAGGATTTGAGTCAGCTGAGATGCACCGTGTCCACTAGAGCCTCTGCCCCTTTGCTCATGTCTCCCCACAACCCAGGCTAGGGCACATGCCATCCTCCCTCCCATCACTCACCCCTCCCCAAAAAACCTCTGCTTCCCTTCAAGGGCCAGCTCAGTCCCTGTCCCTCCAAGAAGTCTTCCCCAAATACCCCAGCCCTCGCCTACCCCTCCCCTCATCTGACACCAACACTGTGGTGCCATTCTTAGGCATGCCCTCCCCTAAACAGTCTTGCTGGTTCAGGAGTGGCAACCTGCTGTCCCAAAAAGCTGATTAGCACAATAGCTAACAGCACCAAGAGGCCAGACAGAATATCTGCAGATGAGGTTCAAATCCCTGCTCTGCCACTGACCTTGGCAAGTTAGTTAAACTCTCTGTGCCTCGGTTTCCTCATCTGCAAAAGGAGGTGATGATAGCACCTACCCCATGGGATAGCACCTACCCCCATGATAGCACCTACCCCCATGGGGTGTAGGAGGAAATGAGTGCCCAGTGCACAGAAGGCCCAGAGTTCACCTGCAGTATTATGGGTGTTAACAGCTACAGAGCCTTCATGACAGGAGCCTCATCTCTCTGGATCACCTGGCTCCCCTTCTCCCCTCCTCAGCTAATACCCCCAGAGCCCTTCCAGGACTGTTGGGCCTCACCTGGGACCTTCAGGTCTCCAGGTCCCCCATGAAAGGAAGATCTCAGGCCTGGCTTCCTCTTGCTTTCTCTTTGGGTCTGAAAACCAGTCCCCTGGACCTCCATCCCCTCTAACCTGGGGTGTTCCAGGCAGTCCCCAGGGAGCCTGCTCATTAGAAATGATGATCCCAAGTTGAGGAGGAAGGAGGAGGATGGAAACACAAATGGGGAGACTCAGGGAGGCAGAGCTCAAACCTTACTCAAGGCTGGAGGGCCCCAGAGAGGCCCAGGGCAGAGGGGACCAGCTGGGCTCATCCCAGCTAGGAAGGGGCCCAAGGCACCCCTTGGTGGCCCACCTGTGAGAACAGGCGAGCCTCAGACACAGCCTCAGGCACCCCAGCCTCTGTGGCTGGCCCCTCCTCCTCCCTAGCCCACTCCTGGTCTGACCTTTCACCCTTCACCACCCCTGTGCTCTCCCTTCCTCCTCCGGCCACCCTCTTAAGAGCCCAGACCCTCTCTCTCTCCTCCAGAAAATCACCCCAAAAGGCCCACATCCCTCCCCTGCTCTCAAGCCAAGTAGACAAGACACCATTTTGCACAGCCCACATCTTTAGAGGGCCTCTAAGCCTGTTTCAGGTGGGGCAGGCTCATCAGGGAGTAAGACCAGCCCTTCCCTCATGGAGCTTACATTCCAGCATGGGCAAAAAGCCAAGAAGAAAATACAATAAATATCACCACATTAGGTGGTGACAACAGTTCAGAGAAAATTCAGCCAGCGTGAGGGACAGGGCAAAGGGTGGTGGAGAGCCACTGGAAGGTGGCGTTTACATACCCCAGCTCCCCTGCCCTCCTGGACTGAGTCAAAGGTGTGTTCAAAACCCCTCCCAGAGCTCTCCAGCGGGAGTGAGCTGAATTGCCCGCAGTGGTAACTTGCTTGGTAAAGCACCCTTTTTTGTCTCCCTGTGTCATTTTCCCACCCTCAGTGTTTCTGTGGGCCACCTCCTAAATGAATCATATCCTTGTCTTGGGGTTGGCTTCTCGGGGAGCCCAAAGTGAGATGCCCACAGATGGGGAGGCAGAGACAGGAGCTTGTTGGGAAGGCAGGGCCCCCTCCTGTCTGCTCTGGGGCATCTCTTTTCTCAACACCAGTCAGCACACACTTGGCCACTCTGCAGGGGTCCGTCTGTCTGTCCTGAGCCCACTGCCTCTGTGGCCACCTGGAGAGCAGGGGCCAGGCTGCCTCCTCTGTGGGCAACACTCCTGGTGGGAGTGCGCAGCACGTTTTTGCAACACAGGGAACTCAAGGATGAGTTCTGACCAGGAAGAAGGGGCCGTGGCCCTCCCGCTTCAGTGGCTTGGGGTGGGATGCATGCAGCTTGCCCTCTTCCGGGGCCTGGCCGGGCAGAGCAGCTCTGGTCACAGCTGGATTGGAGAAAAGGAAGATGTGTGGACCCAGTGCAGGCCCAGTGTCCTGTCCAACCCAATGTCCCTGAGGCAATGGCTCAGGTAGGTGGGCATCATCTTCCCCTGTGAGGACAGAATCATAGGCCCCCACGACAGCACAGATGCTGAGCCAGCCCCCGAGGGAGACACTCCTGGCTTTACACTGCAGCCCTGATTCTCAGGGTGCAGAGCTGGGCTACAGCAGTGAACAAGACAGAAAACCCCCTCCCTTGTGGGGCTGACATTCTAGAGAGGCTGAGCAGGCAAGAAACGAGATAAATAAGTGGTAATCAAGGATGTTAGAAGGTGATAAGGGCTGTAAAGGAAAGCAAGGCAGGGGAGGGGACAGGGAGGGAAGATGGGGGCGAGGAGTTGTGCTTTTTTATGGAGGATGGTCAGAGAAGGTCATTCTGAGCAGGTGGCCTTGGAGCAAAGGCCTGAGGAAGGTGGAGAGGGAGCCAGGCAGAGCACTCAGGCAGCCTGAACAGCCCATGCAAAGGCCCTGGGGCAGAAGCCGGCTGCCAGGCTTGAGGAGCAAGGGGGTCATGTGGCCTGCGCAGATGAGGGAAGGGGAGGGGTGAGGCTGGAGAGGTTGGGGGAGGGAACTGGGGAGGGCCTTGTAGGTCAGAGGGAGGCCTTTAGCTTTTTCTGAGTGAGATGGGAGCCATTGCAGGGTTTGGGAAGAGGTGGGATGTGATCTGGCTTCTGTTTTAAAGGATCTGTGGCTGCTGGGGGAAGAGCAGACCATGGTGGGGCAGAGTGGGCAGGGAAGCTCTAGGAGGTGGCTGCAGTCCCCCAGGTGAGGGAAGATGGGGGCTCAGAATGAGGAGGTAATGTTAGAAGGAGCGGGAAGAGGCTGGAGTCTGGAAGTGCTGTGGCATTCCAGCCAACAGGATCTGCCGATGGTTTGGATGTGGCGGTGAGATGAGAAGTCAAGGATGGCTCCTGCCAGAGCAGCTGGCAGACAGAGCTGCTGTTTGCTGAGCTGGGGATACCGAGGGAGGAACGGCGTTGGGGGGATGGGAGCTCAGTTCTGGAGCCCTGAGATGCCCATGGACAGCCAGCTGGAGATACCTCCTCACCCTTGCCAGCTCCTGCACGGGGGTCAAGGGCAGTGAGGAGGGGCCAGCCGGGAGCCAGATTGTTCCTGTGTCCCAGGCCCCAGCCCCTGCTGAGCTCCAGGCCTCTCAGTGCTCCTGGGGCCTCCCTCAAGCTCCCTTTCACATGAGAAGGTCTGCCAGGGGAGGTCAAGTCTCAATCCGGCTTCCAGGCAGGTGCCCTGGGCTGTGGGCACGTTGTGTGCAATGAATTGGGCCAGGGAAATGTGTCCCAGAAGCCCATCCTGGCAGCCCCGAGCCAACCTGTGAAGCAGCAACCTGACAGGGAGGGGCCCGGGCCTAGAGGAGGCAGGCCAGGGGCTGGAGGTCGGGGCCAGGCCTGGAGGGCCTGCTGAGTGGACAGACGTTCCTTCAGCTCTCACCCAAAGAACCTGCCCTCCAGGCCTCACCAGCCCCTGCTCCAGTGGAGGTGGGGGCGGCCGCTGACGGGCAACTGAGGCCAGCAGGCCTGGCTGCAGGAGGTGAGGCAGGGCAGATATCAGCTCCCACCCTGGTCAGGAAGGAGGAGAGTGCGGGGTTCGGAGGAGCAGGGGCAGGCAGTGTCAGTGCGCACAGGCGAATCTGCATCCCGTTTCTGCCATCCCCGAGACCTGCCCTTCTCCCTCCTAGGCCCTTGATCCCAAAGTGGGAGCCCCTGAGTCCAGCACTCTGTGAATGTGCGTCTAACGTTTGCAGAAATGAGCAGAGCCACGCCAGCTTCTCAGCGTGTATGCCCCTACCCATCATGTGACCCCTCCTCAGCCCCTGCACCAGGCCCTCTGACCCGAGTGCCCATGGGAAGGGGACACCCCACACTGTGGTCCAGTGAAAGACCCAGCTGGGCTCTCAGGGGGTGCGGGAGAGAAAGCAGGTGGAGAAGGGCAGGACCTTAAGCACGCCCATAGTTGCACACATCAACCTTCTGCCCCTTGCAGGCTAGCATCTCCTCCCTATGCCACCCAAGGTGGCTCAGCTCCATTCAGGGCAAAACTGGACCAGGTGTGCCCCACCGTGAACTCCTGTGGGCCCCCTCCAGCCCCCTCCCTGCCCAGAGTTGGGGCAGAGGGCCCAGCTCCTCCCCTGCACCCCACCCTGCCCCCTCCTGAGCAGCTGGCAGAGGCTCCTCCGCAGTGGCAGTGCCCAAGAGCTCCCCCAGCAGCAGCGAGTCTGTCCCCAGGAGCAATGCAGCAGAGGGACAGGGAGCGCAGGAGGGAGGGCCACAGGCACTCCCACCCCATCAGAGGCCTGCTCCCTGGTACCCCAACTTGGAGACCCTGGGCTTGCTGGGGATGGGCATGGGGGTCCTTTGGGAGATCTGGGATTGGGGACAGTTCACTAAGTCTCCAGGGAGAACGAGGAAGGGGAAGGGCCTGAGGTTGGGGCAGGAGGTAGATGCCTCTGACCTGACCAGGGGGCTCTAAGCCCAGTGCCTGAGACCATCCAGGGCCAGCAGGGAGGCTCTGGTGTCATCGGGGGTGGGAGGAGAGTCTGCTTATCCCAAATGGCCAGAGCCTAGCAGTGCCTTGAGTGGGGCAGGGGCATCCTTACTCCTCCCTGCCCTCTGCCGCATACCCTGTCTAGCTTCAGACTGTGGGTCCCTGGAGGCTCCAGCCTCCCTCGGCCTGCTGCCCCAAGGAGGGGGCATGGCTACAAAGTCAGGACCTGTGGCAGTGGTGGAGACAAGAGGTACAGAGGAGGAAAGGCAACAGGGACAGTCCCCCTGATGAGGAGGATCAAGGTTCTGACGGTTCTGACAAGACCTCTCAGGATGCTGGCTGCGCCCCACACCCCGCTCCCCAGCCTGGTCCCTGGCCCGGCCCCTCCAGCTGGCCTGTTTGGCTCCTATCAGGTGCCGCTGGTAGGAAGGCAGGGCAGCCCCGTTCCCCACTCTCCACACAGCCTCTTCCAGCCATCGAAATGCCTACCTGGGCCCGTGTGGGCACCAAGCTGGGGGCAAGTAGGAGCTTACTGCCCCCGCTGGGCCAGGCCAGGGCTGGAGGGGCTGGCTGTCCTCCTTCTCCTCCGTGGTGGCGGGCGGAGAGGGGGCCTGCTGCCGGGCTGGGGGCTCTGTCCTCTAGGGTTCCCTCCACCGCTCACTCAGGAAGGCAGCAGCGCCAGAACTGCAGGAGCCAGCTCCCTCCACCGCTGCCTCCTCCCCACTCCCCGATCCCGACCCGCCTCCTTCTCCAGCCACCCACCTCCTTCTGCTCGTTTCTATGGCAACTGGGCAATGCTCTGCACAGACAGCCTCCCTCCCATGTACAGCAGGGGATGCCCGCCTCCCGCACGGCGCCGCATCAACATGGGCACGCATGCATACACTTCACGGCCACAGAGACGCTGGTGGGGACACAGGCTCGGCCGCCGCCCTCGACTGGGAAGCCCTGCTCCATCCCCTTTCTTCCCTTTCTCCCCAAGATCCCACCTCCCAATCGTCCTTCCAGACAGCTGCACCTTTCCATGCACTTTGCTTGGGTCCTTAAAATCTAAGCGCTTGCTGCTGGGTGAAGCATTTCTATTTGTTTAATCATTTATTCTCTCATTTGATGAAAATTCAAAATTTTGAGTTTTTTCTAGGCCAGGCTGAGTGTGAGAGATGCTCATGCACAACCTCGTGCCATAAGGCTTCATACCCATTTGACAGATTGGAAGCTGAGGGCCACAGCTGTAAAAGAATTGGAGAGTCCAAGGTTCCTGGGCTAGCTGTCGGCACCGAGACCTTGTGATGCCAGTTCCGACACTTCTCCCACAGGCCATGGCTGCCACACACCACTCAAGCGCACACATGGGTGGCCCTAAGCACTCGTGTGTCCAGGACATGTGCACCCCAACAACACACTTACAGATACAAACGCCCATTACATATATTTGCACACATGCATTTCCACAAGTCTGTGTATCTTCCTACAGTGCACCTATAACACACACACACGTAACTGTGACACTAATATCAGCATACGCACATCTTTAAGACACGTGCACACACATCTACATGGATTCAGAACCTGTAACACACAAGCCCTTCCTACACAAACTCAGTGCGGCACACACAAGCCCTGGTGCTAGCCTCATGAGCAGGGTTCAGGGATGGGAGTAGAAGTGTCAGGATCAAGGGGCTGAATAATGAGTGGCCTCCCAGGGGAGGATTTGCCTGTCTGCTCCGCCCCACCTGGGGATCAGGCACTAATCTGATCTCAGCAGTGTCTCAGCTCTGCTGCTGAAGGGGGATGGGGTGGGGTTGGAGACAGGGCCCACCCTCCCTCACTCTCATTCTGGAAAACCACACTAGATCCCCCCTAGAGCCCCCTCAGCCTAGGGGGCTCACACATATCCCTACTCACCCCTCTAGCATCGGTACTTGGAGTTATGACAGGGCACAGTAAAATGACTCTCCCAGAGAGGAGAATTCCAAGCTTCACACAGGCTTCTAGACTTCTGCCACCCCCAGGAGGGACAGTGTGGGTGGTGGGTGGCAGGAGACCAGAGTGGGGACTGGGGCCCAGGACACACAGCATGCCCCACAGGACATGCTATTCCCAGCCCAGCACCACTGCAGGGCCTCGGGCAAGGGTCACTGCAGCCCCTGTGCCCCAGGGTAATTCTCAGGGACCCCACACTCCCCAGAGAGGGAAGATACAACAGAAAGGAACCAGAAGCCACCACAAATTAAGCAAAAGGCCCTCTTGTAATAATGATAGCTCTTCCGTATTCATCACTTCCAAGACCCCTCTCAATCACAAGGCTGCTGCCAGTGAAACTCAAACATAGCTGCATGAAGCATTCCAGTATTAGAGATGCCAAGAGATAAGAGAAAAATCATCTTGAGATGCAGAAATGGGGCATTTCATCCATTCAACAGACACTGACTAGGCACCTACCATGGGTCAGAGATGGTTCTAGACACTGAGATACAGCTGTGGGCAAAACAGAGTCCCTGCCCTTGAGGAGATGATGAGCTAGTGGGTTCTCGGAAAGCCCAGGCCTGTCTCAAGGGCTCTCCTGCAGTCTTTGGCTGTCACAGGGCCTTGCATGGTGAGGCTACTGGACTGATTAGGAAATAGGCTCTGAGAGATGGAGCAGTTTGTCCACAATGACAAAGGCAGCCAGTGGATAGGCTGGGATTCGAGCCCTCGGTCTGCCAAGCCTTTTCCAGTGCCTCACATTGATTCCATTAAGAAAGATCTGATTGGGAAACACGGCACCAGCCACCCAGTTTCTAAAAGTTTCATAGTCAAGTTCGCTTCTATCCTTAGATCAAAGGCAGGATGAGATCGTAAGTACTCAAAGTCCCAGTCAAGTGGTGGGCACGAGGACCCCACAATCAACCTCAGAAGTGACTTCCAGCCTTGCGTTCCTTGGGCCAGAAGCCTGATGTCAGCCATTCCCAGGCCTGGAGGTCCTTGGCAGGGAGTTCAGGTCAAGGCCTAGGCCAGGAGGGTGGGGACTCCCGGCGCCCAAGAGCAGAGGCTTCCTAGAGAGTGAGGAGGCCTCAGCTGGGGGACAGGGAGGGATTGAGTTCCCAGGTGCTGTAAGCAGAGCCCCCTGCCCACCTGCCGGCCCCCAGCCCTGGATCATCTTTCTCTTAAAGAGCCGGGCTCCATCCAAGGATACCAAAGACAGCTGCCCTCCCACCCACCCCTCCGTCAGCCTGATCCAGCCCCATCTGCTGCCAGGCAGACCCCACGTCCTGTCCTCCCACACTCAATGGATTCCAGACAGGCCCTGTGGAAGAAGCTGACCCCTTCTGTCTCCCCCTCCTTCCCCAGCACAGAGAGCATCCACCCTCAGCCCACCCCCACTGTCAGCCTAATCTGGCCCCAACTGCTGCTGGGAATGAAGGCCCTCTACTCTCCCACTTGCAGGTCCCACGCTGGCACAGGGACACCCCCTACATCATGTACACACACACACAGGCACACACATACACACACACATGCACATACGCATACACACACACACACTCCATGCCCAACCTCAGCTCCTGTTCCTGGACCTTAGCCATGTTCCTGTCCCACAGGTGAGATCAGAGGAGGGTGTCTGGCCCACACCACAGGGCAGCGGCCCTCATGCCCCTAGGAGATGCCTACTCCTTCTGTCAGCCCCCTCCTTGCCTCCTTATCCAGCTCCCCAACAGCATTCATTGCCCCCTCTCCCCAGCTCAGCACAGTTATCCCACGTGTTCCCCAGAGCCAGGGAAAATGCAATCAGTGCTCATTAGCTGCTGCTTTGCATCTCATCTGCATAATATTCCCATGACTGTCAAAATGCCAGAATCCTCCCCAACCCCAGCCCACAACAGGCAGGGCTGGCCAGCTCTAGAGAAAGAAAATGGAAAGGCTTTAGTGGGATTCTGTGTAGGTGGCTAAGCATGTGGGGTGGGTACTTGGGAGGGGGAAGATCGGGGGTAGAAAATGTCCAGTGGCCCTGGCAGGCACCCGGAGGAGGAGCAACAAATATTACAATCACTGAGTCCCTGCTACATCTAGGCACTGTGCATGGTGCTTTATACCGTATCCAGTGTTTTTTCATAAAGAGCCATTATACAGGTGTGGAAACTGAGGCTCTGGGCAGTTAAGGCCTCGCTATCCAAGGCCCAGCAGCCTGGGCACCACCTGGAAGCTGGTCAGAAATGTGGCATTTCAGGTCCCACCCCAGACTTCCCACATCAGAATCTGCATTTTCACAGGATCCCAGGTGATCAGAGTGTGAGACTCCTAGGTTAAGGGGCTCGCCCCATACTGTAATACACAGCTGCAAAATGAAGCTGGTGTCAATACTGAGGTGTCTGACTAAATCCCATGCTAGTTTCTTCATGCATTTAACAAGCATTTCTTGACTGCAACTATGTGCAGCACTGCTCTAGGGTGGAACACGGTAGATAAACAGATGATGTCCATAACCTCAGGGAGATTTCATGCCAAAGGGAGACACATCATAAATATGTTCAAATGATGAGCAGTGCTACCAAGAAAAATAATGTGGGCTCAGTGCGGTGGCTCACACCTGTAATCCCAGCACTTTGGGAGGCCGAGGCGAGCAGATTGCCTGAGTTCAGGAGTTCGCGACCAGCCTGGGCAACACGGTGAAACCCTGTCTCTACTAAAATACAAAAAATTAGCTGGGCATGGCGGCATGTGCCTGTAGTCCCAGCTACTCGGGAGGCTGAGGCAGGAGAATTGCCTGAACCCAGGAGGCGGAGGTTGCAGTGAGCCGTGATCGCATCACTGCACTCCAACCTAGGTGAGAGCGAGACTCTGTCTCAAAATAACAATAATAATAACGTGGGTTAAAGAGACAGAGAGTATGAGGCAGGAACATTTTAGAATCCTCCTTTGAAGAGATGACATTTGAACAGAGATCTAAAAAGAGGGAGAAAGGGAGGTATGTGATGATTTGAAGGAAGAGTGTTTCTGGCAGAGGGAACAGCAAGGGCAAATGTCCTAGAGGTGGGAGTAAGCTGAGCGCATTGAAAGCAGCCCACAGCTGAATGGTTGGGTGGGTGGATGGGAGGGCGGATGAATGGATGGTAGGTAGAGCAAGCCAGACAGAGAGAGGTGGCAAACGAGGTAGTGATAAAGAAGAGGCAGGCAGGGGCTGGCTCCCAGAGGCCCTTGTAGGCCATGGTGAGGACTCTGAATTTTATTCTAAGTATGAAGGGAAGCCATTGGTATTTTTTAGCACGGGGAGAAAGGGATCCAAACTATGTTTTCAGAAGATCACAGTGGTTTTTACGTGGAGAAGTGATTAGGAGACCGGGGTGGAGGCAAGGAGACCAGTTAAGAAGCTTTTGCGATATTTAGGGCTAACAGCCGTGAAAACGCACGTCCAAGAATGTTCATAGAAGCTTCGTTCTTAACATCTCCAAATTGGAAGCAACCCAAATGCCCACCCACAGAGGGGCTGCAAAACAAATTGTGCAGTTTACTGCATATAGTTGAGGTAGTTTGCTGTGTAGGATATCATTGTATAAATTCTACCGTGTGGTTTGTTCACATAGTGGAATACTACACAGCAATGAAAAAGATCCCACTACACATAATCACATGGATAAATCTCAAGACATCAAGCTGATTCTGTACACTAATAACAAAGAATTTCTGACAAATTCTGAAAGTTTTCTAAAATTTCTGAATTTCTGAAAAAAATTTAAGAACCCAATTCTATTTATAATAACATCAAAAAAGAATAAAATATTTAGGAATAAAGTTAACCTAGGAGATGAAATACTTGTAAACTGAAAACTATAAAAAATTGATGAAAGAAATTAAAGAAGATACAAACAAACAAAAACATCTCATGTTCATGAATTGGAAGACTTAATATTCTTAAAATATCCATACTACTCAAAGCAATCTACAGACTCAATGTAATCCCTCTTAAAATCTCAATGGCATTTTTATAGCAATAGAAAAAAAAATCTTAAAATCATAGGAACCACAAAGGTCCCCAAAATAGCCAAAAAATATTGAGAAGAACAAAGCTGGAGGCCCCATACTTCCTGATTTCAAAACATATTACTAAGTTGCAGTAATTAAAACAGCATGGTACTGTCATAAAAACAGACATATATGCATATTATGGTCACCAGCAATACATAAATAAATAAAGACATACAGACCAATGGAACAGAATGAAGATCCCAGAAATAAACCCATACATATATGATCAACAGATCTTCAGTGAGGGTGCCAAGAATACACAGTGGGGAAATGATACGAAGGATAGTTCTTCTTCAACAAATGGTGATGGGAAAACTGCTTTCTACATGCAAAAGAATGAATTTGAATCATTATCTTACACCATAGACAAAAATCAGCTCAAAGTGGATTAAAAACTTAAACATAAAACCAGAAACCATAAAATTCCTAGAAGAAAATATAGGGAAAAACTTCAGGACATTGGCCTTGGCAATGATTTCTTAGATCTGACATCAAAAGCACAGGCAACAAAAACAAAAATAGACAAATGGGACTACATATCAAACTAAAAAGCCTAAGCACTGCAAAGGAAACAGCAGAGTGAAAACGTAACCTGCTGAATGGGGGAAAAAAATTGCAAACCACATATCTAACAAGGGACTAGGATCCAAAATACATAAGAAACTCCTATAACTGGATAGCTTAAAAAAAATTTAAAAATGAGCAAAGGGCTTGAACAGACATTTCTCCAAAGAAGGCATACAAATGAACAACTGGTATATTAAAAAATGCTCAACATCACTAATCATTGTGGAAAGGCAAATCAAAACCACAATGAGATATCACCTCATACCTGTCAGGATGGCCATTATTTAAAAAGTAATAATAATAAAATAAGTGTTGGCAAGGATGTGGATAAATTTGAACACTTGTGCCCTGTTGGTGGGAATGTGTAATGGTGCAGCTGCTATAAAAAACAGTAAAAAGGTTTTTCAAAAAATTAAAAATAGGCTGGGCACAGTGACTCACGCCTCTAATCCCAGCACTTTGGATGGCAGAGGCAAGAGGATTGCTTGAGCTCAGGAGTTCAAGATCAGCCTGGATAACATAGCGAGACCTCGTCTCTACTAAAAATAAATATAAAAATAAAGAAAATTTAAAAAATAACTACTGCTGGGCACGGTGGCTCACACCTGTAATCCCAGCACTTTGGAAGGCTGAGGCGGGTGGGTCACCTGAGGTCAGGAGTTCGAGAACAGCCTGGCCAACATGGTGAAACCCCATCTCTACTAAGAATACAAAAAATTGGCCAGGTGTGGTGGCGCATGTCTGTAATCCCAGCTAATTGGGAGGCTGAGGCAGGAGAATTGCTTGAACCCAGGAAGTGGAGGTTGCAGTGAGCTGAGATTGCGCCATTGGACTCCAGCTGGGGCAACAAGAGCGAAACTCCGTCTCAAACAAACAAACAAACAAAAAAAGAACTACCATACGATCCATCAATACCACTTCTGGGTATTTACCCAAAGGAATTGAAGTCAGGGTCTCAAAGACAAATTTGTACTCCTGTGTTCATCGCAGCATTATTCACAGTTACCAAGATGTGGAAACAATCTAAATATCCATCAATGGATGAATGGATAAAGAAAATGTGGTATATACACACAGTGGAATAATATTTAGCCTTAAAAAAGGAAATCCTATCCCAAGCCACAACATGGGTGAACCTTGAGGATATTATGATAACTTAAATAAGTCAGTCATAGAAGGACAAATACTGCATTATTCCACTTACATGAGGTATCTAAAATAGTCAAATCCACAGAAACAGGAAGGAGAATGGTGGTTGCCAGAGGCTGAGGGGAGGAAGAAATGGGGAGCTGCTATTCGATGGGTATAAAGCTTCATCTTTGTAAGATGAGAAAGTTCCAGAGATCTGCTGCACAACATTGGGCCTGTAGTTAATATTGTACATTTAAGATTCTGTTAGAAGGGTAGATCTCATGTTATGTGGGTTTTTTTTTTTTACAATAAAAGTTTTTTTGAAAAGACATCATGCCGAGCAAGAGAAGCCAAACTTAAAAGAGCACACACAGTAGATTCTATTTATGTGAAGTTCAAGAATAGATCAATCTGGACTTCTGATTCTGAACAAGATGGAGTATACACACTTCTCCCCATTCCTCCTGCTAAAACCACCCCTATATATAAAACAAACAGAAGAAGACTCTTAAAGGCAGAGAGAAGACAGACTGACTAGAGATCTCAAGACCAAACAGTGACAGAGCAGTGAGTTCCCTGGGTTTTCTTTTTGCCCAATATATGCCAGATTTGGAGCTGGAAGAAGTCAGCAACCCAGAAATACCAATAAACATAGACAAAAACAGCCCCAAGAAAAACCTGCTCTTTGCTTCCTGCTGATAGGTCTAAAACATAATAAAAAAGAATAAAACAAAAACAAAAAATAGAAAAAACCTGCTCTCTTTAGCCAAAGGATCAGCAGAGACCCAGCCTAGCAAGACAAAAACCTTTAAAACAATGACGTCCCTACTGTAGCCAAACACCATGGAAGAAACTACAGCCCCAGGCCCATGCTCCCCTGTGAGGAAAGGCCGGGTGGGGAGCCTTGCCTGGCCGTAACTAGGAGCCCCATCCCCCACCGCCAGGGTGACAACAGTGAAGAATGAGGGAGAGCCAGGACTTCCACTGCACCCAGCAATAACAAGGTGCCCCTCCCTCTCCATGCTGGGTTGACCTTCACCCCCACCCAAGAGTAATCAGGTCAGTGGAGACCACATAGGAGCAGTAACAAGGCACCCTCCCTTCCCACGCAGGGAGGGATCACTGGTGCCAGAACTCCCACCACTGCCCAGAAGTAAGGAGGCACCCCTGACCCCCACCAGGGTGTCAACCAAGGTCAAGTAGGGGACCTGGATTTCTACCCCCACCTGGCATTAATAAGGCCCAGGGTTAAAGGAGGCCTGCTGAAACAGATTTCAAGAAGATCCGGCATCTCATAACATAATACCCCAAGTGTCCAGGGTATAATACAAAAATAATCTGTGGCCATGAGCAATGGCTCACGCCTGCAATTCTAGCACTTTAGGAGACCAAGGCAGGAGGATCACTTGAGGCCAGGAGTTTGAGACCAGCCTTGGCAATATAGTGAGACCCTGTCTCTACAAAATGAAAAAATTAGCCTGGTATGGTGGTGCATGGCTGCAGTCCCAGACACTTAAAGGCTTAGGTGGGAGGATTGCTTGAGCCCAGTAGGTCGAGGCAGCAATGAACTGTGATTGTGCCATTGCACTCCAGCCTGGGCAACAGAGCAAGATTCTGTCTCAAAAAAATAAAAAAGGAAAAATTTTGTCACACCAAGAACCAGGAAAATCTCAACTTTAATGAGAAAAGGCAACCAACAGATGCCAACAACACCAAGACACAAATACTGGAATTATCTGACAAGGATTTTTAAAGCTGCCATCGTAAAAATGCTTCAGCACGCAATTATGAACATGTTTGAAACAAATGAAAAATAGAAAGCCTAAGCAATTATGTAGAAACTACAAAGAAGAACCAAACTGATAGAATTTTAGAAAGCTCACTGGATGGGCTCAACGTCCAGTGAGCTTTCTAAATAGAATGGAGGCTGGGTGTGGTGCCTCACACCTGTAATCCCAGCACTTTGGAAGTCCAAGACAGGCAGATCACTTGAGGCCAGGAGTTCGAGACCAGCCTGGGCAACATAGTGAAACCCCATCTCTACTAAAATTACAAAATCAGCCAGGCATGTTGGTGCACACCTGTAATCCCAGCTACCGGGGAGGCTGAGATACAAAATCGCTTGAACCAGGCAGGCAGAGGTTGCAGTGAGCCGAGATTGTGCCACTGTACTCCAGCCTGGTGGGTGAGAGAGTGAGACTCCATCTCAAAAAAAAAAAAAAAAAGTATGGAGGTAAGAGATAAAAAAAAGTAATTGAACTTGAAGATAGAACAATAGAAATTACCCAATCTGAACAACAGAGAGAAAATGGCTTGAAAAAAAAAAAAAGAAAGAAAAGGACAGAACCTCAGGAACCTGTGGAACTAAAATAGAAGCTCTAACATTCATGTTTTTAGAGTCCAAGAGGAAGGGGAGAAAGAGTCGGGGCTGAAAAAACATTCAAAGAAATAGTAGCTGAAAACAATCCTGAACTTGGCAAAAGACAAACAATGGATTTAAGAAGTTAAGTGAACTCCAGACAGGTAAAACCCCAAGAAATCCACTCCAAGGCACATCATGGTCAAACTCTTGAAAACTAAAGACAATGAAAAAATCTTGAAAACAGAGAAAGAGAGAAATGACACTTTATTTAAAAGGGAAAAACAGGCCGAGCAACATAGCAAGACCCTATCTCTACAAAAAAAAATTTTTAAATCAGCTGGGTGTGGTGGCGTGCACTTGTAGTCCTGACTATTTGGGAGGCTGAGGCCTCCTGGGGCCAAGGATTACTTGAGCCCAAGAGCTCAAGGCTGCAGTGAACTATGATTGTGCCACGACACTCCAACAGAGACCTCATTCCTAAAAAAAAATCTAAAATAATAATAATAATAATAATAACAGGGAAAAACAAATTACAGCAGATTTTTAAAATCAGAAACCACAGAAGCCAGAAAGAAGTGGCAAAACAGTTTTCAAATGCTGAAAGAAAAGAACTGCCAGCCCAGAACCATATATCCAGAGAAAATATCCTTCAAGAATGAAGGAAAATCAAGGTATTCTCAGATAAAGGAAACTAAGAATTTTTTATTAGCAGACCTACCCTAAAAGAATAGTTAAAGGAAGTTCTTGAAACCGAAAGGAAAGATACAAGAAGGAATCCTCCTGGAACACTGGGGAGGAGGAAAGAAAAATGGAAAGAGTAAAAATACGGGTAAATATGATCAACTTTCCTTCTCTTGAGCTTTCCAAATTATGTTTGAGGGTTGAAGCAAAAATTATAACATTACGGCCTGTTGTGTGGCTCACGCCTGCAATCCCAGCACTTGGGGAAGCCGAGGCAGGTGGATCACTTGAGGTCAGGAGTTCGAGATCAGCCAAGCCAACAGGGCGAAACCCTGTCTCTACTAAAAATACAAAAATTATCTGGGTGCGGTGTTGGGCACCTGTAATCCTAGCTACTCGGGAGTCTGAGGCAGGAGAATTGCTTGAACCCGGAGGCAGAGGTTGCAGTGAGCCTAGATCGCACCACTGCACTCCAGCCTGGGTGACAAAAGCAAAACTCCGTTTAAAAAAAAAAAAAAAAAAATATATATATATATATATATACACACACACACACACACACACACATAACATTGTCTGATGTGCTTCTCAAAACATGCAGAGGAAATATTGATGACAATTAGATTATAAATGGGAGGGTAAAGAAACTTAAGGGAAGTAAGTTTTCTGCACTTCACTTGAACTGGTAAAACACTGACACCAGCAGGCTGTGAATGGATGGATGGATGGGTAGATGGACATGGATATAGACAAATAGATATAGGTATGTAGATATATATGGTAATACCTAGAGCAACTACTAAAAAAAATCTATACAAAAAGATACACTCAAAAACACTACAGATAAATCCAGGACAGGCAAATCTAAATTCATAGAGATTGAGGTCAGAACAGCAGTTGCTTCTGGGAGATGTCAACAGGCAGGAGCACACCTCTGGGGCACTGGAAATATTTTCTATTCTGATCCGGGTGGCAGTATTCACAGGTGTAAAGTTCATTGAATTGCATGGCTAACATGTGTTATACTTCAATTTTAAAAATATAACATTATAAGTTACACTTCAATTAAAAACAACAAAAAAGAGGCTGTTGCAACAGTCCGTGAGAGCAATGATAGTACAGTGGCAAAGGGTCGATTCAGGGCACCCTCCGGAGATGGAACCACAGGGCTTGCTGTAAGGTGGACTGAGTGACTTCTGTGAGCACCCCTAGCCCACATTCTCACCTCTGGTACCTGAGGGGAATTAAATAGGGCAAGGGTACTCGCAACCACAGTCCAACATAGCAGCCTGCACCAGGCTGGGCATGCAGCAGTGTTCAATGCATGCTCCAGTGTGGCTAACGGTGCTGACGATACTCACTCTGACTTCCATCTGGTGTTTCCGATTCACAAAGCACTTTCCTCCCCATTGCTCTCTGGAGTCTTTACTCATCTCACACAAAGCATTGGAGTATGAAAGATGCTAAGGAATTGTCCAAAGTCACATAGCTCCTGGGAATTTCAATCAGGCTTTTTTTTTCTTTTTCTTTTTCTTTTTTTTTTTTTTGACAGGATCTCGCTCTGATGCTGAGGCTGGAGTGCAGTGGCACAATCATAGCTCACTGCAGCCTTAAACTCCTGGCCTCAGGCAATCCTCCTACGGACAGCCTCCAGAGTAGCTGGGACTACAGGTGCAGGCCACCATGCCGGGCTAATTTTTGGGTTTGTTTTTTTGTAGTGATAGTGTCTCACTATGTTGCCCTGTGCCTGGCCTGAATCAAGCTTTTGGATTCCAAATGCAGTGCCCCTTCCAGGGGTCTTCAGACTTTAGTAAGCATCGGGACCAACGGGAGGTTTGTACAAAATGGAGATTCAGGCCACAGCCACAGAGATTCTGATTCAGCAGGGGTTTCAGTTGTCTATTGCTGCCTAGCAAAGCTCACCAGATTTTAGTGACTTAGAACAATGATGATTTATGATGACTCTGTGGATTGACTGGGCTCAGCTGGGTGGCTCTTCTCTTCCACATGCCCTCAGCTGGGGCTAAAATGTCCAAGATGGCTTCTTCGGCCAGGCGCGGTGGCTCACGCCTGTGATCCCAGCACTTTGGGAGGCCGAGGTGGGCAGATCACAAGGTCAGGAGATCGAGACCATCCTGGCTAACACGGTGAAACCCCGTCTCTACTAAAAAATGCAAAAAATTAGCGGGGTGTCATGGTGGGCGCCTGTAGTCCCAGCTACTCTGGAGGCTGAGGCAGGAGAATGGCGTGAGCCCAGGAGGCGGAACTTGTAGTGAGCCGAGATCACGCCACTGCACTCCAGCCTAGGCCACAGAGCCAGACTCCGTCTCAAAAAAAAAAAAAAAAAAAAAAAGATGGCTTCTTCATTTACATGACTTATCCTCAGCTGGGATGGCTGCAGTAGCTGGCAGTTGGCTGGATGCTTGTCCCTGTCCCTTCCCCTGTTTCCCTCTGTTTCTCCTTCATTGTGGTCTCTCCAGCACAATAGCTGGACCCACTTAGATGGTAACTCAGGGCTCCAAAAGTGAGCATTCCAAAGGACAAGTTCCAGTGTGTGAGCATTTCTCTGTCAAACCTCTACCTGTGTCATGCTTGCCAATGTCTTACTGGCAAGACCAAGTCATATTGCCAAGCCTAGTGTCACTGTGGAAAACGCTGCACCAGGGTGTGAATACCAGGAGATAGTGTTCACAGGTGGGTGTGAGAAACACCAATGTACTTCTCCATCCCAGCAAGTTTGTAGTGGGCCCCAATAATTTGCTTTTTTTTTTTTTTTTTTTTTGAGACAGAGTCTTGCACTGTCTCCTGGGCTGGAGTGCAATGGTGTGATCTCAGCTCACTGCAACCTCTGCCTCCTGGGTTCAAGAGACTCTTCTGCCTCAGCCTCCCGAATAGCTGGGATTACAGTTGTGCGCCACCACACCTGGCTAATTTTTTTTGTATTTTTAGTAGAGATGGGGTTTCACCATGTTAGCCAGGATGGCCTCGATCTCCTGACCTCTTGATCCACCCTCCTCGGCCTCCCAAAGTGCTGGATTACAGGCGTGAGCCACCGCACCCAGCCAAATTAGCATTTTTTAATAACCTACCTTTCTGAAAGTTCCCCATGCTGATATTGGTGTTCTATTGACTACACCTTGAGAACAGGTCCTATCTTATCACGCCACCATCAAAGAGACTTTTAAACCTCCCCACCTGTTCTGGTCACTGATCAAAAAAAATGCTAAAGACACTGTCACCATCCTGGGGGAGCTGACAGCTTGGGGCAGACATGCACACATTGGGACCCAAGAAACCTGCCCAGAACTGGCTTCTTCAACAAGCCCGGGTCCTGGCTTCTAGCCCTGACCTCGTCTGCTCCTAGCTAGGCTGCCTGGTCCAGGTGCCTCCCCTCTCTGGGTGTAGGTCTGCTCCCCTCAAACTGAGGGGGTTGGACCAGATTAGCAATTTCTAACCCCTTCACCACCATGGGACCCTTTAGGTATTTCTTCACCCAAGGAATCCCCTGTCTTGAAAAAAGATTTTTGTCTACCAAACTATACACGCTAAGTAATTTTTTTAAAAATTGGAGGCCAGCCTCAGTGGCTCATGCCTGTAATCCCAGCACTTTGGGAAGTGGAGGCACCCAGGCTGGAGTGCAGCCAAGTGTTAATGCAAAGAAAAAGTTCTTGAAGGAAATTAGAAGTGTTCCTCCAGTGAACACACAAATGATAAGAAAACAAAACAGCCTTATTGCTGACAGGGAGAAGGTTTTAGTAGTCTAAATAGAAGATGAAAACAGCTACAACATTCCCTTAAGCCAAAGCCTAATCCAAGACTGCAATGCTTTTCAGTTCTATGAAGTCTGAGAGGGGTGAAGAAGCTGCAGAAGAAAAGGTTGAAGCTAGCAGAGGTTGGTTCATGAGGCTTAAGGAGAGGAGCCATTTCCATAACAGCAAAGTGCACGTTGAAACAGCAAGTGCTGATGTAGAAGCTGCAGCAAGTTATCCAGATCTAGCTAAGATCACTGTGGAAGGTGGCTACACTAAACAACAGATTTTTCCATGTCCATGAAATAGTCTTCTACTGGAAGTAGATGCCATCTTGGACTTTCATAGCTAGAGAGAAGTCAATGCCTGGCTTCAGTGCTTCAAAGGACAGGCTGACTCTCTTGTTAGGGGCTAAAGCAGCTGGTGATTTTAAGTTGAAGCCAGTGCTCATTTACCATTCCTGAAATTCTAAGGCCCTTGAGAATTATGCTAAATCTATTCTGCCTGCGTCTGTAAATGGAACAACAAAGCCTGGAAGCCTGGATGACAGCACATCCAAGTTGACGGCACAGTTTACTGAATGTTTTAAGCCTACTGTTGAGACCTACTGCTCAGAAAAAAAGATTCCTTTCAAAATATTGCTGCTTATTGACAATTCCACAGTGGCTGTACCAGTTTACATTCCCATCAGCAATATACAAGTGTTTCAATTCCTACACTTCCCTGCAACACTCGTTTTTTAATTTAATTTTATTATTTTTATTTGCGAATCAGGCAGCCTCCCAAACCAGAGTAGGCTCAGAGACTCCCAACACTTGTTATTTTCTGTTTTTATAATGGCCATCATAATGGGTGTGAAGTGGTATCTCGTGTTTTTTATTTGCATTTCCCTAATGATCAGAGATGTTGAACATCTTTTCCTGTGCTTATTGACCAACTGTATATCTTCTTTGGAGAAAAGTCCTTTACCTGTTTTTTAACTGGGTTGTTTGTCTTTTTTGCTATTGAGTTGTAGAAGTTCTATACATAGTCTGGATATTAACCCCTCATTAGACATAGGATTTGCAAATATTTTCTCCCATTTTGTGGGCTGCTTTTCACCCTTTTGATAGTGTCCTCTGATGTACAAAAGTTTTAAATTTTAATGAAGTTCAATTTATTTTTTTCCTTTTGTTGCCTGTGCTTTTGGTGTTATATCCAAGAAACTATTGCCAAATCCAGTGTCATAAAGATTCTTCCCTATATTTTCTTTTTCTTTTTTTTTTTATTGAGACGAAGTTTCACTGTGTCGCCCAGGCTGGAGTGCAGTGGCACCGTCTCAGCTCACTGCAACCTCCACTTCCCGGGTTCAAGCAATTCTCCTGCCTCAGCCTCCTGAGTACCTGGGATTACAGGTGCCCGTCACCATGCCTGCATAATTTTTTTGTATTTTTAGTAGGGATGGGGTTTCACCATGTTGGCCAGGCTGGTCTCAAACTCCTGACCTCAAGTGATCTTTCCGCCTCAGCCTCCCAAAGTGCTGGGATTACAGGCGTGAGCCACTGGGTCTAGCCTGTCCCTATATATTCTTCCAAGAATTTAAAAAATTTAGTTCTTATATTTATGTCTTTGATTCATTTTTGAGTTAATTTTTGTATCTAGTATAACAGGAGTCCCCAACCCCTGGGCCACAGATTGCTACTGGTCTGTGGCCTGTTAGAAACCAGGCTGCACACCAGGAGGTAAGTGGTGAGCAAGGAACCTTGTATTTAGCCACTCCCCCTCACTCACATTACCGCCTAAGCTCTGCCTCCTGTCTGGCAACATTAGATTCTGATGGGAGCGCAAATCCTACTGTGAACTTGTGAATGCGAGGGATCTAGGTTGCACACTCCTTATGAGAATCTAATGCCTGATGATCTGTCACTGTCTCCCATCACCCCCAGATGGGACTGTCTAGTTGTAGGAAAAGCTCTGGGCTCCCACTGATTCTATATTATGGCCAGTTGTATAATTATTTCATTATATATTATAATGTAATAATAATGGAAACAAAGTACCCTATAATTGTAATGTGCTTGAATCATCCCCCAACCCTCCCCTAACCCTGGTCTGTGGAAAACCACCCCCCAACCCCAGTCTGTGGAAAAACTGTCTTCCACGAAACCAGTCCCCGGTGCCAAAAACGCTGGGGCCCACTGTGGTACAAGGTATGGATCCAATTTCATTCTTTTGAATGTGGATATCCAGTTTTCTTACCTGGGACACTTTTTTTTTTTTTTTTTTTTTGAGACAAAGTCTTGCTTTGTGGCCTAGGCTGGGGTGCAGTGGTGCAATCACAGCTCACTGCAGCCATGACCTTCCCGGGCTCAGGTGATCCTCCCACCTCAGCCTCCAGAGTACTTGGGACTACAGGTGTGTGCAACCATGCCTAATTTTTTTGTGTATTTAGTCAAGACAAGGTTTTGCCATGTTGCCCAGACTGGTCTTAAACTCCTGGGCTCAAGCAATCCACCTGCCTCGGCCTCCCAAAGTGCTGGGATTACAGGTGTGAGCCACTGTGCCCAGCCGGGACACTTTTAAAACTCCTCAAGACCAGGCTGCTGCATGGGAAAAAGTACTTGCAAATCATATATCTGATGAGGGATTAATATTCAGAATATATACAGAACTTCTACAACTCAATAACAAAATACCAAACAACCCAGTTAAAAAACAGGCAAAAGGGCCGGGCGCGGTGGCTCGTGCCTGTAATCCTAGCACTTTGGGAGGCTGAAGCGGGTGGATCACAAGGTCAGGAGATCGAGACCAGCCTGGCCAATATGGTGAAACTCCGTTTCTACTAAAAATACAAAAATTAGCCAGGCGTGGCGGCGCGCACCTGTAGTCCCAGCTACTTGGGAGGCTGAGGCAGAAAAATCACTTGAACCCGGGAGGCAGAGGTTGCAATGAGCCGAGATCGTGCCACTGCACTCCAGCCTGGTGACAGAGGGAGACCACGTCTCAAAACAAACAAACAAACAAACAAACAAAACAAACAAAAAACAGGCAAAGGACTTTTCTGCACCCCAGAATCTCTGTGGTGGGGCACAGGCATCAGAACTCAAGGTTCTCCAGGTGATTCCCATGGGCAGCCTGGAATGAAACCGTTGTCTACTACACTGAAATCTTAGTCCCAATTGTATTAGTCTCTGTATTCTCAGTTTCTAGCATGAGGCGTGGCCCATGGACACATAGAATAGGGTATACACTGGGCCCAGTGGGGACTTTGGGAGATTCTAGCCCTAGAAATTCTCAAATAAATGGGCCTCCCAGCACCATGCCATGCCCATTGCTTTGACAGGTGCATTCAAGAAGATGAACAAGAACTGACCATGGGTTCAGCCCCAGCAGAGCGTGGGAGGGATCGAGAGAGACCACAGAGTCGGATGGCAACAGAGTGATGGACAGTGTGGGGCAGGTTGTCTGTTCACAGAATCAGAGAGGTGTGGCTGCCTGGGGGCAGGGCTGGGGCACGCACACCCTTGGAGGGGATTCCAAGAAGGAGGAAGAGCTCAAGGTGAGCCTGCGAGGAGCCTCGTTGGAGAAGCTTCCCAATTGTTGCAGCAGCTGACTTCTGCGGAAAGCCTATCTGCCCAAGCTTTCCACGGTGCCTCCTCATCTTTAACCGCGGATGATAGCAGCACCTACCTCACAGGGCAACTGGGAGGATACCTGGGCTAAGGCATGAAAAGTACCTGGAACAGTGCCTGACACACAGGAAGCACTCAATAATGTCAGTTATATATTCCATCATTATCTCCTTTAATCTCAACAACCCTAAGAGATGCACACCATTGGCTGGGCGCGGGGCTCAGCCGGTAATCCCAGCACTTTGGGAGGCTGAAGCAGGAGGATCACCTGAGCTCAGGAGTTCGAAACCAGCCTGGCCAACATGGTGATACCCTGTCTGTACTAAAAATAAAAAAAATCAGCCAGGTGCGGTGGTGGGCGCCTGTATTCCCAGCTACTTGGGAGGCTGAACCATGAGAATTGCTTGAACCCGGGAGGTGGAGGATGCAGTGAGCCGAGATTGCACCATTGCACTCCAGCCTGGGTGACAGAGCAAGATGAGACTCTGTCTCAAAAAAAAAAAAAAAAAAAAGAGAGAGAGAGAAAGAGATGCATATCATTATCTCTATTTTTTTTTTAAGTTGAAACTGGAGCTCAGAGAGGTAAAGTCAATTGTCTAATGTCACACAGCAGGAATGAGCCAGGATTCACTCTATTGTATCCAGCTCCAAAGCCTATGCACAAATCTTCCACAAAACTTGGGGACCACAGGCTGGAGTCCTGGAATCCAGGAATCCAGAGTTGGAAGGGGCCACCCAAAGCCATTTTGTCTGGTCTAACCATTTCATTTGTACAGAAAGATGACCAGAGAAGGGAGCATGTCAGATGGAGTAGGGTGTGCAGCTGAGGCTTCTAAACAGACTCACAGACAGGACAAGCCACGGCCTCAGCCTCAGCATCAGTCTTCCCACGAGTCAGCAAGCTCTGCCTCTCCCGTCTCCAGCCAGCGCAGCTGAAGGAGCACTAAGGAGCTGGGGTACCATCCAGCAGGAGGAGGCCGAGCAGCCTCTGCGCCAAGAGCTCACCCATGTGCCTCCCGCCTCAGGCTGGCAGAGATCACCCCAGAAGACCTCAGCCCCCACCCCCCTCAGCCTGGGCCTGCAGCCCAGTGACCCTCTGACAGGCCCCCACCGTAGCCTCCTCCCCACTGTAGGGAGGAAATCAGGCAATTACAGATGACCTTTGCAGGAGAGCAGAATGTAAACTAGAATCCATTTGCCTGTGCAATCTTCATAATTACCGCAGCAATTATCCCCAATGAGCCATTGTGACCAAGGCTTCACTCAGCCCAGGTGCTGGGCCTCTCCAGCCAGGTTTTGGTCCCTCACCCTCCCCACCATAGGCTGCCTTTAGTCCTATGGCACAATCACCTGCATCTGCACAACTTGCTGCCTCTCTGCTCTCCAGCTACAACCACACAGGGGAGCAGCAGGCAGCTGGCTTCATCCCTGTTGTAGGGATGGGGAAACTGAGGCTCAGCTTCACCAAGGATAAGGGGCCTGTAAACAGTTGAGTTCTGATAGGAGTTAGACCTTAACACCTCTCCTATGCCCCATTTCTTCCCACTCTACATTCTCCTGGGCCTGGGCGAGACAGAGGGACCCTTTGAGTAATCTCTCCTTTAGAAACGGGGGAGATGGAAACACAACTGGTATGATTTAGGGAAGTAGTTTCTAAACCTGTGTGTGCAACAAAATATCCTTTAAAAAATACACATTCCTGGCTGGGCACGGTGGCTCACGCCTGTAATCCCAGCACTTTAGGAGGCCGAGGTGGGCGGGTCACCTGAGATCAGGAGTTCAAGACCAGCCTGGCCAACAGGGTGAAACCCTGTCTCTACTAAAAATCCAAAAATTAGCTGGGTGTGGTGGCGCGCGCCTGTAATCCCAGCTACTCAGGAGGCTGAGGCAGGGGAATTACTTGAACCCGGGAGGTGGAGGCTGCAGTGAGCCAAGATAGTGCCACTGCACTTTAGCCTGGGTGACAGAGTGAGACTCCGTCTGGAAAAAAAAAAAAAAAAGGATATTCCTGATCCCCACGTTGGAGATTCTGATTCTGCTGATCTAGGGTAAAATCCAACTGTCCCTGTTTTAGTTTTGACTTGTAAAGTTCCTTCATGTGATTCCAATCATTAGCCCATATATGGGAAATGTTAGGTGGTAAAGGAAAGAATTCCTGAATATTTCTTGTTCTTTCCCTCACTGTCACCATTTCCAACAACCAAAAGCTCCTTTTGCACATCTAAATAACCACTGGGAGAGTTAAGGGAAGAGATGTGAGTCATTCACACCTTAGTATAAATAAGCGCACTCAGCTAGCTTTTTGCCTAATGCCTAGCTGAGATCCTGCCCATTTTGGAGGAGGAGAGGGTAGGAATTAGGAGTGTTGATGGAGGAGGAAAGACAAGCGAGCTGGCAGAGGGAGGGAATAGAGGTGCTTCTGAGAGAGGTGTTAAGAGTGAGGCGCCTTGAACTGAGCCAAATGACTTGAATGGTAAATACCATAATGGGAAAACCAGAGAGAGGCTTGGACTTACAGTAACTAGCACTGGTGCCAGAGTTCAGACAGCAACCAACCAGTGTTTGCCTGAGCTCTGAGGGAGAGGATGAGCACAGCATAAAAACCTGCCTATACAGCCGATAGCTGGGGAAGTGATCTAATGCCTCGATACTCAAAGTATGGTCCAAGGACCAGCAGCACTGGCATGACCTGGGAGTTTGTTAGAAATGCAGGCTGTGGCTGGGCTTGGTGGCTCATAGCCTAGCACTTTGGGAGGCCAAGGTAGGAGGATTGCTTGAGCCCAGAAGTTCAAGAGCAGCCCGGGCAACACAGCCAGACACCATCTCTACAAAAAATTTAAAAATTAGCCAGGCATGGGGGGTGCACAACTGTGGTTCCACCTACTTGGGAGGCTGAGGTAGGAGGATTGCTGGAGCCCAAGATGTTGAGGCTGCAGTGAGCTATGAATGCGTCACTGCACTCAGGCCTGGGCAACACAGCAAGACTCTGTCTCAAAAAAGAACAAAGAAAAGAAATGCAGGCTCTTAGGACCACCAGACCTACTGAATCAGAATCTTTTTAAAAGGCCCCCAGAAGACACCTGTGTGCATTAAACTTGGAGAAGCTCTGGTCTAACATTTAAGCACAGAGAGCTCTGGGAATGACCTGCTTCTAAGAGGACATTGATGAGCAAGAGGTAGGGGCATACCATGAAACAAAGAATGGGGATGGGCACTGGGGAACTGGGCAGAGCAGGGTAACTCTACCAAGGAGCCAGCCTGAGTTGCTTTCTAAAGGAAGGGGAGGGTAAGATAGGCCAATAAAACTAACAAGTAGGTAAATTTTGTGTCCCAGACTTGGAATCTACAGCTTGGTTTCAGGCTCACTTTTACTGATTTCTGTGTGACTTTGCCCAAGTAACTGGCCTCAGTTTTGTCTTCTGTCAAATAGAGCTGATATTCTGTTCTCTTGCTGCCTTTAGAGCTATTATGAGAACCAAAGGAGCTAAGATGAGAAAGTGCATTGGAGGCCATGAAATGCTGGACAGGGCAAGTCAAAGCAGCTGCTTCCTAGTGTCCACAGAAGCCTGGCCTTCCAGGCAGCGAAGCTTACCCCTGCTCCCTTCCCACATCTGATAGCTGGAATCCCATGCTGAAAGGAGCTGGACAAGCCTGGGCACTTGAGGATGTTACGATCTGATAATACTCTAATGTGTCTGCCAGGATTTGGTTTTGAAGACCCTTGGTATTAGAATCAGGTAGTCAAGTGGGGGTGGTCCAAGGGCTCCCCACATCTCACGTCCTCCTACCCATTGGGGAGCACTGGTTCCCCACCAGGGTTCACAACAGAATCAGTGATGTCTGGACCATCAGGGTGGCTAAAATGAAAAGACAGATAATATCAAGTGTTGGCGAGGATGCAGAGTAATCACAACTCTCAAACACTGCTGGTGGGATTGTAAAATGGGATCAGCCATGTTGAAAACTATGCAGCAATCTCTACTGAAGTTTGGCACACATATCCCTTAGACCAGCACTTCCACCGTTGGGTTTACATGCAGCAGAAATGAGTGCCCAGGCCACCAAAAGACACGCACATGAATGCTTGCAGCAACCATATTCATAGTAGCCCCCAAACAACCTACGTGTCCACCAATAGCTGAAAGACTAAGCAGATATACTGTGTACAATGTTATGCCCTGTGCCACCCCAAAGTCCAGCATCAGGGTGAAGACACTCCATCCCCCAGCTGCAGGGGATATTCACTGCTGACAATTCTGAGAGTTCTTTTCCAAGAATTGCCCTCCTCTTGCTGGCCCCCTCCCAGGGGCAACTCATATCCAACAAGTGCTTGACCCAGGCCTGGATCCCTTGCTTGATTTGGGACAACTCTGAAGTGTCCTCCCAGCCCCAGCGCTCCATATGGGATCAACTGAGGCCTGTGTTAAAAGGGCATCTTAGCTCACCCTCTCCCACTCTTCTGCCCTGTTCCACTTCCCTATGCTCTTTTCTCATGTGTGTGGTTTTTATTTATTTCTAACTTTTATTTTAGATACAGGAGTACACGTGCAGGTTTGTTACATGGGTATATATTGCACCCAGGTAGTGAGCATACTATCCAGTAGGTAGTTTCATGACCCACAGCTCCCTCCTTCCCTCCTCTAGAAGTCCATGGTGTCTACTATTCCCATGTTTATATCCTTGGGTGCTCAATGTTTAGCTCCCACTTACAAATGAGCACGCACTATTTGGTTTTCCGTTCATGCATTAATTCACTAGAATTATGGCCTCCAGGCCGGGCGTAGTGGCTCATGCCTGTAATCCCAGCACTTTGGGAGGCTGAGGTGGGTGGATCACTTGAGGTCAGGAGTTCGAGACCAGCCTGACCAACATGGCAAAACCCCATGTCTACAAAAATACAAAATTAGCTGGGCATGGTAGCACGTGCCTGTAATCCCAGCTACTCGGGAGGCTGAGGCAGGAGAATCGCTTGAACCTAGGAGGCAGAGGTTGTGGTGAGCTGAGATCGTGCCATTGCACTCCAGCCTGGGCAACAAGAGCGAAACTCTGTCTCAAAAAAAAATAAAAATAAATAAAAATTAGCTGGGCATGGTGATGCGTGCCTGTAGCTACAGCTACTAGGGAGGCTGAGGCAGGAGAATTGCCTGAACCCAAGAGGCAGGAGGCAGAGGTTGCAATGAGCAGAAATTGTGTCACTGCACTCCAGCCTGGGCAACAGAGTGAGATTTTGCCTCAAAAAAAAAAAAAAAAAAAAAAAAGGTCAAAAAAGAACAGATGCAGGCAAGGCTGCAGACAAAAGGGAACACATATACACTGTTGGTGGGAATGTAAATGATTTCAGCCACTATGGAGAGCAGTTTAGAAATTTCTGAAAGAACTGAAAACAGAATTGCCATTTGACCCGCAATCCCATTACTGGGGTATATACCCGGAGAAAAACACATCATTCCACCAAAAAGAACATGCACTTGTATGTTCATCTTTACACTAGTCACAATAGCAAAAAAAGGGAATCAATGTGGTGGATTAAAGAAAATGTGGGGGCCGGGCGCGGTGGTTCACATCTGTAATCCCAGCACTTTGGGAGGCTGAGGCGGGTGGATCACCTGAGGTCAGAACTTCAAGACCAGCCTGGTCAACATGGTGAAACCCCGTCTCTACTAAATATACAAAAATTAGCTGGGCATGTTGGCGGGTGCCTGTAATCCCAGCTATTCGGGAAGCTGAGGCAGGAGAATCACTTGAATCCAGGAGGCGGAGGTTGCAGTGAGCCGAGATCACGTCGTTGCACTCCAGCCTGGGCAACAAGAGCGAAACTTCGCCTCAAAAAAAAAAAAAGAAAAGAAAATGTGGTGCATTTACACCATGGAGCACACAGCCCTCTCCTCTTATACGTGGTGTTCTAAGGGGCACTTCCCAGCAGCGACCCTCCTGCACACAAGTCTCCAAGTCAGAACCTAACCTACCCCAGTTGGTGTCAGGACTGATTCTAGGAAGCAGCCTCTGAACACTGGGACCCAGAAGCTGGGTCGCCCACTGTCACTGGTGCTAGGAGAGCTGGAACCCAGCAGGTAGCAGGGAAGGGACCGCACTGCAGGGACAAGAGCTCCCGAATTGGAGAGGCTGGGGGAGTGGTAATTAATTATAAAGCCTGTGGAAGGAGACGGCTGTGCTGGGGCCCGCGTGCACTAGAGAAAGACAACGCAAGGCTGAGTGTGACTCATCACTAATTTAAGGCCAAGTGAGAAAGCCAAGGGCCTCTTTAGCAGCAAATAGATCCTCCTCTCCTGCAGCTGGAGAGGAAAAAGCTGAGGAGCGGGCCCAGGGCGCAGTTATGAGGGGAGCGTAAAACAGAAGAAGTTCAATGCTCAGCCCACGATGAGTCGGCTGCGTCAAGGTCAGAACCTGCTTGGGAAAGAGTGAGGTGCAGAAGTGACCCCCGGCGAGCACTCCCCCTGCTCGAAGACTATGCAGAGGATCAGGGGCTGGCCCAAGGGCGGGGGTGGGACATCAAGTGGGATAAAATAGAGTCAATCCCATAATACGAGAATTAACACCCTGGCAAGAGGGCCTTAACATGCTGCTTGGAGAAAACGAAAGCCCACAGTAGAAGCAGAAACGCCAGGGCTGCCGTGTCAGGCAGTGGAAGAAAGGATCCAAAGGCCTGGAGAAGGGGGGCATGCTTGGGTTTCCGCCATGTCTGGCCAGAAACCCACTCACTATCTGTCTTCTTCAGGAAGGCCGGGCAGGCACCTCATTTACCAGGGCCAACGGGAAAGCCCCTAAGAAGCTCAGGTGAATGTCCTCTGAAGACCTGCTAGTTGGAGCTGCAGTTACAGAACTGGGTGCCCTGACAACAGTGCGGATGACAGGATCCTGAAGGAAGAGGCCAGGTGGCGGCGCTCGGTCATCAGAAGGGCAGGCTCAGGAGTCATGAGATGGAGGCAGTTACCACCGCTAGCAGCTGGGTCAGAGCTGCCAGACCCGCCAAGCCATGGAAATGGTTCATAGACTCTGTGTCCCAGGGCAAGCCAGAAGGGCAGCAAACAAGGACACTGCCCACTTGATGCAATCAAAAGAGTCCAAGAGCTGGGCATGGTGGCTGACACTTGTAATCCTGGCACTTTGGGAGGCGTAAGTGGGAGGATCCCTTGGGCCTAGGAGTTCAAGATCAGCCTGGGCAACATAGGGAGACCCTGTCTCTACAAAAAAAAAAAAAAAAAAAAAGTTTTTAAATTAGCCAGGTGTGGTGGTGCATGCCTGTTGTCCCAGCTACTCAAGAGGCTGGGGTGGGAAGCTCACTTGAACCCAGAGGTCGAGGCTGCCATCAGTGAGCCCTGATCACACTACTGTACTCCAGCCTGGGTGACAAAAAAAAAACAAGAGAGAACATCCAAGGCTTCATGATGGGGGTTAAGGGCAGCAACCCAATGGAAAGTCCTGGTCCTTTGAGAAGTTTCCAGATCTGAGTAAGGTTTCAGATCCAACTGACTGAAGGAGAGACCAGGTCCCCAGAAGGAAGGACCCTGCAACCCCAGAATCAGCACATGTGATGATGATTCCATCAGTCCCTCCCAAGAAGGGCTTACACGCTTTTTATGTGAGTAACTATATGTGGGAGAAAGATGAATACCCAGGCATTTCAAAGACTGTCAGACATAGGGTCCACATGGACATTGGTCTGGGGACCCAAAGAGGCATCGTGGCCCCCTGTTAGGGCGGAAGCATATGGGGGCAGGTGATGAGTGGAGTCCTGGCCCAGCTTCGGCTCACAGGGAGTCCAGTGGATCCACAGGACATCCAGTGGTAGTCTCACTGGTCCCTGAGTGTATAACTGGAATAGACACACATTGCAGAACCCCCACACTGGTGCTTTGGCCTGCGGGGCAAGAGCTACTATGATAGCTCTTGGAAGCCTCTGAAACTGTCTGCCTCTGAAACTACCTGCCATTGAAGGAGGTGTGGCTGTGGGTTTTCGACGTGGAGGCCTGCGGGTCTCACCATACACCGCACCACCCAGCACTGCTGCTGGATGGGGTGATGCAACAGCCTTTTGGATGCAGCTGACCAAGAGCTCTACTGTACAGGATGGTGGCTGTAATTCATGACAACGTGCTGTATTGTTGAGCATTGCTACAAGAATAGATTTTAAGTATTCTCACCATAAAAATATGTGAGGTCATGCATATGTTAATTAGCTTGATTTAGACATTCCACAATTTCAAAACATCATGTTGCACACCATAAAAATATACTTTTTTTTTTTTTTTGAGACAAACTCTCACTCTATCACCCAGGCTGGTGTGCAGCAGTGGCACCAACTCGGCTCACTACAACCTCCACCTCCCTGGCTCAAGCGATCCTCCTGCCTCAGCCCCCCAAGTAGCTGGAACTACAGGGGCATGCCGCCACACCTGGCTAATTTTTGTATTTTTAGTAGAGACAGGGTTTCACCATGTTGCCCAGGCTGGTCTCGAACTTCTGGGCTCAAGTGATCCACCTGCCTCGGCCTCCCAAAGTATTAGGATTACGGGTGTGAGCCACTGCGCACAGCCAATATAGTCAATTTTTATTTGTCACTTTAAAAAATAATAGGCCGGGTGAGGTGGCTCACGCCTGTAATCCCAGCATTTTGGGAGGCAAAGGAGGGAGGATTGCTTGAGCCCAGGAGCTCAAGACCAGCCTGGGCAACAAATCAATCAATCAAATAAATAATAATAAAAAGATGCAGATGAGGTGCCAGCTTGGAGCTGATCTCCTGCAAGGATGGTGAGCTGTCTTCTGGAACATGGCACACACTCTAATGACTACTGTATGGTGCTGAGTCCCTAATGGGACTAGAATACATGCATCTAAGAACTATGGGGTAGAAGTAGGAGCAGCCCCATTCACCACCACACCCAGGGACAACTCTGGGCACTGCAAGTTTAGAAATCCTGGTTCCCAAAGGGGAAATAGTTCCACCAAGAGACAGCAAGAGTCACATTAAACTTTCAGCTGTAACTGCCACCACTTCCCTTCAGGCCCCTTGTGGCAAGAAACCAGCAGGGAAAAAACAACAACACAGAGTCACCATCCTGGCAGGAATAACTGGCCCTGATCATCCACTTGGGCCTTCTGTACAAGCCTCACACTGTTTGTATGGCAAGGGGCAGGGAAGAATAATAGCCTTGGCAGCCAGGTAATTCCCTGGGACATCTCTTGGTGCTCCCTTGCCTGGTATTGATGGGAAATGGGAAAGGGCAATGGTCAGGGTCTGAGGAGAGCAGGATGGCCAGAGACTCAGACTCCCTCAGACATGAGGGGCCAGGTCCCCTCAAAAGGGAAGCCACCCAGACCAACAGAGGTGCTGGCCAAGGTCAGGGTCATTGAAGAGGGAGAGTGCAAGTGTCTGTTGTGGCCCAGAGTCCTGCTGCAGCAGCGGGACTGTGGCTTATCTCACTGACCTTCCCCTTATAAGCCTCCCCAGGAAAAGAGACCAACCAGGACCCTGAAGAAGCTGTTCCCAGGTGGGATGAATTATTATAAGGGCTCAGATTTCCAAGTAGCATGAGGGGCAGGCTGCAGTGGATGCTGTAGGTTTGCCACCTTCCCAGGGTGAGGTCACTTTTGACCCCAGCTGTTGGGAGTGTTGCCTGCTCATGGTCCACGGCTGAGTCCCTCTCTGGGCATTGCCCTTGGCTGAAGGGAGCCACCTCGTCAAAGGTTATGCCTCCTCCCCAGAGACAGCCTGCGTCCAGTGACTGGTCAATGCGAGGGTGCAAAGCCCTGGCCCCTTGTCTTAATATGGTATGATGTTCAAGAGTCACCCCAGCTTCAGGGTTCCATGTGGGGTCAGCTGAGGCCTCTACTGTGACTTCTCCTTCAGTCCAGTCCTCCATCCTTCAATCCTGTTGATTCCGAGAGCAACCTCCTGCATCCAAACCTCCTGCATCCAAACCTTCAGCTCAGAGTATTTTCCAGAAACTAGACCTACGCCAACTACACAGTGGTAGAGAAGGGAAAACCACTCAGCCCACCGGAGCACGGGGGACTCTCACAGACAGAGCACTGAGCACCAAACAGCACATTCCACGTGATTCCATGTCTGTGAAGTTCCATAACAGGCAAACCTGATCCTGACAGTCAGAAGACTGGTTACCAGGGGCAGACATTAACTGGGAAGGAGCAGGAGGGAACCTTCCAGGATGCGGGAAGTGTTCTATATCTTGTTCTGTGTAGTGGCTCATGTTCACTGACGTGCACTTTGTACTTTAATTAATTGATTAACTGATTGACTGATTGAGACAGGGTCTCACTCCATCACCCAGGCTGGAGTGCAGTGGTGCAATCATAGCTCACTGCAGCCTCAACCTCCCTGGGCTCGGCTGATCCTCCCACCTCAGCCTCCTAAGCAGCTGGGATTACAGGCATGCACGACCACGGCCACCTAATTTTTTTTTTTTTTTTGGTAGAGATGGGGTTTCGCCATGTTGCCCACGCTGGTCTCAAACTCCTGAGTTCAAGTAAGTTGGCTGCCTCAGCCTCCCAAAGTGCTGGGATTATAGGCGTGAGCCACCACACCCAACTATATCTCAATTTAAAACAGGCCCCAGCCCAGTTAAATCAGAAAATTCTAATGTGCAGCCAGGGTCCAGAAGACCCTAGGCTGGGGTCTACTGAAGTGGGGAAGAGGCACTGTCCCAACTCGCAGAGCAACTGAACCAAGGCTCCAAGGCAGGAGGAAAGAGAGGGGCCCACGGAGGAGGGCCCCGGAAGGCAGCCCTGCAGGGGTGACAGGAGTAGGGGTGGGAACAGAGTGGCCCAGGTGTGTTGTGCCCATAGAGCTTAGGGGAGGGAGGAAGAGGACCAGCGATGGCAACGTCACCTTTTTGCTGTCTGGCCTTGGGACATCACTTTCCCTGTCTGGACCCCAGTGTCCTCCCTGCTAGTGCAGCACTGGACTGAAATGGGAAGCGGGAGGGGCAGGATGTAGTTGAATCCCAGTTCCATACCCCGTGGCCTCCAGGCCCCGTTCAAACCTCAGTCCTGCCCTAGCTGGCAACTTACCTGGCCCCCTTCCTGTTTTCTCATCTTCAAAGCGGGGATGATGGCACCTACTTCACCCCATGGCTGTGAGAACCACATTGGAGACAAATATTTTACAACACCTCCTCCTCCCTCCCTCTCAGCTGACAGCTGTGCTCTGAGAAAAAGGGAGGCACCTAGAGACACTGTGGCCCCAAACCCACCTCACCCCACCCCTAGGCCCTGCCTCCCTCTCCCTGGGTTCCCAGGCCCCCTGTCCCTCCACCCCTCACCCCCTAGTCTGGGCACTCCTGCTGCAGGGCTGGGATGTGCTCTCCCCTCTCCTGAATGATCGGTTTTCCCTCACATGAGAATCTTTCCCACCCAGAGAGAATCATGCTGTTGTTTCTCTCATTTAAGAGAAAGTCAAAAGGGCCCCCTAGACCACCCAGTGCCGCCCACGTTGCGGGCCCATGTGTCTCCTCCCTCTGGTGGCAGAGGACACTCCTGGAAAGGCCTGTCCATCCTCCCCATCTCCACTCCCTCCGAAGCCTTTCCAGTTGGCCTCTGGCCCTCCCCAGCCACTGCTGACCCCCATGGCCAGTCTCCAATCCTCCTCCTTGGCAGCATGCTGTCCGCCTCTGGGCTCCTCAGACACCACACTCCCACTCTGTGTCACAACTCCTTCTCCCTGGGTGGGCCCTCACAGGGCCAGGGCTCAGGTCTGGGACCTCTTCTCTTCTCCACTCAACGTCTACTCCCTCTGGGATCTCATCGGGGCCGTGGCCTTAGAGTCCCCTGAACTCCAGCCTCACAAATCTACCCACCTCCTCAACGGCCCCACCTGGATATGGGACAGGCCACATGTCCCCAGATGACTGCCCCCTAGCCTGCTCCAACGCTGGCCTTTGCCATCTCAGGACACAACACCACTGTTCACCCAAGAACTCAGGAATCTCCCTCACCCCACACCCCGCTGACTCTCCCTTCAAAATATACCCAGAATCCAGCCACCTCTCACCTGTCGGCCACAGATGCCAGGGTCTGCCCCAGCCCCCTGTCCCACTCGGAGGGCTACGTGGCCTCCTAATGAGCCCTCCTGCTTCCACCCTCACCCCCTACTGTCTATCTGCCAGACGGCAGCTGCAGTCATCTTTTTAAAACATAAATAATGTCACTAAAGTTGATACACAACCCCCCACTGCTCAATTTGACTGGCTTTTTTTAAAATTGAAAAATAAAAACATAAATATAATTTTGACACATCACACACCTGCTGAAACCCTCCAGCGAGTGACTCACCAATCTGAGAACAGGATCGCTGTGCCTTTGGGCCCCAACCTGTTGACTCATCCTCACCTCCAACCACTCCCCACGCCTCACTCCACTCCAGACCCCCTGTGCTTCCTCTTCCCTGAGTCGGGGCTAGCACCTGCGGCTTCCTGTCCCAAGATGCTCCTCCCTTGACATCTGCAGGGCGCATTTCCTTTGCTTTAAGTCTCTGATTCATGATCCTGACCCCCACTTTCGCCCCATCCAGAACAGCCAGCCCATGCCCCTCACCCCTTACTTAAACCCTCACCCCTGCTTTATTTTTCCTTTGTAACACTTATCACTTCCTAATATATATGTGTGTATGTGGATATATATATATTTTTTAATTAATAGATTTTATTTTTTAGAGCAGTTTTAGGCTCCTAGAAAAATTGACCAGAAAATACAGAGAGTTCCCATACACCCTCTCCCACCCACATAGTAGCCACCCTTATTGTCCATACCGTGCATCTCTGTGGTACATTTGTTAGCACTGATGAACCTACACTGACACATCATTATCACCCAGAGTCCATAGTTTACATTAGGGTTCACTCTTGGTGGTGTATATTCTATAGGTTTTGACTCATGTTGATGACATGTATCTACCATCATAGTATCATACAGAAAAGTTGCCTGCCCTAAAAATCCTCTGTGCTTTCTACCTGTTTACCTCTCCCTGCCCCACCCCAATCTCTGATAACTACTGATCTTTTTACCATCTCCACAGTTTTTCCTTTTCCAGAATGTTATCTAGTTGGAATCATACAGTGTGAGGCCTTTTCATATTGGCTTCTTTCACTTAGTAAAATGCATTTAAGGTTCCTCCTTGCCTTTTCATGGCTTGATAGCTCATTTATTTTGAACACTGAATAATATTCCATTGCCAGGATGTGCCACAGTTTATATAACCATTTGCCTATTGAAGGACATCTTGATTGCTTCTAAATGTTGGCAATGAAATGTCTTGACATTCACAGGACACAGCAGCATGTTAAAGGCCCTGATGAGGCCTACCCTAAAGAGCACCCTTTACCTGGGTTGAACCCAAAAGTAAATTTCCCAAATTTGACCATGGACAATCTGTCCAGGTGCCACCTCCCACCTCCTGGGTGCCACAGGAGCTCATACTAGGAGGACAAGTCCCCTCTCTCAGCTGGGGCAGCCCATAAAGTCCTTGAAGGGGCTGAGCGCGGTGGCTAACACCTGTAATCCCAACACTTTGGGAGGCCGAGGCAGGTGGATCACCTGAGGTTGGGAGTTCGAGACCAGCCTGGCCAACATGGAGAAACCCTGTCTCTACTAAAAATACAAAATTAGCCGGGCATGGTGGCACATGCCTGTAATCAATCCCAGCTACTCGGGAGGTTGAGGCAGGAGAATCATGTGAACCCGGGAGGCGGAGGTTGCAGTGAGCCAAGATTGCACCATTGCACTCCAGCCTGGGCAACAAGAGTGAAGCTCTGTCTCAAAAAAAAAAAAAAAAAAAAAAAAAAAGTCCTTGAAGGAGAGAGACTGTGGCTAAGAGCCACAGAGCCAGGCGCCAGAAACCACGTAAAGGGAGCGGTGGAGTTTGGAGGTTTGGAGCTCATGTGCCCAGCTGGGGTGAGGACCCCTAGAGGAGCAGTAGGAACTGAACTGGGACCCAACTCTGGTGCCCACCGGCTACGTGGCCCTGCGCAAGCCACTCCCCTCCTCTGTCCCACAGCATTACAGTAAGATGAAGGGACTGGGCAAGGTTGGTCCTACATCCCAAGGTCCTTTGTCCAGAGCTTCAGAGACTATTGGATGGGACCTTAGGTTGACTTCTAGAATTCAAAAAGTCTGGGCCGGGCGTGGTGGCTCACGCCTGTAATCCCAGCACTTTGGGAGACCAAGGTGGGCAGATCACTTGAGCCCAGGAGTTCAAGATCAGCCTAGATAACATGGCAAAACTCCGTATCTACTAAAAATACAAAACATTAGCCAGGCGTGGTTGCTCACGCCTGTAGTCCCAGCTACTTGGGAGGCTGAGGTGGGAGGATCACTTGAGCCCAGGAAGTCGAGGCTGCAGTGAGCCATGATCGTGCCACTGCACTCCAGCCTGGGCACCAAGAGTGAGACCTTGTTTCAAAAAAAAAAAAAAAAAAAAGTTAAACATGGAGTTGGCTGGGCGCAGTGGCTAACATCTGTAATCCCAGCACTTTGGGAAGCCAAAGTGGGCAGACCACCTGAGGTCAGGAGTTCAAGACCAGCCTGGCCAACATGGTGAAACCCCGTCTCTACTAAAAAAAATACAAAAATTAGCTGGGTGTGGCGGCAGGCGCCTGTAATCCCAGCTACTCAGGAGGCTGAGGTAGGGAGAATTTATTGAACCCGGGAGGTGGGGAAGGTTGCAGTGAGCCGATATCATGCCATTGCTTTCCAGCCTGGGCAACAGAGTGAGACTCTGTCTCAAAAAAAAAAAAACAAAAACAAAAACATAGAGTTACCATATGACCCAGCAATTCTACTCCTAGGTATATATCCAAGAGAAATGAAAACATATGTTCACACAAAAACATGCATATAAATGTTCTTAGAAGTATTATTCATAAAAACCCAAAAAAGTGGAAACAACTCAAATGTCCATCAATGGATGAGTGGATAAACAAAATGTAGTATATTCATGCAATGGAATATGATTCAGCCATAAAAAGGAATGCACTAGTTACTTGCTACAAAGGGGGATGAACCTTAAAAACATTATACTAAGTGAAAGAAGCCAAGGCTGGGCGCAGTGGCTCACACCTGTAATCCCAGCACTTTGGGAGGCCGAGGCAGGCAGATCAGCTGAGGTCAGGGGTTCAAGACTAGCCTGCCCAACATGGTGAAACCCCATCTCTACTAAAAACACAAAATTAGCTGGGCATGGTGGCTGGCGCCTATAATCCCAGCTACTCAGGAGGCTGAGGCAGGAGAATCGCTTGAATCCAAGAGGCAGAGATTGCGGTGAGCCGAGGTCACGCCATTGCACTCCAGCCTGGGCAACAAGAGTGAAACTCCATCTCAAAACAAAAAACAAAAAACAAAAAACAAAAAAACAAAAAAAGAAGCCAGTCACAAAAGGCTTATATGATTCAATTTATATGAATCTTCCAGAATAAGCAAATTTATAGAGACAGAAGGTTGTTTGGTGATTTCCAGAGCTGAGGGAGGGGGAATTGGGAAGTAGCTGTTAATGGATATGGAGTTTCTTTTTGGAGTTATGGAATATTCTGGAATTAGATAGCGGTTACCCAACTTTGTAAATATACTAAAAGCCACTGACATGTACATTTGAAAAGAGTAAATATTATGGTATATGAATCGTATTTCAATAAAAAATGTGTTTATATAAAAGATCCACAGCTCCTTGGAGAGCTGGCTGAGTCCAGCTCTGAGGAACGTAGAACATCTTCACACCAGAAAGCAAGGGTATTTTCTTTTTTCTTTTTTTTTTTTTTAGATGGAGTCTTGCTCTGTCGCCCAGGCTGGAGTGCAGTGGCACGATCTCGGCTCACTGCAAGCTCCACCTCCCGGGTTCACACCATTCTCTTGCCTCAGCCTCCCTGGTAGCTGGGACTACAGGCGCTCGCCACCACGCCTGGCTAATTTTTTTGTATTTTTAGTAGAGATGGGTTTCATTGTTGTCTCAATCTCCTGACCTCGTGATCCTCCCGCCTCGGCCTCCCTAAGTGCTGGGATTACAGGCGTGAGCCACCGCACCCGGCCAAGCAAGGGCATTTTCAAAAACCCGTGTGAACGTATGAAAAAGATGTCAGAAGCCAGGCGCGGTGGCTTGCACATGTAATCCCAGCACTTTGGGAAGCCAAGGAGGCTGGATCACTTGAGATCAGGAGTTTGAGACCAGCCTGGCCAACATTGTGAAATCCCATCTAAAGATACTAAAGAAACAAAAATTAGCCAGGCATGGTGATGCATGCCTGTAGTCCCAGCTCTCGGGGGGCTGAGGCAGAAGAATCACTTGAACCCAGGGAGGTGGAGGTTGCAGTGAGCCGTGATCACACCACTGCACTCCAGCCTGGGCAACAGAGTGAGACCTTGTCTAAAAAAAGAAGAGTCCACTTGAAGAAGTTCCCACTGGCCAAAGATGAGACAATTTGAGCATTACTGAGAATAATGACTGCAAGTGCTAAAACACATCAAATTTATAAAAATCCATAATGATAATGAAAACTAAATTCTAAAAAAAAAAAAAGAAAAAAAGTCTGCTAGTAACCACATACCTGCAAGAATGTGGACCACTGGGATTCTGCACACACTGCTTTGTGCAGGTATGATTTGGTACAAGCACTCTGGAGAACAGTTTCACATTATCTATAAGATTGAAGATCACATACCCTATGACCTAGTGATTCCATTCCTTTGCATAAACCCTGGAGAACTGCATGCATATGTTTACCTGGGGATATATATAGAGCAGAAACTTTTTTTAAAGTACTTTTTATCTTATCCCTTCATGGAAGCCAGCAGAACTTTTCACAGTAGACACAAATCAGAAAAAAACCCTGATGTCTGTAAACAGACTGGACAAGTATATCATGGTTTATTTACATATTAGAAACTATTATATATGATGAAAAATGAGTCAGGTACAGTGGCTCATGCCTGTAATCCCAGCACTTTGGGAGGCCGAGGTGGGCAGATTGCTTGAGCCCGGGAGTTCAAGACCAGCCTGGGCAAAATAGGGAGCGCCCCATCTCTACAAAAAATTTAAAAATTAGCTGGGTGTGGTGGTGCACACCTGTGGTCCCAGCCACTCGAGAGGCTGAGGTGGGAGGATCATTTGAGCCTGGGAGGCAGAGGTTACACTGAGCCGTGATGGTACTACTGCACTCCAGCCTGGGTGACAGAGTGAGATCCTTTCTCAAAAAAAAAAAAAAAGAAAGAAAGAAGGAAAAGAAAATGAAAGGACTGATGCTACAAATAACAACCTGGATCCTGGTAAAAAGAAAATGTTAATTTAAAAAGAGAACAAACTTTAGTTGCCAGGAGTGGTGGCTCATGCCTGTAATCCCAGCACTTTGGGAGGCCGAGGTGGGTGGATCACCTGAGGTCAGGAGTTCGAGACCAGCCTGGCCAACACGGTGAAACCCCGTCTCCATTAAAAATACAAAAATTAGCTGGGTGTGGTGGCATATGCCTGTGGTCCCAGCTACTATGGAGGCTGAGGCAGGAAAATCACTTGAGCCCAGGAGGCGGAGGTTGCAGTGAGCTGAGATTGCACCACTGCACTCCAGCCTGGGTGACAGAGCAAGACTCTGTCTCAAAAAGTAATAATAATAATAAAATTAAAAATAAAATAAAAAACAACAGACTTTAATGAATACATAATTCATTACTTAAAATTCAAAAAAACCAAGTGTGGTGGCTCCTGCCTGTAATCCCAGCACTTTGAAAGGCTGAAGCAGGAGGATCACTTGAGCCCAGGAGTTCAAGTCCAGCCCGGGCAACAGAGGGAATCCCCATCTCTCTAAAAAATAAAATAAAATAAAAATAAATTTAAAAGATAGCTGGGCATGGTGGTGCACTCCTGTGGTCCCAGCTTCTCAGAAGGCTGAGGTGGGAGGATTGCTTGAGCCCAGGAGATTGAGCCTAAATGGGCCAAGATCGTGCCATTGCACTCCAGCCTGAGCAAGACCCTGTCTCAAAAAAGAAAGAAAGAAAGAAAAATCAGAAAATTCAAAAAGAAACAGAACTCTTTGGTTTTGGATGCATATTTACATGGTAAAACCAAAAACAAAGCAGTGAATAACCCTAACTGTTTAGAATGGTGGGTTCCAGTGGGGGAGGGAGGGGCTTGTGATGGGGAAAGGTCTGAGGGGGTCCTTTGGTGCTGTGGCAATGTTTTGATTTTTTTTTACCTACATGATGGAGACATTGGCTTTATATTAAATTTGTTAAAATGTTGCTATGGTTTGAGTGTGTCCCCTCCAAAACACATGTTGAAATCTGATTCCCAATGTGGCTGTGTTGGGAGGTAGGGCCTAGTGAGAGGTGTTTGGATTATGGGGCACTGCCCTCATGACTAGGTTAATGCCACCTTGCTGGAGTGCTGTGGGAATGGATTAGTTCCCATGAGAGCAGGCTGTTATAAAGTGAGCCCAGCCTCTCGTCTGTCTCTTTTGCACTTGCCCACTTGTTGCTCTGGCACCTCCTCTTGCCGTATTAGAATGCAGCCAGGTGGTCCTCACCAGAAGACAAGCAGACCCGGCGCCATGCTGCTTGGACTTCTCAGCCTCCAGAATTGTGAGCCAAATAAGCTCCTTGTCCTTTTAATTTACCTGGGCTCAGGTATTCTGTTATACAACACAAAAAAGACTAAGACAAATGTACAACCTATTTTATATATGTTTATATTTTTAAAAAGGAAAAAATATTCACTGGTCACCATTGGAGGTTGCTACAGCACCAACTCATTTCTTTAAAAATGGATAAATAGGCTGAGTGTGGTGGCTCATGCCTGTAATCCCAGCACTTCGGGAGGCCGAGGCAGGAGGATCACAAGGTCAGGAGTTCGAGACCAGCCTGACCAACATAGTGAAACCCCATCTTTACTAAAAATACAAAAATTAGCCAGGTGTGGTGACGCATGCCTGCAATCCCAGCTACTCAGGAGCCTGAGGCAGGAGAATCACTTGAACCCAGGAGTCGGAGGTTGAAGTGAGCCGAGATCGTGCCACTGCACTCCAGCCTGGGTGACAGAGCGAGACTCCATCTCAAAAAAAAAAAAAAAAAAAAAGAAGATAAATAGGCTCGGCGTGGTGGCTCATGCCTGTAATCCCAGCACTTTGGGAGGCCGAGGAGGGTGGATCACTAGGTCAAGAGTTCAAGACCACCCTGGCCAACATAATGAAACCCCATCTCTACTAAAAATACAAAAAATTAGCTGGGCACTGTGGGATGCGCCTGTAGTCCCAGCTACTCAGGAGGCTGAGGCAGGAGAATCGCTGGAACCCGGGAGCCGGAGGTTGCAGTAAGCCGAGATCGCGCCACTGTGCTCCAGCCTGGGCGTCAGAGCGAGACTTTGTCTCAAAAAAAAAAAAAAAAGGATAAAGGGGCTGGGCATGGTGGCTCATGCCTGTAATCCCAGCACTTTGGGAGGCTGAGGCGGGAGGATTGCTTGAGCCCAGGAGTTGAAGACCAGCCCGGGCAACATGGGAAGACCCTGTCTCTACAAAAAAAAAAAAAAAAAGATGGCCAGGCTTGGTGGCACACAGCTGTAGTCCCAGCTACTGGGGAGGCTGAGTTGTGAGGATAGCTCAAGCCCAGGAGGTTGAGGTTGCAGTAAGCCAAGATCATGCCACTGCACTCCAGCCTGGGCAACAGAGTGAGACCCTGTCTCAAAAAGCAAACAAACAAACAAAGGATAAAGTGAAGGAATGGAGCCTTTATCCTCCAGTATGCACCATGTTTCAGAATAACAAAATAGGTGAAGAGGAATAGTTCTTTGTAGAAGTCTAGCTCATAAATGCAAACAAAATGATCAAATTAGAAAAAGAAATAACCATCTGGAGAAGAGAAAATATGATGGAAATTGGACTTGAGCTTGCAGTAAAGATGAGATGGCCAGAGCCCTCAGGGGCCCTCATCTTTCTGTGCCCCTGGTCCCCCAGCTGTTGCAGGGAATGCCTGTTCCCTGCAGACCACAGCACCTCAACAGGCCACACCCACAGTGAGATGGACATGATTTTCTTTCTTTCTTTCTTCTTTTTTTCTTGATTTCTTTCTTTCTCTCTTTCTCTTTCTTTCTTTCTTCTTTTTCTTTTTTCTTTTTTTTTTAAATAGAGACAGCATCTCCCTATGTTGCCCAGGTTGGTCTTGAACTCCTGGACTCAAGCAATCCTCCCGCTTTGGCCTCCCAAAGTGCTGGGATTACAGGCATGAGCAACCATGCCCGGCCTGGACATGCTTATTTGCATATGTTTTGCAAACAAAATTCACACAAAGATTCCTGAAGTTCTGCCAACAGAGGCACAGTCCCTCAGTGCAGCCCCTGGAGGAAGCCCTCAGGGCTGAGGTTTGGAACAGAGTGCTGGCCTCCTCTGCCACAGCCCAAATGAGCAATGGTCAGAGAGGCCTGAGGGCCAGGGAACGAGGGGGTCCTAGGGAGAGAAGGGAAATCCCGAGCTGACACAGGCCTGGAGTGCCCACCCCCGAGCTACTGCCTCATAGATGCCCATTACCAAGGCAGTCCTGGGGGGTGCCCTCTCCACCCTTACATTCCTCAGGTGGCAATTTTGTGATTTGGTTGCTCCCTGTCAGGATTGTCTTGGCCCTGTTTGGCAGGAAAGTAGGAAGTCCCCTGTGATTTGCCACCCGCCCCCGGCCCTGTCCAGGGGCCCCCAAGCCAAGCCAAGCCAGCTTTGCAGCTTACCAGGCCAGCTGGTGCAAGGGGGAGGGGCCACCAACACCCAGGCCATGCTGGGGCTGGCAGAAAGGCCCACCCAGCTGTCAGGGCCAATGACAAGGGGCTGGCAAGGCGGCAGAGGCAGGGATCCTGAGCCCTGTAGTGTAGGGGAAGCCTCCTATCAGAGGTGCCCCATCTGGGGCAGGGCCAAGTGGGGCAGGTGAGATGGCGGCCAGTCATCCAACACCTGGGGAGCAGGCAGCAGTGGCAGCCCAGTGTCCGATGGAGCTGATGATAGAGGTGACACCAGATATCCTGCTGGTGGAGGGGGGAGGGAGTGTGGGGAGGGCTGGGGAAGGGGCTGCAGGAAGCAGGAGAGCCAAATTCAGCCCCATGCTTTCGAATCCCAGCTCTATCACACGCTTGGCGAGAGACATCGGCTGGGAGCTGCAAGTCCCTCTGTAGCCTCAGCTTACCCATCTGAAGATGGGGTGCTGTGAAGGTGAAGGGGAGCCTGGCACAGTGCTAGCACATAGTTCATGCTCAACAGACATCGTGTTGTCATTATGGAAGCTGGGACTCATGAGGGCTCAGTAGGGGTAACCACGGTGGTGGCGGCTAAATACTGGGCAGATCCACTGACTGGCAACTCCAGGGACAAGGACAAAGTGTGTGTCATTCACTGCTGAATGGCCTGGTGCCTAGTTCAGCACACAGCACACCACACGCAATACATATTCATTTAACATTCAAAAGGATGAATGCTTGAGAGTAAAACTACAAACCAGCAGCCACTAAGACGATTTGTCCGCTAATCAGAGGATCCTGAGTAAGAATTTGAGCTTAAATCTAACCCCTTCCTGGCTGTGCAACCTCAAGCAAGTCATTTCAGCCCTAAGAACCTCAGCTTCCTCCTCTAGGAAATGGGAATAATTATCATTAATAAATACCATCCCCACAGGCTTGTGGCAAGGCTCAAAGCAGAAATGGATATGGAAGTAGAGGGGGTACTGCCAGTGTCCTTCTATCAGGTGGGGTACCCATCTCTCAGCAGCTGTGGGTGCTGGCTGCTAGCAGCTCACAGCTGCCCCCTTCCCCTGAGAGCTGCCCTTGGCTTACAGGAGCTGCCTCATCTGGAGATGCAGGGGGAGGCTAGGCCCTTCCCCGGGAGCAGCTTGCAGACAATGACCACCAGCTAAGGGGCTACAAAGGCCTGGCCCCTTGTCTGGAGGAAGGTAACCCTGGGAGACTGGCTGTTCATAATCTAGAGCTCTCCGTGGGATCCTAGCTGTAAGCAAATCTTTTCCCGCTCTAATATGAGCATGCCTGCAATAAATCATTTGCCCGGGAATCCTTGTCTCAGCTCTGCTTCTAGAAGACCAGACTTGAGACAGGAAGTATTTTGTAAACAATGACACACTAGGCACAAATATGTGTTTTTTTAATTTTTTTTTTAATTTTAGGAAACATTGAAAGTAGAGGAGCTAGCAATGTGAGAGGAGGAGGCGGTCAGCTCTGTGGGCAGGGGTGAGGGGTAGGGGAAGCCCAGTCATGCTGCTCTGCCCCCACCCAAACCCTGCCTTCATGGAATGCTTGGGCAGGTAAGGGGGACAGACAAGAAACCAACAAGAGCATAATGTCAGGGATAAGTGCTATGAAGATGATAAAGTAGAATCAGGAGATGGGGGACAACGAGGGCTGTTTTTGATAAGGTGGTCTGGGAGGCCTCTCTGAGGGGGTGATGTGGGTGGAGATGTGAACATCATGAGCCATGTAGGCCTTTGGGGAAGAGAATTCCAGGCATAGGGAATAGGAGTGCAAAGGCCCTGGGGCAGGGTGTTTGATGGGTCCAAGAAATGACCTGGGGATCAGTGAGGCTAGGATGTATGAGAGAAGGTCTGAGGTATTGGGCAGCCGGATCACATGGGGTCTTGCAGGCAATTATAGGGCTTTTTTTTTTTTTTTTTTTTTCTGAGACAGAGTCTTGCTCTGTCACCCAGGCTGGATGCAGTGGTATGATCTCAGCTCACTGCAACCTCTGCCTCCCAGGTTTGAGGGATTCTCCTGCCTCAGGCTCCTGAGTAGCTGGGACTACAGGTGTGTGCCATCACACCTGGCTAATTTTTGTAATTTTAGTACAGATGGGGTTTCACCATGTTGGCCAGGCTGGTCTGAAACCCCTGACCTCAGGTGATCCACCTGCCTCGGCCTCCCAAAGTGCTGGGATTACAGGTGTGAGCCACTGCATCTAGCCTGTTATAGGATTCTGGGCTTTATTCTGAATGGGAGGGGAGTCATTGAAGAGCTTTAGCAGAGGAAGGATGTGATCTGATTTAAGTTTTAAAGGACCTTTGGCTGGTGAGGCAAGGACGGGGCAGGAAGACCAGGTAGAGGCTGCTGCAAAGATCTAGGAGAGGATAGTGGAGGCTCAGAAGGGAAGGCAGCAATGGAGGTGACAAGAAGTGGGTGGATTCTGGGTGTTTTGAATGTAGAATTGAAGGACTTGTTGATGACTAAATGAGGTGTCAGGGACAGACAAATGCAACTCCCAATTTACAGAGAGGACAGAAGAACATACTAAATAACACCACAGGGATGCAATCAACAAAATCCAGTCTGCAGGAAACACAGCAGGACAAACCACCTGCTTCCTCCCATAGATAAACTGCAAAAGAATAAGAAAAGATGGAGAGGAGAACTGTGGATTGAAAGAGACTAAGACATATCAACCAATCATAACGTGTGAACTTTACCTGGAACTTGATTTAAACAATTTAAAAAACAAAAAGACATGTCTGAGACAACAGGGAATGTGAATACTAAGTGAATATTTGACTATATAAAGGAATTAATACTTCTTAGGTATAATAATGGTATTGTGATTGTGTTAGAAAAAGTCCTTATCTTTTAGAGAAATATCTTGATTGAGATGAGATTGGACATGTGTTGGTATCTGTTGATGCTAAGCCATGAGTATATGACTGTTATATAACATTTTCTCTACTTCTGTAAATGCTTATAATATTTCACAATAAAAAGTTTGCAAATAAAAGACAGAAGAGGAAACAGAATCCAAGGGAGGGGGTTGAGTGGCCCTAGGCCCCTCAGTGAGTCAGTGTCAGGGCCAGGACCTCAGCCTGGACCCCCAACCCCCAGCCCTCCAGCCCTGCCTCGGCTGCCCCTCTTGTCCTCAGTGGCTGGTCAAGGCTAGACCCCGGGAACCCAGTGATGAAATGTGTGACCTCAGGGAAGGCCCAGATTAGGCAGAGTGGGGCTAAGGGATGCAGGGTCTTTGCCAGGCCCTGCAAGGAGAAGCAGCCCTGGGCCACCTGTCCCACAAGGTCCAATGAGGCTGATCATTTAAAGTGCCCTGCAGCAGCAATCCAAGCTGGCTGCCCCACCAGCCTCACGACCCATGTCCTCTCTCGTGTTCCTATGCTGATTTCCTCCCCAGCCCCTGAGACCACCACTCACATTCCAGCCTTTGCATCTTTGTCCCTGCTGTCACTCTGCCTGGAATGTACCCCCCCGCCCCCCGCCCCGTCTCTGGATCTGACCAGCCTTTCCTTCCAGGTCTGCCTTCTGCAGAAGACAACCCTCCTTCAGTCTTCCAGAACACACCTGCCTCCAGTCTCTGAGACAAGAGATTATCCCCATTCCTCGACGACAGGTGCTGAGGCAGAGAGGCTCACAAGCACAGCTTCTGGAGCCAGACTGCATGGCTGTGAATCTGGCTCAGCCACTTACTGTGTGACCTCAGGCAAGTCACTTAACTTCAGTTGCCCCATCTGTAAAATGGGGATAACCCCATGAGCTTACTAAGAGGACTAAATGAGTTATAAATATGGATAAACAAAAGAGCGCCTGGCACATGTCAGGGATCCCCGGCCCCTCCTTTGTGCCCCTACAAGACTCCCCAGTGCTACACAACCACCACTTTGCCAGATACCCCACTTCTGCCATACTCCTTCTACAGCCCTCCTGATACCCAGATGTTACCTTACCTTACCCCCTTTCCCATCCCGCCAGGTTTCAGGCACCACAGGCCTGGGAGGAGGGAGAGGGAATATAAGCCCATGAGGGGACCAGTTAGGAACCAACCACAGATAAAAACTCTCCAAACACACGTGGCAGCATGTGACTCACATGCCATCAGATTAAGGGGAATGGAGTTTACGTGCTCATTTTTTTAGGTTTCTAAGAAAAAAATTCCCAGTATCATCAAGTGCAGTTTTAATTGTTTTCTTCATGAGTAATGATATTTGTTTATAAAATGCAAACAGCACAGAATGGCTGAAATAAAGAGGACGCATTCTCCCTCCAGATCCCTGCGATAGGCCTCAGCCCAGAGGCAAGCTCTAATCACAATCAGGTATGCAGCCTTCTACACATTGTTATGTAAATATGAACAGAGAAGAACATATGTACATGTACTTTAAAAATTGTATCATACTACACACATTGTTCTTTTTTTTTTTTTTTTTTTTTTTGAGACAGAGTCTGGCTCTGTCTCCCAGGCTGGAGTGCAGTGGCCCGATCTCGGCTCACTTCAACCTCCGCCTCCTGGGCTCAAGCGATTCTCCTGCCTCAGCCTCCTGAGTAGCTGGGACTACAGGCGTCCTTCACCACACCCAGGTAATTTTTGTATTTTTAGTAGAGACAGGGGTTTCACCATATTGGCCAGGTTGGTCTCGAACTCCTGACCTTGACTACACACATTGTTCTACAAAGCCACTTGCTTTAACTTATCAGTACGTGATGACCATCTTTCCACACTGGTAATAAGCTCCGCCCCATCTTGTCTCAGTGTCCCCAAGCACCTAAAGTGGTGCCTGGCAGGCAGCGACATTCAGAGATCCATTGATTAAATCCCAGAACGAACAACTGCCCGAAATCACAGCGTACAAAGAGGTCTTGACTTTGTCACTGGTCCTCCTGACAGACATCTAGCTTTGCTACACTGACTGTCTCTGCCCAGCTAATCTTTGCACCCTGCTCAGAGTGTACCTGTGGAATAAGTCCCAAAAAGTGGAATTGCCAAGTCAAAACTGTGACCACTGTTGCCAAAAACACAGTGCTAACGTATGCTCCCCGACTGACGTGAGAGTTCTAGTTTCCCACGCCCTCCGCCAAATGAGAGCTTTCTTAGGAGGACTTTTATTTCTCAAATGGATTACCCCTATTTAGTGATTCCACCCTTGATCACCACATCTCCCTTTGTCCCACCTGCATAAATGAGAAAACTATTGTTTTATTATTTCTCAGCAGCACTAAGGAGCCAAAATCCACAAATAAGGGACTACTCTCTAGCCAGTATAGAAAGTTAACAGATGGGAAATTTGGAACATCTCACCTGTTTCTAAAAATGGATGTGTTAATGTTTTAAAACTGTCAACTTCAAACAAGTATCTATTGATTCTTCCCCCACACTCAAGAACAGAAAATTCTCACCCTCTCTCTCCACTCCTCCCTACCCCAGCCTACAGTGGCCACATTTAGTCAATAAAAATTCAGGGCCAGGCGCGGTGGCTCATGCCTGTAATCCCAGCACTTTGGGAGGCTGAGGCGGGCAGATCACTTGAGGTCAGGAGTTTGAGACCAGCCTGGCCAACATGGCGAAACCCCATCTCTACTAAAAATACAGAAAAATTAGCTGGGTGTGGTGGCCGGCACCTGTAATCTCAGCTACTCAGGAGGCTGAGGCAGGAGAATCACTTGAACCTGGGAGGCGGAGGTTGCAGTGAGCCTAGATCGCAGCCTTGCACTCAAGCCTGGGCGACAAGAGCAAAACTCCATCTCAAAAATAAATAAATAAAATAAAATAAAAATTCAGGACACCTAGTTAAATCTGAATTTCAGATAAATGACAAATACAGTTTTTTATTAAAAATATGTCCTATGCAATGTTTGGGACATACTTAGACTAAAAAACAACAAAAACACATTTGTTGTTTTTCTGAAATTTAAAATTACCTGAGTATGCTGCATTTTATATAGAAAGACTACCCTAGCCCCTACCCAGCATTTTAATATCAAGTTATTTTTAGCCTGGGCAACACAGTAAGACCCCATCTCTACAATAAAATTGAAAAATTAGCCAGGCATGGTAGCACTCAGCTACTCAGGAGGCTGAATGGGAGGATCCCTTGGGCCCGGGAGGTCGAGGCTGCAGTGAGCTATGATGGTGTCACTCACTCCAGCCTGGGTGACAGAGCAAGACCCTGCCTCTAAAAAGAAAATAATTATAACAATATCGAGTGATTTTAAAATAATAGCCAAGGTAGGCCAGGTGCGGTGGCTCACACCTGTAATCCCAGCACTTTGGGAGGCCGAGGCGGGTGGATCACGAGGTCAGGAGTTCAAGACCAGCCTGGCCAAGATAGTGAAACCCTGTCTTTACTAAAAATACAAAAATTAGCCGGGCGTGGTGGTGGGCGCCTGTAATCCCAGCTACTCAGGAGGCTGAGGCAGAGAATTGCTTGAACCCGGAGGTGGAGGTTGCAATGAGCCAAGATCGCGCCACTGCACTCCAGCCTGGGTAACAGAGTGAGACTCCGTCTCAAAAATAATAATAATAATAATAATAGCCAAGGCCTCCCCTGCCCTCCCAGTTTTCAGGTATCCTGCAGCCCCTCACACCCAAGGTTGAGGTCTTCAGAGACAGCACCCAGGGGAGGGTGGAGGGGAGCCCCCGACCCCAGTCTCCAGCCCAGCCCTCCCCTCCAGGCCACCCTGCCCCTGGCTGGAAACCAGCCACAAAGTGTCCCCAGCAGGTGGGTCTGAAGTGGCTAATAGGTTTTCTTCATTTGGCTTTCCAGTACATTCTAAATTGCTCCCCACAGACACGCTCCTTTTCTGGAAACGGCACCAGCAACTTCCCTGGCATTAGAGGTCCTGTCTCCCCAGAGCCAGCTGAGGCCAGGCTCCGGTTGATCTTGTCCCTTCAGCCCACCTCTGGGTTCCTCCCAACCCATCTTTCCTGGTGGTGAACACTACCTGTTGCCCCAGGGGGTGGGTGCTGTCAGCAGGCGACCTCAGTGGGCAGATGCTTCAGGGACTGCTGCTACCACAGAGCCACCTGCAGGAAGGCACACCCAAACCCTGTGCCTGATGGGCGCAGGATGCTGGGGTCTAGGGCCTGACTCTCACAGGCAAATGGACATGACCTGAAAGGCCACTCTAGCCCCAGGGCACCCTGTTGCCTGTTGGGCTGCATCAGAGTCCACTTCCCCTTCATCCAATCCCACTTCCTTCCCTGCTTTCCACAGTGAAGCTCCGGGACCCCTCCTCTACCTGCCTGCCAATCCTCACGGCTACTTCCTGGGACCCTGACCTGCCCGCCAAGTCCCCAGCCCAGACCTCCCCTCCGGTCCATCCTGCCCCTGGCTGGAAATCAGTTACGAAGTGCCCATGGTGGGTGGGTCTGATGTGGCTAATGGGCTTCCTTCATTCGGCTTTCTAGTACATTCTAAATTGCCCACAGCAAACCTATATTACTTTGGTAATAAGAAAAAATAATAAAAGCTATTTTTCTTTAAGAAAAATGTAAAACCAAACCAAGCAGCATCCTTCTTATCTGGTATACCCACTCGTCCCCCAACCCCTCCACCTGGTTCCCCAGGGAGGGCCCCCCAAATCAGTGAATGCCCCCACCCCTCATGTCCTCTCCTGTCCCTTCTGTCCTTCCAGACCTGTAGCCAGTTTCACTTCTCCAGGGAAGGCTTTCTACCACCAACTCATTCTTGCTGTGGGGATACGTGCAAACTTCTGAATGGGTCCCTCATCTCCTAATGGGAGACGAATGCAAAATATGTCCTGATATTGGTGAGGAGAGAAAGTAGATGATGGGACCAACAGTCACTCACTCCACAAGCCAGAGCTGGGTCTACTCTGTGCCAGGCCATGGGGCCACCGGAAACAGCACACAGACTCTGCCCCCACAGACCCCACAGCCCAGCAGGGAGAGGACACTGCATGATGGGAGGGTTCCCAGGGGAGGCAGCCAGGCTGTGGGGAGGGGATCATGGGTGGGGTTCCCAGCCCAAGCTGGGGAAGCTTCTGGAGGAAAAAGGAGTCTCAGTGGACTCCCGAGGGTGAGAGATTTGGGTGGGAAGGAAGAGGGAGAGGAGGAGACAGGAACAGCCTGTGCAAAGGCCTGCAGGTGACAGAAGCCCCACTTGCTTGAGGAACTGAAAGTAGCTCAGGGCAGCCAGGGGGCAGAGGGAGGGCAAGAAGGGAGAGTCAGCCTGGGTGTGGGAATGGTGGCAGAGCCACGTTAGGGAGACTGCATGGCTGTCAAATAGCAATGCGAGCCATTGTGGAATGAATGAATGATTGAATGACTGAATGTCAACTCTGGAAAATAGCTGGCAACCTGAGGGAGGGGGTTGAGTCCCTTCTTGGGCTTTCCCTCTATTCCCCAGGACCAAAGAGCCACCCAAACCAGACAGTTCTCTTTAGGCCCCTCCTAAGCCTGGAAATCTTGATGTCCTTCATAGACACAGGCCTGTGGCTAAGCCAGAACCCTTGTTGGCAGCCTCTTCCTCTGAAGTGGGTTTGCTCCTCCACACACTAGGGTCATGAGACCCCTGAGAGCTTGCTATGAAGACCTTAGAGGCTGAGGAAGGCCTGGCTTGGGCCTTCCCAGCTTCCCTGATGTTGACCTGGATTTTCCCAAGGGCTGGGACAGAGGCAGAGACTCTGGTCTAAAGTTGGCACCCCGGGAAGAAAGTGCCAACCCAGCGGCCTGAGGAGAGCCAGACCTTCACATCAGGCCTTCCCTCAAGCCAGGACCAGGCCTGGACACTCAAACCAGGGGCCCATAAGACCCTCTGGAGCCAGCAGGTTGCAACACTATCTCCAAAAGGCATAGCTGCCCATCAACTCCAGGCTTAGGAAGGGCCTAGCCGGGCATGATGGCTCAGGCCTGTAATCCTAGCACTTTGAGAGGCCAAGGTGGGCAGATCACCTGAGGTCAGGAGTTCGAGACCAGCCTGACCAACATGGAGAAACCCCGTCTCTACTAAAAATATAAAATTAGCCGGGTGTGGTGGTGCATGCCTGTAATTCCAGCTACTCAGGAGGCTGAGGCAGGAGAATCGCTTGAACCCGGGAGGCAGAGGTTGCGGTGAGCTGAGATCGTGCCATTGCACTCCAGCCTGGGCAACAAGAGCGAAACTCTCTCTCAAAAAAAAAAAAAAAAAAAAAAGGAAGGGCCTACTAAAGAGAACCACCTGGTTTGAGTGGAGTGGCTCTTTGGTCCTGGGGAATAGAGAGAAAGCCCAAGAAGGGGCTCGACCCCCTCCCTCAGGTTGCCAGCTATTTCCCAGAGTTTACATTCACTCATTCAATAAGTCATGCATTCCACAAGATATTTTCTTGGTGCCAAACCCTGCTTTGGTGCAGGGGCAATGACAGAGATGAATCAGATTCCCAGCCTGAAGGTACTTCTGGTCTAGAAGGAGATGAACAAGACAAATAACCCAGCCACAAGGCAGTCCAAGAACATAGGGCAGGGGGCAAGGATCTCACCTGGGGTATCAGGGAAGCTGCTGGAGGGTGATGATTTGGACTTGTGATAGAAAGGCCAGGATGGAGGATGGAAGCAAAATCACTGACAGACAGTCCTGTTTGCACCCCAGCTGTGCCAGGGGCTGGGGCAATGTGGGTTATTTATGGTTGTGCCTAGAAATAAGCGGCCATATGTGTCACTGCCTATGTGGTGCAGACCTGGGCTGTTGTGGGTAGGGGCAGCTGGGGCTTGAAGCTGGGTCTGGCCAAGCTCCCGGGTTTGCCACCATGTCTCCTACACCCTGATGACCCTTTAACCTTTTCATAGCCTCTTGTAAGGTGAAAATAAGGGGCAGAGGCAGCTCCAACAGGCAGCAAGTGGCCTGGGGCTTGCAGGGGAGGGCAGTGCCCAGCAGCCCATGGCTTCTGTATCTGCGGGGCCTTTTAGCATTATCGCCTCCTTCTTGCCTCCTCCCCCCTCCCCGCTCCCATCCCAGCTGTGGGGGAAGGGGTAGGGGACAGAAGGAAATACCTTTAACCATAAGCCAGACAGGCATCAGCTGCTGTGTTTCTCCCCAGCCCACTCTGATCCATAAATAGCCTATGCACCAAGCTGGCACCAGCCCACCCACCCCTTCTGGTAGCAGTCCAGAGACCCGGACCGCCCGGGCCCAGGCCCCAGCTTCCCAAGGAACCTATTTCCGGCGCTTTTCCTGGGGTAAGGGCCTCCGATGCCAGCTCGCTCCCCCAAGGGACCCAGCGCAGTGGCATCCTGGCACTGCCTGGGTGATGCCCGCGAACTCCGTCCCCTGAAGGCATCCCCGAACGCGCACCCGCTTCTCTCCAGGCAACTGCCCAACCCTGCCCGGGCTCTGGCCCAGGGAGATGTCAGTCCCGGCGCCCACTTCCAACACGCACTCCCTAACTGGACACCCGCACACACAACCCCCCCGCCCTCTATTCAAGGGCCAGACCTCCTACCTGGGGGCAGGAGCTCCGGGGACCATCGGCGGCGACTCGGGGCGAAGCGGGACGTCTGGGGCCCGGCCTCAAGCCCGGCCGACTTCCCGGGGGAGGAGGGGGCTGGCGCTGCCGCCGCCACCGCGTCGCTCTGGGATCTCGCCGGGGCTGCGGGAAGGAGGAAGGTCAGAGCTGAGGCGGAGAGGGGGGAAGGATGAGGAGGAGGCGTGCACCGAGCAGAGCAGATTAGAGAGGCATTTTTAGCGAGCCAATGGTAGCGCGGGCAGGGCGGCGCGGTGGCTGCGCAGGTGGACGCGCCGCGGCTGCCGGGGAGGCAGCAACCAGTTTGGCAGGCGCCGGGGGTGGCGGGTGGCGGGTGGCGGGTGGGGTCCGGCTCCCCGCTGCTTCAGCCGACCCCTGCCCCAGCAGTCTTGCCTGGCTCCCTCTTCTGGGGGCTGCCCGCGGCCCCGCGCGTGCCGGGAGCCCTCCGGTGCGCCCTCCTCCCCAGCCCTCCCAGCTGGCGCGCTCGGAGCCCGGGATGTTGCTCCCTGCCTCTCTCCCCATCTCCCCATCGCCTTGGCCTTTCCTCCTCTCCCGAGCCTCGGCGTCCCTTGGTGCGTGCGGGTGCCTGTGTGGTGGGTGTGTTGAAGACGTGCGTGTGAGCTGACTTGGGAGCGACACCCCCTGCACCACCGCCCCACTGATGCCCACCCCTGCCCGCAGCTTCTGCCCTGTGACCCCATGGGGCGGGATCGCTAACCCTCATGTCCTAGTTCCAGCAGGACCGGCTGTCGCCAAAGCAAACTCCAGGCCATGTCGTTGGAGCTCTCTAGGGGGCTTGGGGCCTAATAGGGGACCCTCAACGGCCTTCACTCTTCCGAACTTGAGCCCTGAATGCTGCCTGGAGCCTGGACGCTGCAGGGAGGAGCGGGGCACATACCTATTGAAGGCCTGTTCTGTATCAGGCACTGATGAGGGGCTGGGCTGCAGCAGAGGACAGAACAGACCAAAACTCTGCCATCTCATAGTTCACATGTGTGAGGGAAGATAGATACTCAATATCAGCAGCTAAGAGTGTTTTGTTTGGTTTTTGTTGTTGTTGTTTTGTTTTGTTTTGAGACGGAGTTTCGCTCTTGTTGCCCAGGCTGGAGTGCAATGGCACGATCTCGGCTCACCACAACCTCCGCCTCCCGGGTTCAAGCGATTCTCCTGCCTCAGCCTCCCGAGTAGCTGGGACTACAGGCGCGAGTCACCACACCCAACTAATTTTGTATTTTTAGTAGAGATGGGGTTTCTCCATGTTGGTCAGGCTGGTCTCGAACTCCCGCCCTCAGGTGATCTGCCCGCCTTGGCCTCCCAAAGTGCTGAGATTACAGGCGTGAACCACTGCGCCGGGCCAAGAGTGTATTTTAAAGTGGTATGCACAGAGTAGAAAAATAAAGCGGGAGCCAAGAGCGGTGGCTCACGCCTGTAATCCCAGCACTTTGGGAGGCCGAGGCGGGCGGAACACGAGGTCAGGAGATCGAGACCATCCTGGCTAAAACGGTGGAACCCGGTCTCTACTAAAACAAAAAATTAGCCGGGCGTGGTCGCGGGCCCCTGTAGTCCCAGCTACTCTGGAGGCTGAGGCAGGAGAATGGCGTGAACCCGGTAGGCGGAGCTTGCAGTGAGCCGAGATGGCGCCACTGCACTCCAGCCTGGGCGACAGAGCGAAACTCCATCTCAAAAAAAAAAAGGAAAGAAAAGAAAAAAATAAATAAATAAAAATAAAAATAAAGCCGGAGGAAGGGAAAAGAAGTGAGATTGCTCAGGACCAGAATGGGTCCCTGCCCTTTACATGTGTAGGGATTGCGGGGTGGGGGTGGTGGCTGAATTTGAATGTGAGCCCCTCAGGTAGGCATGCAGACTCTAGTTTGCCACAGAGCTCCCTATTGTTTGAGCCTGGGATAATCACATGTTTATATTTCCTGACTTCCCTCTCCACACACTTCACGAGAGGCACTGAAATTCATGCCCCAGTGACCCAGGGCAATGCCTGAATGCAGTATTTATTCGTGCAATAAGAATTCTCTGAGCACTGACTGCATGTTAGGTGTTGGAGCCTGGGGGAACTCAACACCTAGCTGGGGAGGCCAGATGGTAGTATGTACGTCAAGGCTGACCAGTGCGGCTAAGTGAGTGGACAATGTTCTGGAGAAGGTCAGTATAAGGCTCTGGTTTAGGCCATCCAGGAAGGCTTCCTGGAGGAGGCAGCATTCCAACAGGGTGCCAAAGGTTTACTGGGATTCTGATGAGCCAGACAGGGCAGGAGGCAGGGATGGATTGCTGGGAAAGGTCAGCAAAATGCCAGGGGACATTTGGCAAGTGGCTAGGACTGGGTCGTGGAGCACTGCTGGACACCCTCTGTGCAAGGGGTATGCTGTTTGTTTCAGGCTGGTGAAGCCCCACCCCCCACTCCCACTCCAGCAGCTCCTGGTCCTAGCTGCCCTTACCTCAACCTAGAATTTCCCAGTAGCCCCAGAAGGAGGTGTGACAAGCATGTGGGTGGGTGGGGGGAACATCGACTTCACTCAGTTGCTTGCTTGCTGGGTGAACATGGACAGGTAACTCAACCCCTTGAGATTCAGCCTTTTCATCTTAATAGCTGTGTGGCAAGTTGCTTACTTGATCTGTTCCTTGGTTCCCCGGCTTGGAAAATGGGCATGGCAACAGCACCTACCTCACAAGACAATTAGGTGAACTGCTTAGCACATACGTACTCAGTTAGTTTTGTTGTATTGATGATGATGATGATGATGATGATGATGATGGTTACACTTGCCTCATAGGGTTATTGCAATTAGACAAAGAATGTTAAGTCACCTAGTATAGTGCCTGGGACTTAGTAGGTGTGCCAAAATAATGGTATTATTATTATCATCAACTACATGCACCCCAAAATTTCTCCCTTTCTGGTCTACCACAGTGGTATGAAACACCCCTCTTTAGACAGACCTTTTTTTTTTTTCTTTTTTCAGACAGGGTCTTGCTCTTTCGACCAGGCTGGAATAAAGTGGTGCAATCACAGTTCACAGCAGCATCGACTTCCTAGGCTCAAGCAATCCTCTTTCACCTCAGTTTCCCGGATAGCTGGGACTACAGGCGCATGCCACCACACCTAGCTAATTTTTAAAAATTATTTGTAGAGACAGGGTCTCCCTATGTTGCCCAGGCTGGTCTCGAACTCTTGGGCTCAAGTGAGCCCCCCACCTCAGCCTCCCAAAGTGCAGGGATTACAGGCATGAGCCACCGTGCTTGGCCTACGAGGACTTTCTTAATGTAAAGAAGCTAATTCCCCAAGAGGCTCTTAAAAGACAATCTAGGATGGATGGACTAACAATTGGCCCCTCCCCTACTAATACATTAGCCTGGCTCAATGTGTCATCAGGAGCTTTGATGTAGACGGAATGAAGCCCAGGCCTGGAAGGTTTTGAAAAGGCAGTGAAGTCCAGAGCACAGGACACTGACTGAGAGAGGACACTCGATGTTCCTCGGCAGCAGGCATTCGGTGGAGGATGGCAAGAGCAGGAAGAGGACGTTCACAGGGGACAGGGTGTAATGCAGAGGGCACAGGGAGGACTCTGCCTTCCCAGGGGCGGAGCCACTTGGGGACAGTGTGGAAGGGCAATGGCTGGTCAGACCTGATTGGGCAGAGGTAGGGAGAGGGAGGAGGTGGGTGGGGAGAGGGGTGAGGGAGAAGACTGAGCTGGGCTTACTCCTTTAGGAGTTGAGGCTTCCCTAAAGCTGAATTCAGACCTTAGCAGCTTCAAGCCCCGAAAAAATGAGAGTGGAACACACACACACACACACACACACACACACACACACACACACACACCCCTGTCCTGTGTAATCTAAAATAAACTGTTATTTTAGGAATTGACACAACTTCCATGCTTCCTAAAATTAAACTAGCTTTCTTCTAGATTTTCTGTCGGTAAAACTTAACGTTCATCAAAGATAAACTTTCTCTCTCCCTCTCTCTCTCCTCTCACCTCTTTCTCTTATTGTTTTGTGCCCCGCTCAGAGAATAAGACTTTCTCCCTTTTGCACAGCACTTTTCACTTTTCAAAGCACTTTTCACATCTTTTTTCTCCTCAATGCACTTTTTTTTTTTTCTTTTTTCCGAGACAAAGTCTTGCTCTGTTGCCCAGGCTGGAGTGCAGTGGCACAATCTCGGCTAACAGCAGCCTCCGCCTTCCAGGTTCAAGCAATTCTCCTGCCTCAGCCTCTGGAGTAGCTGGGATTACAGGCACGCACCACCACGCTTGGCTAATTTTTGTATTTTTAGTAGAGATGGGGTTTCACCATGTTGGCCACGCTGGTCTCGAACTCCTGACCTCATGATCCGCCCACCTTGGCCTCCGAAAATGCTGGGATTACAGGCATGAGCCACTGTGCCCGGCCTCAGTGCACTTTTTCTCAGTCCCATTAAGATCTGACCAGCCTCAGTTTCCATGGTACCTTCTTTCCCACTGAGAGCTTCGAGCCCTCCCTCCATCAGAAGCCTCCTCTGTTAGGCTGTCTGTACCATAGAGGGCAATGAGGCAGGCCTACAGACCTCCCCAGAGGAGTTTTCACATGCAGATATAACTTGTGGAAAGGACAGACCAGCACTGGACAAGCCTGTGAAATCAACCAACCAAGAAATGAATAATGGATGCTAATTAATATTACATGTTTAGCCTAGGAGAACAGGAGGGTGGTGGTAGCGCTGTGGGTTCCCTTTTGTTCCATCCAACATGAAAGGCTTCAAGGAGGAGGTGGGGTTTTGAGGAGTTTCTCTATTCTTACCACATCTCTGGTTAAAAAGAAAGGACATGGATTTTTTTCCCGAATTTTGGCAGAGCAGGACTCTGAAGCCCAGAGAGGGAAAGTGACTCATTCAAGGTCACACAGCACATCCGTGACAGAGCTGGAGCCAAAAACAGATCTCCTGACTTCTGGTCAGGTGCCGTCTTTGCCACATGATTCCTCCCCTGCAAACCTGCATGGAGGTGGGCAGGTCAGAGCGTGGAAAGCAATTGGCCCAGTCACCCATTGTGGTGTTTTATTTTATGAGTTGCCTTTCAGCAGCACGCAGGGACCTGAGCAGGACACCCCTGAGGCACAAAAGTACTTTAAAAACAGTCTTACAGCTCCTTCTGCCCTTGCCTTATCCTCCCACCAGCTGGCTTCACACTTGCAAATTGAGTGCCATCACCTGCCTGGTGGACAGAGGCTGTTGCCAGCTGTGTCCTGAATCCTGAACCAGCATGTCAGGAGCCTCAGAACTGGGCCTTCCTCAGTCCATGACTCATGCCTGGGAAGTTAAAAACTCCCTGAAGATGACATCTCACCTTGACAAGGCCCTCAGTCTTGGAAGGTGCCCAGAGTTAAGACCCAGACCCAGCCTATTCACCCCAGGACATACAGACACTGTGGCAAACATAGCACTTTTCCTGGACCAGGTACTTACTTTCTTTTTTTTTTGAGACAGAGTTTCACTCTTGTTGCCCAGGCTGGAGTGCAATGGCATGATCTCAGCTCACCGCAATCTCTGCCCCCTGGGTTCAAGTGATTCTCCTGCCTCAGCCTCCCAAGTAGCTGGGATTACAGGCATGTGCCACCACGCCCAGCTAATTTTGTATTTTTAGTAGAGATGGGGTTTCTCCATGTTGGTCAGGCTGGTCTCAAACTCCCGACCTCAGGTGATCCGCCCACCTCAGTCTCCCAAAGTGCTGAGATTACAGGCATGAGCCACCGCACCCAGCCTTGGTACTTTCTAAGCTTTACACATGGAAACTACAGGGATGGGTCTGATTACCAGGCCCCATTTCACAGACAGGAAAATGGAGGCCCACAGAGTTTAGGTAACTTGCCTGAGGTCACAAAACTGGTAGGTGGTAGGAGCTGGGATTCAAACCTAGGCTGTCTTGTTCCAAAAGCCATGTTCCTAATCATACAGCTAGGAAAGAAGCAAATATTTACTAAAGGCATTACTATGCACAGGAGGAGTTTACTTACTTGCCCTCATGTAAGTACTCTTATCCTCATTTTACAACTGAGGAAACTGAGGCTCATTGGGTCCTTCAGGGGTGCCTCTCTCCAAGTATAAAAAGAGAGGACACTTGAGATTGTCCTGGGGTAACAGCTCTGGAACAAGCCTCTATGGCCTAGATACCATTGCCACCTAGTGGCGTTGTACCTTAAACGCAAGCAGAATACCTAAGTGAAGGCTGGCCGGCAGGTTCAACACTTGACAGATTTTGTAATTTTTGTTTGCTTGTTTAGGATGCCAGTTAATTTTAACTTTCTTTTCTTTTCTTTTCTTTTTGAAAAGAGGTCCTGCTCTGTCTCCTAGGCTTGAGTGCAGTGGCACAATCATGGCTTGTTGCAACCTTCGCCTTCCAGGCTCAAGCAGTCCTCCCACCTCACCCTCCCGAGTAGCTGGGACTACAGGCATGCACCACCATGCCCGGCTAATTTTTGTATTTTCAGTAGAGACGGGATTTTGCCATGTGAACCAGACTGGTCTCGAACTCCTGGCCTCAAGCCATCCACCCGCCTCAGCCTCCCAAAGTGCTGGGATTACAAGTGAGAGCCACTGCGCCTGGCTGATAATCATCTTTTATATTTAAGATGTGGTCTTGGGCAGAGTTCATCATTAGTAATGTCATCCTCAAAATTAATGGTGGGGGGCAGGCAGGGGAGAATCTGTACAAAGTATTGATTTTTCATTTTTCCAAGAGCCTCCACATGCATTGTTTCCTTTGACTTTTACCATGCCAAACATTACTTTGACTCCTACTTGTTTTTTTTTTTTTAATGAGAAAATGACTCATCCAAGGGGCATCAATTGAGCTGGTCTTTGAACCCAAGCCTGGTGGCCAGAACCGGTATCTTGTAACTGGAGAGGTCCCACTGGGTCAAGCTCCCATATCCCAGGCCCAGAGAGGCTGGGTGAGCTGCCCAAGGGTCCCAGTGAGTCCATGGCAGGCTTAGGCCTCAAGCTCTGGTCTCCAGAATTTTAGGGCTGAGTTCCTCTCCAATCCTGGGCTGTGTTTCAGCTTCTACTTCGTCCAAAGCAAATGCACCCAAGAAGAAGAGTTAAGCAGAGGCACTGCCATGAGGCCGTTGGGCTGAGCAAATGATACCCCAGAATATGACACATTGGCAGGTTAAGTACTTTGAACTAAAGGAAAGGCCTCCAAAGCAGCCTCAGAAACAAAGTCTCTTGCCCTTCTCTCGTGAGCTCCTGTCTCTCGCCCCTCTTTCTCCCCTGAGGGAAGTCATAGAAACCAGAATTTCTCTTCTCCAAGGTGAGACATAGAAACTAGAACCTCTTTCCCCCAAAGCAAGCCGTAAAACCTAGAAAAGTCACTCTCTCCCTTCTTTCCTGAAGACCCTCCTTGCGGAAAGGTCCTGCCCCAGACCCTGGGGGAAGGAAGGCTACACAGAGAGACCAAGATGAATCTGAACAGAAGGGCCTTGCTGGGCCTTGCTGGGCCTTGCTGGTGTTACAGGATCTTTGGGATGTCGATTTTCTGGCCAGACACGGTGCCTTTGCCCGAGTTCTCATCCTGCAGTACACAGACAAGTGAAGGGTGAACGAGACGAAGATGAGTGTTGCAACAGCTCAGAAGAGACCCGCAGTGGGTAGCTCCTCTCTGTAGGCAGGGCATCCCTCAGTCAAGTGTTCAGTTCTAAGCAGAGAGGAGGCCCTGGAGGGGGTGGCAGCTTTCAGCAGAGAGAGGAGTGCCTCTCTGCAGCTGGTCATCGAGTCATCTCCAGCTATCAGCAGAGAGGGTAGTTCCTCTTGTCTCCAGCTGTAAGTAGAGAGGGTAGCTCCTCTCTGCAGCTGGTTGTGTCCCATCATATCTCTACCCTCTTTGTTCTCTGGCTGTCCTCTGCCCTGCTCTGGCTGAGCCCAGGGCTTTTATGGACCTCAGAGGGGAGGAAGCGCCTGCCGATTGGTCCAAGGGTGGCCATGGGCGGGCCAGAAGAGGCACCATGAGTCCCCACTCCAGTTTGCCGGGACTGGCAGCCTGGCCTCCAGCCTTCAGGCCCTCCCTAGCCTGAAGGTAGGGCCTTACCAGGAACCTGCCCCCTTCTGCCCAGGCCTCCTGCTGCCATTCATGGCCCTAGGGCTCAGCCCCAACCCTGCTCTGAGATCAGAGGAGGTGCTGAGAGAGGAGAGAGGCCAGGCAGTGGAAGCAGCAGACACCTTCGAGCCTGCAGGGACAGGGCAAGGTTGGGGGGGCCTTCCTGGGGCCCCTGAGGGTGCAGGCTGCAGAGACTCCCAGGTCCTGTGCCTGAGAGGGCAGCAGCTGCAGCTGTACCCTGGAGCTCCCACCCCACCAACTCGGAAGGGGCGGGGCTCCTGCTTGTCCCCAGCTCCTGCCTGCTCCATGGAGTGGGAGGCCCAGGTCTGCAGCTGTTGGTCAGGGGGCTGCAGCTGCACCCAGGAGGGCAGATCTTACCTGCTCCTGACCCCCTCCAAGAGCACAGGGAGGCTGGGATCCACAGCCACAGTTTGGGTAACTGTAGCCCTGCCCAGGAGGACAAGGGCTCCTGCCTGCTCCGTAGAGCAGGAGGCCTGGGTTTGCAGCCATGGTTTGGGCAGCTGCAGTGTCACCCAGGGAACTCCCGCCCCAACTCAGAAAGGGTGGGACCCCACCAGCTCCATGGAGTGTGCAGCCCCAGCCACACCTCCCTGCTGCAGCCAGTGTGAGGGCAGCAGCCACTGTCATCACTGGGCTTCCCCTTTCAGTCTGTTACCACTAGATCATGCTCCTTTGTCCAATCCCATTTCTACATGGCTGTCCATTTTTCAACCTAAGCTTAAAAACAGACCATTTTCCAGGGGTCTTTGGCCCTTCATTTCTGAAGGCTTTGTGACTTTATGTGACAAAGTTTTATGTCACATAAAACCTTGATTAAATAAATGTGGTATGCTTTTGTCTTGTTAACCTGCCTTTTGTTATAGAGTGTTGGCATGATCCCTAGGATGGGTGAGGAAAGAGATCACACCTGTCTGCTCCTACAAGGCTCACAGCTGCAAAGCACCCCTTCCAGCCCACAATCTCTTTGCTGCTTTTCAGTCTGGGAGCACAGGGTCTTCTTTCCAGCTGGGCCTCTTTCATCATGCAGCCAAGCATTAGGCCAAGGAGGAGAAAACCACAGTTCAGGCAGATCAGCCTGCTCATGCCATGGCCCTCCTGCCTTCTGTCCCTTTTTCATGCTCCCCCTCTTCTCAGAGCCAGGAGGGCCCAGCCCAGATGACATGGAATACATCACAGAGTTTAGAGCCAAGGGCTGCATCTGATTCTTGTTCCGCCGCCAACTCACCACGTGACCTGGGATGGGACATCACCTCTCAGCCTTGGTTTCCTCACCAACGCAGTGAAGGTGGATTGCAGCATGATATGTTGGAGCTGAAGCCCGAAGACCACCTAGGGACAGGCATGGTGGCTCAGACCTGTAATTCCCAGCACTTTGGGAGGCCGAGGTGGGCAGATAACCTGAAGTCAGGAGTTCGAGACCAGCCTGGCCAACATGGTGAAACCCTGCCTCTACTAAAGATACAAAAATTGGCTGGGTGTGGTGACACACACCTATAATTAATCCCAGCTCCTCGGGATGCTGAGGCAGGAGAATTGCTTGAAACCGGGAGGCAAAGGAATTGCAGTGAGCTGAGATCATGCCATTGCACTCCAGCCTGGGCAACAAGAGTGAAACTCGGTCTCAAAAATAAATAAATTCATTAACTGATTAAATAAAAATAAAAATAACTCACTTTGGGCTGGATGTGGTGACTCATGCCTATAATCCCAGCACTTTGGGAGGCCGAGGTGGGTGGATTACCTGAGGTCAGGAGTTGGAGACCAGGCTGGTCAACATGGTAAGACACTGTCTCTACTAAGAATACAAAAATAAGCCGGGTGTGGTGGCACGCACCTGTAATCCCAGCGACTTGGGAGGCTGAGGCAAGAGAATCGCTTGAACCCAGGAGGCGGAGGTTTCAGTGAGCCAAGATTGTGCCACTGCACTCCAGCCTGGGCAACACAGTGAGACTCCGTCTCAAAAAAAAAAAAAAAAAAAGAGGAGGGTCTGTTCTCCATCCCTTTCAAGTAGGGTGCTGTGACTACTTTGACCAACAGAAGATGGCAGAGTGATGTTGTGCTGGTTCCCAGCCTAGCCCTTAACCAGCTGGCAGTTTCTGCTTCCTGCCTCATGTGGATACTCCTTTCAGCAGCCCTCTGACAGCCACCACCAACCAGCAGCTGTGACAGAGAGAGGGCTGTCCTAGACTTCCAGCCCCATCAGGCCTTCAGAGACTCCAGCCCCAGCAGTAACCTAACTGCAAAAACACAAGAGACTCCACCCAGCTGAGCTGGGTCAACCCACAGAATCAGGAGAGATACTCATACATTGTTGTTTGATGCCACTAAACTTTAGGGTGGTTTGTTACGCAGCAAGGGACAGCCCAAATGGAGGCTTTAAAGTGAAGTGACTTACTGGGCATGGTGGCTCGCACACGTAATCTCAGTTACTCAGGAGGCCGAGGTGGGAGGATCACTTGAGCCCAGGAGTTCGAGACCAGCCTGGGTAACATAATGAGATCTTGTCCCTAATTTTTTTTTTTTTTTTTTGAGACAGACTCTCACTCTATCACCCAGGCTGGAGTGCAGTGGCACGACCTCGGCTCATTGCAACCTCCGCCTCCCAGGTTCAAGCGATTATCCTGCCTCAGCCTCCTGAGTAGCTGGGACTACAGGCACACGCCACCATACCTAGCTAATTTTTGTATTTTTAGTAGAGATGGGGTTTCACCATGTTGGCCAGGATGGTCTCGATCTCCTAACATCGTAATCCACCCGCCTCGGCCTCCCAAAGTGCTGGGATTACAGGTATGAGCCACCGCACCCGGCCACCTAAATTTTTTTAAAAATGAGATCACTCATTGTGGGTCCCAGGTCTTGGCTGTGGTTCTGTTGGTTAATGGTGTTCAACTGGGCAAAATGGTGGGAGAGAAAGCAGAGACCCCAGCCAGGCTGTTCAGTGTCGGCCTCCAGCAACAACAGCTATTGTAAGGTGCTGGCTCAAATGTTGTCAAAGCTCCGCCTCCTTGTCTGTTTTGGTCTCTCCTTTTGCCCTGATGGTCTGTGTAGCGCCATTAACACCATTTCTGGTCGTACTGACAATGTTCTCTGCTGCCCTTAAGCCATAAGTCACCATTTTGTAGCATCAGTAAATCAAATACAAAAGCTGAGGCTGCTCTGCTGGCTACCTGTGTCTCCCCAGCAAAACTGGAACTCCTAGGAACTTGCCTCATCCTCAGTGTGCAGTAGGATGGCTTGGCCCCATCATTTGGGCCCTGGACCCTTCTCTGTCTGGCATTGTTTCTCTCTGTGTGTCTAAGAAGTTTCCTCGTGATTTTACCCATGGACCAACCAAGGGACAAATTCAGACCATCAGTGTTCTATTCAAGTCATTCAATTCAGTACATTCTTTTCATGTACTGAGAGCCCACTGTGTCCCAGGCACTGTTCTAAGTGCTGGGAATATGGCTATGAACAAGACAGACAAAATCCCTGCCCTCATGGGGCTCACAGACTGGGAGGAAAGAAAGATGATAAGCAGATAAACAAATAAATATAAAATAACATCAGCTGGTGATAAATGCTACAAAGCATAACAGGGGTTTGGAGAGCTAGAGAATAATAGGAGATATTCTTTAGAGGGAAGTCAGTGAATGCTCCCAAGAAATCATCAATACAACATAAAAATGACCGGAAGAGCCGGGAGCGGTGGCTCACGCCTATAACCCCAGCACTTTGGGAAGCCAAGGCAGGTGGATTGCCTCTGAGCTCAGGAATTCAAGACTAGCCTGGGCAATATGGTGAACCCTCGTCTTACTAAAATACAAAACATTAGCAGTGTGTGGTGGCACACACTTCTAGTTTGAGCTACTTGGGAAGCTGAGGGACAAGAATCGCTTGAACCTGGGAGGTGGAGGTTGCAGTGAGCCGAAGTAGCACCACTGCACTCCGGCCTGAATGACAGCACGAGACTCTGTCTCAAATAAATAAATAAATAAATAAAAACATTAAAATTGAAAATGTCCAGAAGAAAGAATTAAAACATCTCAAATTTGAATCTGCAAAATTTGATTAGAGAAATGATACCTGGTAAAAATAATAGCCACAAAAAATACTCACAGTTAGAGGAAATTTAAACAATGAAACTTGCTGTATACTCTCCCCTCAGGCCCCCCAAAAAGTCAATAAGTCACATGGGATTTTAAAATTTGTTAGAAAAGAATTGATCCCAGTGATAATAATCTCAGCAAGGTAAAAATCAAAATGGAAAAAAGTTACTGCATGCTATAGAAAATTACTTAAGGAATGATCTTGTTTAATACTATTCACTCCAGAAAATATTTTCTCAATGAAAATTGATAATGAAAATAAATCTGATTAAAATTATATATTTTTAAATGGGGTCAATAGGCAAATCCATAGAGACAGAAAGTGGATTCATAATTGCCAAGGGCTGAGGGGAGGGGTGAACGGGAAGTGACTGTGAATATGGGGTTCCTTTTGGGGGGATAGAAATATTCTGGAATTAGGTAGTGGTGATTTTTGCACAACATGATGAGTGTAATAAATGCTACTGAATCGTACACTTTTTTTTTTTGAAACAGGGCCTCACTCAATCACCCAAGCTGGAGGGCAGTGGCGCCATCGTGGCTCGCTTCAGCCTCAACATCCCTGGCTCAAGCAATCCTCCTACCTCAGCCTTCTGAGTAGCTGGAACTACAGGTGTGTGCCACTACGCCCAGCTAATTTTTCCCTAGTTTTGGTAGAGACGGGGTCTCCCTGTGTTGCCCAGGCTGGTCTCAAGCTTGTGGCCTCAAGAAGTCCTCCCCATTGGTCCCCCAAAGCACTGGGATTACAAGCGTAAGCCACCGTCCTGGAGAATTGTATGCATTTTAATTTAATTAATTTTTATTTATTTATTTATTTTTGAGATGGAGTTTCCTTTGTCGCCTTGGCTGGACTGCAGTGGCACTAATCACGGCTCACTGCAGCCTTGATTTCCTGGGCTCAAGAAATCCTCCCACCTCAGCCTCCCTAATAGATGGGACCACAGGAGCCTGCCACCATGCCTGGCTAATTTTTTTATTTTTTATTTTTGCAGATACAGGATCTCCCTTTGTTGCCCAGGCTGGTCTCAAACTCCTGGGCTCAAGTGATCCTCCTGCCTCAGCCTCCCAAAGTGCTGGAATTACATGAGCTAGTCACCACACCTGGTCCTGTAGTTTTGAAATCAGGAAGTGCGGCTGGGTGCTGTGGCTCACGCCTGTAATCCCAGCACTTTGGGAGGCCCAGGCGGGCGGATCATGAGCTCAGGAGATAGAGACCATTCTGGCTAAGAGGGTGAAACCCTGTCTCTACTAAAAATACAAAAAATTAGACGGCGTGGTGGCACATGCCTGTAGTCCCAGCTATTCAGGAAGCTGAGGCAGGAGAATCGCTTGGACCCAGGGGGCGGAGGTTGCAGTGAACCGAGATCACACCACTGCACTCCAGCCTGGGCAACAGAGCAAGACTCCATCTAAAAAAGACAAAACAACAACAAAAAAAACAAGCCAGACCAGAGGTGTGCTGTGGCTAAGTTCCCAGACCCATCAGACCCCACTGTGCTTGACTGTGCTCCCATCACAAGCACCAGGAGCAGGCTTGCAATGACAGTGTCCACCACTCCAGATGCACCTCCAGAAGTGGGGCCTCTGATTCACCCTGTTCCCACCCCATTCCTCCATGCTGTGGAGTGAGCCTCCCTCCCGAGGCCTCCCCTCCTCCATCCAGGGGGATATACTAAGAAGCACAGGGACCTCAGAGTCTAAGCATCATTCCCCAAACTCATGCAAAAAATATCCATCGGCCATCTTCACCTCTGATTGCAGTTCCCTCATTTGACAGCCTCTATCATTGCCCCTACTTTACAGAGGAGGATGCCAAGACTCAGGGAAGTAAAATGCCTTGCCCAGAATCAATACTAGTTGGCAGTGACCTGAGGCTAGAATATAAAATGACCACCCGTTTCACCTTCCTTTTTGTTAGTTCCTGTGCAGTGGGCCAGATGGTGACCCCCAAAGATGTTCATGTCCGAATCCCCAGAACCTGTGAATATGTTATGTTGCATGGTAAAAAATTTTTCCATACGTGATTAAGTGAAGGATTTTGATATGGGGATTATCCCAGATTATCGGGGTAGTGTAATCACAAGTGTAATCACAAGTGTCCTCATAAAGGGTGCAGGGGGAGATTGAGTACAGAAGAGAGTATGGCAATGTGACAACAGAAGCAGAGATTGGAGTGATGTGGCCTGTGCCCAAGGAATGCAAGAGGCCTGTAGAAGCCAGAAAGTGCAAAGAACAGATTCTTCCCTGGAGCTGTCAGAAGGAGCCAGCCCTGCTGACGCCTTGATTTTAGCCCTGTAGGACTTATTTTGGATGTCTGTCCTCCAGAACTGTAGGAGAACGAATGTATGCTGTTTCTAGCCACTAAATTTGTGGTAATTATTGTAGCAGCAGTAGGAAATTAATACACCCTGCTAGACTCTAACTCTTGCATCAGCCTTGCAAGGTAATGGTTATTTCCATCTAACAGATGGAGAAACCAAGGCTCAGGGAAGCTAAGTGGCTTTCCCAAGGTCACACAGGTGGTGAGTAACATAGCTGGGGTTTGGACACAGGCCATTCCAATAGACCTCACTGCACCCCTACTCAAGGTAAAGATGGAACCAAACCCAGGCCTCAGGATGCCGCCCAGGCTTATTGCACTTTACCAGCTTTATGGCTTGGTGTGAATTGGTTAAATTCTTTGTGTCTCAGTTTCACCATCTGTAAAATGGGATTATAACCATAACAGAGCTGGCATATAATACACAGGCAACCTGTTCTGTTATTGTTCTTAGTGTTATGCTAAACTTTCCTTAGGTTGCATTTGTTTGTACAGTTATTCCACAGGACCAGGGAGCCTCCCAGAAGGCTGTGCTCCATATACTTCTGTACCAGTGCCATCCCATGCTGCTGACACCATCCCTAGTAGCCAGGACATCAGGCAACATACCCACAGCACCTCCAGCCCCACTGCCAGTGTCCCCGACTTTCCTAAAGTAAGCCCTTGCTCTGTCTGCCAGGGAAATGGGCTAATGCAGGGTTACTTTGGAAACATCCTGGGGAAAGGCAAGTGAGTTCAGTTTGTGTCTTTCTGCAGTTTGTCATTGTCACCACCCAGTCCAGGCTGGGCTCTGAGGGACTGAGGCCCAGGACAGCATACATGGCAGGTGAGCTGGGCACCTGACCTGGGTCTGGACCCTCCTCTGACTCTGGCACCACATTGATGAGAGAACTTAGATGGGCACAGCCCCTCTCCTGGCCTCCTCCTTCCGCCTTTGGACAAAACAAAGTGCTTGATCATTATAATGATAATATATGATTGTTATCTACATTTAACCCTTACTACACTGTGGGTAAGTGCTGTTATCATCCCCATTGTGTAGATGAGAAAATTGACACACAGAAAGAACAAGTTGCTTTTCTTTTTAAAATATATATAAAACTTATTAATTAATTAATTAATTTTTTTGTTTTGTTCTTGAGACGAAGTTTTGCTCTTGTCGCACAGGCTGGAGTGCAATGGCACCATCGAGGCTCATTACGAACTCCGCCTCCTGGGTTCAAGTGATTCTCCTGCCTCAGCCTCCTGAGTAGCTGGGATTACAGGTGTGCACCACCATGCCCAGCTAATTTTGTATTTTTAGTAGAGACGGGGTTTCACCATGTAGGCCAGGCTGGTCTTGAACTCCTGACCTCAGGTGATCTGCCCGTCTTGGCCTCTCAAAGTGTTGGAATTACAGGCGTGAGCCACTGCGCCTGGCCTATTTATTATTATTATTATTATTATTATTATTATTATTTTGAGATGGAGTTTCGCTATTGTTGCTCAGGCTGGAGTACAATGGCATGATCTTGGCTCACCACAACCTCTGCCTGCCGGATTCAAGCAATTCTCCTGCCTCAGCCTCCCGAGTAGCTGGGATTCCAGGCTTGCGCCACCACGCCCAGCCAATTTTGTATTTTTAGTAGAGATGGGGTTTCTCCATGTTGGTCAGGCTGGTCTCAAACTCCCAGTCTCAGGTGATCTGCCCGCCCCAGCCTCCCAAAGTGCTGGGATTACAGGCATGAGCCGCTGCGCTTGGCCTATTTATTATTTTTTTTAATGGAGACAGGGACCTCTGTATGTTGCCCAGGTTTGGCTCAAACTCCTGGACTTGAGCAATCCTCCTGCCTCGGCCTCCCAAAGGGCTGGGATTATAGGCATGAGCCACCCGGCCACACTAGTTGCTTTTCTAGGCTGGTTTGCGTGCTAGGCAGTTTGGTTTTGGAGCTCATTTTCTTAATGCCATCAAAGACAAGAAAGGTTAAGGAATCGCCAGAGGGCTTGTTTAAAATGCAGCTTCCAGCACGCCTCTTCTCTAGGGATTAGGATTTATCAGGTCTTGGAGAAGCCCAGGAACCTGCCATTTTTTAAAGCTTCCCCCAGGTGATTCTCAGATGGGACCCAGGCTACACTTTGACAATCAGAGCTCTAAAATGTTTTCCTGTTCAAAAAAATGCAGTGACACCGAATACAGGGAGAACGGGGACTACAAGATGCCAGCAGCACAGAGCTCTTGACTTCCTCCCTCATCCTCTCTCATCTTTGCGCCCTCTGATCCGCTCTGGCTCACTGGGAGCCTGACAGCAAAAATATCTGGGGAGTTCTGGCAGGTGCAACTCCCTGTTTCTGCTTCCTAAGGATAAAAGGGACAGCCTGTGGAATTTGACCTGAGGCAGAAAGTCAAATCTCCACCTTGAAGGGAGACAGTCAGGCACAGAAGACAGCAGGAGTGAGGCTCAGCGCCTGCTCTCCAATTTGCAAAGATCCAGTTCCATGGCTGAGGAAGTGGAACCGCCATATGGCATCAGCCTTGCCAGTGCTCCTAGCCAGCCCCAGAAAAAGAGCTGAGGCATCAGAGAGGAAAATGCCTGCCCTTCGGTCCATCAGAATGTCAAGTCCCCAGGCGATGGCTCTTCCCCACATGCACCCATGCACCTCCCCCCAGCCAGGAGGGAATAAAAGAATGGCTTTTGGAGTGGCCTTGATACGTCACATTATCTGCCTTCCCACCGCAGGCTGCAGGGAGCCATTATGCCAAGCAGATTAAGACTTTCAGGCCAGGCCGGGCGCGGTGGCTCACGCCTGTAATCCCAGCACTTTGGGAGGCCGAGGCGGGCGGATCACGAGGTCAGGAGATCGAGACCATCCCGGCTAAAACGGTGAAACCCCGTCTCTACTAAAAATACAAAAAATTAGCCAGGCGTAGTGGCAGGCGCCTGTAGTCCCAGCTACTTGGGAGGCTGAGGCAGGAGAATGGCATGAACCCGGGAGGCGGAGCTTGCAGTGAGCTGAGATCCCGCCACTGCACTCCAGCCTGGGCGACAGAGCGAGACTCCGTCTCAAAAAAAAAAAAAAAAAAAAGACTTTCAGGCCAGAGACAGGGAGGGCTGAGGCCCTGACACTCCATGCTGATCAAATGGGTCTGCAGAGCTGCCACCCACACCCAGGAGCATTATTTATGGTGCCGGCCACAGGGCTGAGTTGTGCTTTCCTCCTTCTCCATCTGGCCCTCCCTGGCAGGGCTCCCGGCTTGACTTACCACCGATAGGGCCGTATGCCCTGCCAGCCCTGGGAGAGCCTGCAAGAGACAAGGGTGGAGAGGAAAGATGGGAGTTAATTCCTTTCCACATTGCCAGTCCTGTGCCAACCCCTGTGCTCCCTATAGCCCCAGGTGGAAACTCCATACCTACGTGGAATCCCGTAGTGGACACACCAGGAATCCTTTCCCTCCCTCGCCCCACCCCTTAGCAACAGCTAAGGTATAGTATTCATTTGGCCTGCAGCAAGCTTCCTAAGGGATGGCACCTGCTTGGGCTCTGGGTCAGACAAGGCTGAGCTGGCATCTCTGAAGATGACACTATACACCCCTTTCTGCCTATGTGCACCTGCGGCTCCTCCCACTGGGAGGCGGAGTCTGTGTCCCTGCCCTTGACTCTGGGCTGGTCTTGCCACTTGCTCTCAGTACCAGAAGGCAGTGGGAGTGACCGCCTGACTTTTAGGAAACCTAGAAGCTTCTGCTTTTGTGCTTTCAGGGAAAGCCACCGCCATGCTTTTAAAAAGCTCAGATTACTGCATGACAGGGAAAGCTGAGTGAAGTTTTTGTGGCCCTTCCAGCCTAACCCAATGACCAGCTGAGTGAATGAGCCTAGCCATCTCCAGAAACCACTGGACAAGGTTTATAACACAACTGGTGACAAGCTATGTCCGCAAAGCCTAAAATATGAGTGAATGAGGACAAAACACTGACAGTCACAAGACTTGTGGGGGAGGAAGGAGAGGGAGGCAACCAGGGTAGCATCAGGTGGACCTGAAAACAGGAGGATCCTAAAATAGGCAGCAGACATTCAGGAGAAAGCTGGGCAGCGAGTTTGAGAAGAGCAGCTGAAACTGGGTGCAGCCAAGCGCAGGCAGCTTGGAGGGGCTGAGGCAGCATATGGGGTTGATCAAGCTTCTCTACATCCTGAAACAGACCCTCCAGGGCTCCCTGTTCTGTGCAGACAGGACCCGGCAGAAACCGCTGGCCATGGAATAAAATTAAGTAGCAGAACGGGGACCATAGAAACGCAGGCCAGAAAGGCCAGAAAACAGTGGATGTGTCAGTTATTTATTGCCTCTCGGTTTCAACCTCTCCCTCTTCTTCCTCATATCAGATGAGCTCCCAAATAATTACATCATATATATTTCCTACTTTTTTTTTTTTTGAAACAGAGTCGCCCAGGCTGGAGTGCGACAGTGCGATCTTAGCTCACTGCAACCTCTGCCCCCCCGGGGTTCAAGTGATTCTCCTGCCTCAGTCTCCCAAGTAGCTGGGACTACAGGTGCACGCCATCACGCCCCACTAATTTTTGTATTTTTTTCGTAGAGACGGGTTTCTCCATGTTGACTAGGCTGGTCTCTAACTCCTGACTTGAGGTGATCCTCCCACCTTGGCCTCCCAAAGTGCTGAGATTACAGGCATGAGCCACCGCGCCTAGCCTATATTTCCTACTTTTGTCCACCAAAAAGGCTAACCCAATGACAGTAGCATCCTCAGAGCCTGGATTGTAGTCTTGAAATATTGTTTCAACTGGGGGCTGGGCACAGTGGCACGCCTGTAATCCCAGCACTTTGGGAGGCCCAGGTGAGAGGATTGCTTGAAGCCAGGAGTTCAAGTTTGCAGTGAGCTATAATGTCCTAAAGCCTGGGCAACAGAGCAAGATCCCATCTCTTAAGAAAAAAAAACAATCAGGGCTTCTTGGCAAAATGCTTTGCTTCAAGTCTAGAGCAGGATCACCTTTACATACCAGCTTGCAAGGCAGCTCTCAAAGACTAATAGGATAATGTCAAAAAGACTCAGAAGCCAGTTTGAAGAGGCTCCCATTAGACCATGTGAGCTTTAATAAGGACAAGAATTGCAATGAGTTCAAATCAATCAAAGAGGTTTAAATCCATGGGTTCACAATGCTGTTAAAAAACAACTGGTCACCAATATATTTATCTTGAAAACTGGTAAATAAGTGAATCAAACATTTATCCTTCCTTCCCTATATGAACTAGACTTAAATAATAGATGAAGGAAAGCATCATCTTATAAAAATATTACAGGCTGGGCACAGAGGCTCATACCTGTAATCCCAGCATTTTGGGAGGCCGAGGCGGGTGGATCACCTGAGGTCAGGAGTTCGAGACCAGCCTGACCAATATGATGAAACCCCATCTCTACTAAAAATACACAATTTAGCCAGGCGTGGTGGTGTGCACCTCTAGTGTCAGCTACTTGGGAGGGCACCTGTAGTCCCTGCTACTCACGAGGCTGAGACAGGAGAATTGCTTGTACCCGGGAGGCAGAGGTTGCAGTGAGCCAAGATCACTCCACTGCACTCCAGCCTGGGTGACAGAGCGAGACTCCATCTCAAAATAAATAAATAAATAAATAAATAAAATGAATAAAAGAAAAAGAAAGAATAGAATTAGAATACCATAATTTTGCTGCCCCTAGTTAATTAATTAATGTAGGCATTAAGTCTCAATAGCCACTAACATCACCAAAAGACAGATGCTATGTGCCTCCTGCGTGAAGACCACACACCACCACCTAAAATGTTGCTAACAGGATCCAACCTGAGCCTGATCAGATCTCTGTGTCCAGCTGCCAATTCACCAGAAATGCAGAGAACAGAGGAACATGCTGAATTGCACCGGGAGTGTACAATTAGCAAAATCCAGACTATAGGAAACTCTACAGGTTATACAGCCCAGGTACTTTGACAAATCTGTTGTAAAGAATGGAGGGAATGAAGAGTGTGACCAACACACCCTAACTGACCCCCAGTGGATCCTGCCCTTGTGTAATCCCTTCCTCTTGAGTGTGGGCAGGAACTGTGAGTTGCTCCTGGCTCACAGAGTAGGGCATATGTGATGGGATGTGACTCACGTGCTCACCTTTTTTTATAGATTTCACCTTAACCGACTGTGGGGAGAGAAGCTCCTGCTAGTCTTGAAGAAGCAAACAGCCATGCCATGACCAGCTTATGGGGAGGGCCATGCAGCAGGGAACAGTGGGTGGCTTCTAGGATTCTGGGACCTGAGGGTAGCCTCCAACCAACAGCCAGCAAACATCTGGCTGTCATCAGTCATCCAACCACAAGGAAATTCATTCTGTCAACAACCTGAATGGGTTTGGAAGTGGATTCTTCCCCTCGTGAAACCTGTAGATGAGAATGCAACCCAGATAACAGGTTAATTTCAGCCTGTAAGTTCCTGAGCAGAGGACCTAGCTAAGCTGTGCCACAGCTTTTTGACCCACGGAAGCTTTGAGATGACAATTGTGGTTTGTTTTTTTGTTTGTTTGTTTGTTTGTTTGTTTTTTGAGACGGAGTCTCGCTCTGTCGCCCAGGCTGGAGTGCAGTGGCGCGATCTCGGCTCACTGCAAGCTCCGCCTCCCGGGTTCACGCCATTCTCCTGCCTCAGCCTCCCGAGTAGCTGGGACTACAGGCGCCCGCTACCACGCCCGGCTAATTTTTTGTATTTTTAGTAGAGACGGGGTTTCACCGTGTTAGCCAGGATGGTCTCGATCTCCTGACCTCGTGATCCGCCCGCCTCGGCCTCCCAAAGTGCTGGGATTACAGGCGTGAGCCACCGCGCCCGGCCTGTTTTTTTTTTTAATTCAGACAGGGTCTCGCTCTTTTGCCCAGGCTGGTCTCCAACTCCTGGGCTCAAGAGATCCTTCCACGCAGGCCCCACAAAGTGCTGGGTTTACAGGCATGCTCGGCCTTGTGAATTTCGAAAACTTTATTTGAATGACTTTTTGTTTTTTTGTTTGTTTGTTTGTTTTGAAACAGAGTCTCTCTCTGTTGCCCAGGTTGGAGTGCAATGGTGCGATCTCGGCTCACTGCAACCTCTGCCTCCCAGGTTCAAGTGATTCTCCTGTCTCAGCTTCCTGAGCAGCTGGGATTACAGGCATGTACCCCACACCCAGACACTTTTTGTATTTTCAGTAGAGACTGTTAACCAGGCTGTCTCCAACTCCTGACCTCAGGTGATCCACCGCCTTGGCCTCCCAAAGTGCTGGGATTACAGGTGTGAGCCACTGTGCCCAGCCTGAGCTAGTTTTTAAGTTAGAGAAAAGTTGCAAGCATAGTAGAGTTTCCTTATATCTTTCAACCTGCTTGCTTAGTATTAGTATCTAGTATCTTATATAACCAAAAATAGGAAGTTAATATTAGTACGTTATTATTATTATTATTATTTGAGACAGAGTCTTGCTCTGTCACCCAGGCTAGAGTGTGGTGGTGTGATCTCAGCTCGCTGCAACCTACATCTCCCGAGTTCAAGTGATTCTCCTGCCTCAGCCTCCCGAGTAGCTGGAATTACAGACATGTGCCACCATGCCAGGCTAATTTTTGTATTTTTAGTAGAGATGGGGTTTCACCATATTGGCCAGGCTTGCCTTGAACCCCTGACCTCATGATCTGCCTGCCTTGGCCTCCCAAAGTGCTGGGATTACAGGTGTGAGCCACCGTGCCGGGCCAATATTATTATTATTATTGAAACAGGATCTCGCTCTGTCGCCCAGGCTGGAGTGCAGTGGCACGATCTCAGCCCATTGCAACCTCTACCTCTCAGGCTCAAGCCATCCTCCCATCTCGGCCTCCTGAGTAGCTGGGATTACAGGCATGTGCCACTATGCCCATATAATTTTTATATTTTTTGTAGAGATGGGCCCTCACTATGTTGTACAGGCTGGTCTCGAATTCCCAGGTTCAAGCAATCCTCCTGCCTCAGCTTCCCAAAGTGCCAGGATTACAGGCATGAACCACTTCTTCCGGCCTCAATATTATTTTTATTTTCAAGACGGGGTTGCTCTGTCGCCCAGGCTGGAGTGCACTGGTGTGATCTTGGCTCACTGCAACCTCAACCTCGTGGGCTCAAGCAATTCTCCCACCTCAGATTCTCAGGGAGCTGGGACTACAGGCACAGGCCATCGTGCCTGGCTAGTTGTTTTTTCTATTTTTTCTAAAAGAGACAGGGTTTCACCATGTTGCCCAGACTGGTCTTGAACTCCTGGACTCTAGCAATCTTCTCCCCTCATCCTCCCAAAGTGTTGAGATTATAGGCATGAGCCACTGCTCCTGGCCAACAATATGATTAATTAAACTGTAGGACTTACTTGAATTTCGTGAATTTTTTACTAATGTCCCTTTTTGGTTCCAGGATGTGATCCGGAATCCCACTTTGCATTTAGTTGTCATTCCTCATTAGTTTCCTTCAATTGTAAGTCTTTGTTTTTTAATGACACTTAGCAAGCTTTGGGTTTTTGTTTGTTTTTGTTTTGTTTTGAGCAAGCCAAAATGATTTCATGATTTCTTAAAAAGAACAAAGTTGGAAGGCTTATACCACCTGATTTCAAGACTTTCTGTAAAGTTAGTGTTAAGAAACTGTGCTATTTGACCAGACGCGGTGGCTCACACCTGTAATCCCAGCACTTTGGGAAGCTAAGGCAGGTGGATCACAAGCTCAGGAGTTCGGGACCAGCCTGACCAACATGGGGAAACCCCATCTCTACTAAAAATACAGAAATTAGCTGGGTGTGGTGGCATGCGCATGTAATCCCAGCTACTCAGGAGGCTGAGGCCAAAAATAGCTTGAACCCAGGAGGCGGAGGTTGCAGTGAGCAGAGATCACACCATTGCATTCCAGCCTGGGCAACAAGAGCAAAACTCCATCTCAAAAAAAAAAAAAAAGAAAAGAAAAAAAGAAACGGTGCTATTCGTGTAAGGATAGACCCGTAAATCAATGGAACAGAAAAGGGAGTCCAAGAAGTAGATTCACAAATTCATGGTCTGTGGTGTATTGATTTTCAACAAAAGTGCCAAGCTAACTCGATGTGGTAATTCAATGTCTTTTCAACAAATGATGCTGGAAAAACTAGGTATCCCTTTTTTTTTTTTCTTTGTTTGAGACAGAGTTTTGCTCTTATTGCCCAGCTGGAGTGCAATGGCAGGAGGCCGAGGTGGGAGGATCACTTGAGCCCTGGGAATTTGAGGCTGCAGTGAGCTGTGATTTTGCCACTGCACTCCTGCCTGGGCAACAGAGTGAGACCCTATCTCAAAAAAAACAAAATTATAATAATAAAAAATAGTAAATTTGGCGAGGCGCGGTGGCTCATGCCTGTAATCCCAGCACTTTGGGAGGTCAAGGTGGGCAGATCACAAGGTCAGGAGTTCGAGACCAGCCTGACCAACACGGTAAAAGCCCATCTGTACTAAAAATATAAAAATTAGCCAGGCATGGTGGTGCACGCCTGTAATCCCAGCTACTCAGGAGGCTGAGGCAGGAGAATCGCTTGAACCCGGGAGGTGGAGGTTGCAGTGAGCCAAGATCACACCATTGCACTCCAGCCTGGGTGACAGAGTGAGACTCCATCTACTAAATTAATAATAATAATAATAAATTAGGCTTGATCAAAATGTAAAACCCTGGTCTTCAAAAGACACTGTCAAGAAGATGAAAAGCCACAAAGTAGCAGAAAATATTCATAATACATATATCTGAAAAAAGAACGGATATCCAGATTATATAAATAACTCCTACACTCAACAAAAAGACAAATGGCCCAGTTTTTAAAATGGACAAAAGACTGAAGAGTAGGCTGGGCGCAGTGGCTCACACCTGTAATCCCAACACTTTGGGAGGCCGAGGTGGTTGGATTGCTTGAGCCCAGGAGTTCAAAACCAGCCTGGGCAACGTGGTAAAACCCTTTCTCTACAAAAAATACAAAAATAGCAGAGTGTGGTGGTATGCACCTGTAGACCCAGCCACTTGGCGGGTTGAGACAGGAAGTTTGCTTGACCCCAGGAGGTCGAGGCTGCAGTGAGCTGTGTTCATGCCACTGCACTCCATCATGGGTGACAAAGTGAGCCCCTGTCTCAGGAAATAGAATGAGAGGAAGAGAGGAAGAGAGGGAGAGGGAGAGAGGGAGAGAGAGAGAAAGAAAGAGAGAGAGAGAGAGAGAAAGACTTAAACATGATTAAGATGGTACATTTTGTTTTATTTTATTTTTATTTATTTGTTTTTTATTTTATTTTATTTTTGAGATGGAGTCTCGCTCTGTCGCCCAGGCTGGAGTGCAGTGGTGCAATCTCGGTTCACTGCAAGCTCTGCCTCCTGGGTTCACGCCATTCTCCTGCATCAGCTTCCCAAGTAGCTGGGACTACAGGCGCCCGCCTCCACGCCCGGCTAATTTTTTTTTTTTTTTGTATTTTTAGTAGAGACAGGGGTTTCACCATGTTAGTCAGGATGGTCTGGATTTCCTGACCTTGTGATCCGCCCACCTTGGCCTCCCAAAGTACGGGGATTACAGGCGTGAGCCACTGCACTCGGCCTTTATTTATTTATTTATTTATTTATTTATTTATTTATTTTGAGACAGAGTCTTGCTCTGTCGCCCTGGCTGGAGTGCAGTGGTGCGATCTCAGCTTACTGCAGTCTCCACCTCCCAGGTTCAAGTAATTCTCCTGCCTCAGCCTCCTGAGTACCTGGGATTACAGGTGCGTGCCACCACTCTAGGCTAATTTTGTATTTTTAGTAGAGACGGGGTTTCACTATGTTGGCCAGGCTGGTCTTGATCTCTTGACCTCAGGTGATCCTCCTGCCTCGGCCTCCCAAAGTGCTGGATTACAGGTATGAGCCACCGAGCCCTGGAGCTCTTATATATTGCTGGTGAGAATGTACAATGGCACAGTGTGGTGTCATTTTACATATATATGTTAATATGCATTGGCTTCCTCCATGGTTCTGGGTTTGTAACTCCCACAGCCCTTGTTACAGTCTTCTGTTATAACGATGGGTGCTGTAGGCCAGGCGCGGTGGCTCACGCCTGTAATCCCAGCACTTTGGGAGGCTGAGGCGGATGGATCATGATGTCAGGAGTTCAAGAACAGCCTGGCCAACATGGTGAAACCCCATCTCTACTAAAAATACAAAAATTAGCCAGGTGTGGTGGCAGGCATCTGTAATCCCAGCTACTCGGGAGGCTGAGGCAGAGAATTGCTTGAACCCAGGAGGTGGAGGTTGCAGTGAGCTGAGATTGCGCCACTGCACTCCAGCCTGGGTGACAGAGTGAGACTCCATCTCAAAAAATATATGTATATAAAAAAAATAATGCTGGGTGCTGTAGGCCTCAGAAGCAGGCCTTAAGAAACAGAATCTCTTTGATTTTCTCCTGCCTTCTTTCACCTGCCCCAAGGCAGAACTCTAATCTTCCTCCACCTTTCTGACTGTAGGATTTAGGACTCTCATTGCAGAGAGGGTCCGCCCTATGCCCTGGAGGCCTTCATTTCAACAAGGTTGTCTATAAAAACCCAAGAGGACAGGGTTCAGAGAGCTTCTGGGTAGCTGAACACGTAAAGATTCCTGGAAGGTGCTGCACCTGGGGAGGGCCTAGAAGCTCTGTGCACCTTCCCCCAATACCTCGCCCTATGCATCTGTGTCTGGAGTTGGTTTCTTCTGGTGGGTTCTTGGTCTTGCTGACTTCAAGAATGAAGCTGCGGACCTTCGCAGTGAGTGTTACAACTTTTACAGGTGGCATGGACCCAGAGTGAGCAGCAGCAAGATTCATTGTGAAGAGCAAAAGAACAAAGCTTCCACAGTGTGACAGTGTGGAAGGGGACCCAAGCAGGTCGCCGCTGCTGGGCGGGGGGGGGGGGGGGGGGGTGCAGGCGGAAGCAGGGCTGGCAGAGGCTGGGGGGGGGTGGCGTAGCTTTTCTTTCCTTCTTTGTCCCCACCCATGTCCTGCTCATTGGTCCATTTTACAGAGTTATTGGTCCATTTTACAGAGTGCTGATTGGTGTGTTTACAATCCTTTAGACACAGAGTGCTGATTGGTGCATTTACAATCCTTTAGCTAGACACAGAGCACTGATTGGTGTGTTTTCACAGAGTGCTGATTGGTGCATTTACAATTCTCTAGCTAGACACAGAGCACTGATTAGTGCATTTACAATCCTCCAGCTAGATGGAAAAGTTCTCCAAGTCCCCAGTCGATCTAGGAAGTCCAGCTGGCTTCACCTCTCATCTTCAGTGGTATCTTTTGTAATAGCCTTTATAATGTTACTGGAAAACCAGACTCCATAAAGTAGTTTAAAGAGGTTTGTCCTTAGCCATTATGATTGTTCCCCAGGGCCTGTGGAAAGTGAGGAAGTGTACCCAAGGTGGTCAGGTTAGTGATGATTTATACATTTTAGGGAGAGGAATTGTAGGTAAAATCATAAATCAATGCACGGAAGGTGTACATTGGTTCAGCTGAAAGAGGTGGGACGTCCTGAAGGACAGATGAGCTTACAGGTCAGTGTGTCCAGAATTGGCTCCTTCTGGTGGGTTCTTGGTCTCGCTGACTTCAAAAATGAAGCCACGGATCTTGGTGGTGAGTGTTACAGCTCTTAAAGGTAGCACAGACCAAGCGTGAGCAGCAGCAAGATTTATTGTGAAGAGAAAAAGAACTAAGTTTCCATGGCACACAAGGCAACCCAAACAGGTTGCTCCTGCTGGGGCAGAGAAAGGGAGGTTGTGGGAGGCGGGGGGGTGTTCAAGTTTTATTCCCTTATTTGTCCCCGCCCATGTCCTGCTGATTGGTCCATTTTGCAGAGAACTGATTGGTCCATTTTACAGAGCACTGATTGGTCCATATTACAGTGTGCTGATTGGCACATTTTGCAGTATACTGATTGGTGCATTTTACAAACCTCTAGCTAGCCACAGAACACTGATATGTGCGTTTTACAATCCTAGCTACAGAGTGCTGATTGGTGCATTTTACAATCCTCTTGTAAGACAGAAAAGTTCTCCAAGTCTCCACTGGACCCAGAAAGTCCAGCCAGCTTCACCTTTCATTAGGTGGATTCAAAGATTTTTCTGATTGGCAGTTGGTTGAAAGAATTAAAGCTTTGTCTAAAGACCTGAAGTTAGCAGAAGGAAATGACTGAGTTCAGATAAGGGGGATTGTGGAGGCCAAAGTTTTTGTTTTTTTTTTAATATGGAGTCTCACTCTGTTGCCCAGACTGGAGTGCAGTGGCATGCTCTTGGCTCACTGCAACCTCCACCTCCTGGGTTCACGCCATTCTCCTGCCTCAGCATCCTGTTCAGTTGGGATTACAAGCACGTGCCACCACACCCAGCTAATTTTTGTATTTTTAGTAGAGATGTGGTTTCGCCATGTTGGCCAGGCTGGTCTCGAACTCCTGATGTTAGGTGATCCTCCCACCTTGGCCTCCCAAAGTGCTGGGATTACAGGCGTGAGCCACCGCGCCAGGCCCAAACTTCTTGTTATATCAATGAAGCCTCATAGGTAGCCCCTTTCAGAAAGACTAGATGGTAAATCTCCTTTCAGAACTTAAACGTGTCAGGTTCTAATTTAATCTCTCATAGGTCCCAGAAAGGCCTAGAAAGGGAAGCCTGGCTGCATTAACGGAGATTCTCTAAAGATGCAAATTTCCCCCACAAAAAGATGGCTTCACAGAACTATTTCAAAATATATCAAAGAAATATATTTTGGGGTGAAATATTTTTATTTCCTTTAGGGTCGCTATTTGTCTCATGATGCTACACCAGAGTATGGTTGTAATTTGGTATCCTATTGCCCTGAAGAGTCTGTTCTGTCAGTATTATTTTAAGTCTTATATCCCTATTTTCATGTTAATGCTGGTCAGTTGTGCCTAAACTCTAAAAGGGAGGGAGTGTGACCTCTCTTCCAGTCTTGGTCAGGAATTCAGTTTTTCAGGTTTCTCTGGGTCCCAGAACGGGTCTGTTCAGCTGTTCAGTCAGTTGGGGAGCTTAGGATTGTATTTTTTTATTTACAGTAATAAATCAGTAAACATAAGTAAATGTTTCCCTGAGTTCTGTGAGCTGCTTCAGCAAAGTAATTGCACTCAAAGATGGGGTTGTGGGAACCCCAACATGAAGCCAGTTAGAAGTTCCTGAGGCCCAGACTTGCTACTGGTATTGAAAGACGACAGCGTGCTAGCAGCCCTCATTCATCCTCCGGGCCTCCTAGGCCTCGGCGTCCACTCTGGCTGCAACTGAGGAGCCCTTCAGCCCGCGGCTGCACTGTGGGAGCCCCTCTCTGGGCTGGCCGAGGCTGGAGCCGGCTTCCTCCGCCTGCGAGGAGGTGTGGAGGGAGAGGCACAGGCGGGAACCAGGGCTGCGCTCGGGGCTCGCGGGCCAGCGCGAATTCTGGGTGGGCGGGTGGGCACAGGTTCTGCGGGCCTCGCACTCGGAGCGGCTGGCCAGCGGCGCCACTGGCCCTGGGCAGTGAGGGGCTTAGCATCCAGGCCAGCAGCTGCGGAGGGTGCACCGGGTCCCCCAGCACTGTGCTGCTTGAATTCTTGCCAGGCCTCAGCCACCTCCCGAAGGGGCAAAGCTCGGGACCTGCAGCCCGCCATGCCCGAGGCACTCTGTGTCTAGCTCAAAGTTTATAAATACACCAATCAGCATCCTGTCACAACGGACCAATCAGCTCTCTGTAAAATGGACCAATCTGCTCTCTGTAAAATGGACCAATCAGCTCTCTGTAAAATGGGCCAATCTGCAGGATGTGGGTGGGGTCTGATACGCGAATAAAAGCAGGCTGCCTTAGCCAGCAGTTGCAAGGCGCTTGGGTCGTATTCATTATTGTGGGAGCTTTGTTCTTTCCTTGTTTGCAGTGAATCTTGCAGCTGCTTACTCTTTGGGTCTGGGCTGCGTTTATGAGCTGTAACGCCACGAAGCTCTGCAGCTTCACTGCTGAAGCCAGTGTAGACCAAGAACCCACCAGAAAGAAAAAACTCAACACATCTGAACATTGGAAGGAACAAGCTCCAGACACACTGTCTTTAAGAACTGTAACACTCACCGCAAGGGTGTGCAGCTTCATTCTTGAAGTCAGTGAGACCAAGAAGGAACAACTCCGGACGCACTGCCTTAAGAATTGTAACACTCACCATGAGGGTCTGTGGCTTCGTTCTTGAAGTCAGACCAAGAACCCACTAATTCCAGACATAGTATCTGGGGGGGTGGCAGGGGCAGTGTTGGGGAGTGAGCTCCAAAGCTCCAAGTCTGTGGAATCTGACACTAACTCCAGGTAGATAGTGTGGGAATTGGTGCCCAGTTGGTGTGTGCTGCAGAATTGATAACTTGCTTGCTGGTGAGAAGCCCCCATATGTGTTGGGATCATGGAAGTCTTCTATGTTGATTGTTGTATTGGCCCAAGAGGGGAAGAAATACTCAGTTTGAGAGTTTTTCCTGAATACACAGCCATTTTGGAAAACAGTTTGACAGTTTTGTATAAATTTTAACACATACCTCCCATAAAGCCTAGCAATCCACTCCTAGGTATTTATTTACCCAAGTGTATGTCCACCCCCAAGCATATGTCCATACAGAAGCCTGTAACCTGATGCTTCTAGCAGCTTTATTGGTGATAGCCAAAAACTGATAACAACTCAAATGTCCATCGAGGAAGAATGCATAAACTATTTTGGTATATTCATTCAGTGGAATACTTCCTGGCAATAAAAAGGAAGGCAGGCTGGGCGCGGTGGCTCATGCCTTTAATCCCAGCACTTTAGGAGGCCGAGGTGGGCAGCTCAGCTGAGGTCAGGAGTTCGAGACCAGCCTAGACAACATGGAGAAACTCCGTCTCTACTAAAAATACAAAAATTCGTCTGGTGGGGTGGCATGCGCCTGTAGTCCCAGCTACTTGGGAGGCTGAGGCAGGAAAATTGCTTGAACCCAGGAGGCGGAGGGTGCAGTGAGCCGAGATCACGCCACTGCACTCCAGCCTTGGCAACAGAGCAAGACTCCATCTCAAAAAAAAAAAAAAAAAAGGAAGGAAATATGGAACAGGGATAAATTTCAAAACTATTAGTGAAAGAAACTGTACCGAAAAGAGGATATAACATGATTTTAGTTATATAAAATTTTAGAAAAGGGAAATCTAATCTATAGCAACAAAAAGCAAATTAGTGGTTGCCTGGGCCCAGGACTAGGGGAAGGGGAGCAGGTATAAAGGGGTACAAGGGAATTTTGGGAGTGATAGAAATGTTCTTGTATCAGGATTGGTTGTTACATGATTGTCTACACCTGTCAAACTCATCAAAATTGTGTCCTTAAAATGGATAGATTTTATTAGATGTAAATTATACCTGAAGAAAGTTGTTTTTTTAAATGGGTAAGACTGAAGTATGGTGTCTAGAGATGCACTCTTGGATGAGGAACCCCGCTGGAAGCGAGTCCTATGAGTCGGGATGGTGGGCTCAGTTGGAGGGAGCCAGGGACTACACTTGGGATGTGGTACGGAAGGGCTTCTATGGGGGGAGAGTGCGGGGGATGTCAAGGTTCTAGTTCTTGACTTGGGTGGTGATTACAAGGGTGTCTGCCTTATAAAAGTTCACTAAGCTGGATGGGCATGGTGGCTGACACATGCACTCCCAGCACTTTGGAAGGCCAAGGGGGCCAGATCACCTGAGGTCAGGCATTCGAGACCAGGCTGGCCAAACATAGTGAGACCCCGTTTCTACTAAAAATACAAAAAATTGGCTGGTGGTGGTGCACGCTTGTAATCCCAGCTATCTGGGAGGCTGAAGCAGGAGAACTGCTTGAACCCGGGAGGCAGAGGTTGCAGTGAGCCAAGATTGTGCCACTGTACTCCAGCCTAAGCAACAGAGTGAGACTCCATCTCAAAAAAAGGAAAAAAAAAAAAAGCGGGGGAGGGGGTGGGCGGGGGGGCCAGGCACAGTGGCTCATGCCTGTAATCCCAACACTTTGGGATACCAAGGAGGGTGGATCACCTGAGGTCGGGAGTTTGAGGCCAGCCTGACCAACATGGAGAAACCCCATCTCTTCTAAAAATACAAAATTAGCTGGGCATGGTGGCGCATGCCTGTAATCCCAGATACTCGGAAGGCTGAGGCAGAAGATTCACTTGAACCTGGGAGGCGGAGGTTGCGGTGAGCCGAGATTGAGCCACTGCACTCCAGTCTGGGCAAGAGCAAGAGCAAAACTCTGTCTCAAAAAATAAAAAATAAAAAAAAGTTCACTAAGCTGTATCTTTGTTTTTTGTAGTTTCTCGTATCCGATTTTAGTTTATAATTAAATGTTTACAGATAAATTTTAGGCTGGGCACGGTGGCTCACGCCTGTAATCCCAGCACTTTGGGAGGCCGAGGCGGGCAGATCGCCTGAGCTCAGGAGTTCGAGATCAGCCTGGGCAACACAGTGAAACCCCCGTCTCTGCTAAAGTACAAAAAATGAGCCAGGCATGGCGGCATGTGCCTGTAGTCCCAGCTACCTGAGAGGCTGAGGCAGGAAAATTGCTTGAACCTGGGAAGTAGAGGTTGCAGTGAGCCAAGATCGCGCCTCTGCACTACAGCCTGGGCGACAGAGCAAGACTCTGCCTCCGAAAATAATAATAATAATAATAACAAAATAATAATAATAATAATTGTGGCCTGGCATGGTGGCTCATGCCTGTAATCCCAACATTTGGGAGGCCAAGGCGGGTGGATCACCTGAGGTCAGGAGTTCAAGACCAGCCTGGCCAACATGGCGAAATCCCTCTACTAAAAAAATACAAAAAATAAAATTAGCTGGGTGTGGTGGTGGGTGCCTGTAATCCCAGCTACTTGGGAGGCTGAGACAGGAGAATTGCTTGAACCCGGGAGGTAGGGTTGCAGTGAGCCGAGATCATGCCATTGCACTCCAGCCTGGGTGATAATAATAATTATTATTATCATATGTCTCAAAAGAAAAGACAGTTAAAAAGAATCCAAGAAGTAGGATAAATGCTCAGAGGTTTATACCTTGAGCATAGACATTGACAGCAACGTGATGGCCTCCAGTATAGACCACCTCCACAGCAATGTGGATCATCTCCTCAAGAGTGAGGCCCAAAGCAACAGATCCAACAGGCTATAAATATGTGACATTCCCTGGACTCTGTTTTCACTTTGACACTGGTCATAATCAAATAATTCAGGAAAATAATCACAGCAGCACTGGGAAGGTGAGGTCAGAGGAGCTGCGCCAAACCACAATAGGAAAAGAGGTGGCCCACCGAAGGGGAGGGGACATCCCATGTGGAGAGGAGCAGGTGCCATTTAGAGGAGAAAACAGCCCTTCAGCCCATGGCGTCAAGAGTGTGTGTGTGTGTGTGTGTGTGTCCGGGGATGTATCAGTAGCCATCTACCTACATCCGCAAACTCACATATGCCGTGCGAGCTACAAATGAAGATTGCAGCACAGATGGCTCTTTTGAAGGGGTTTCTGGATGAGTGGGAAGAGATAATGTTCTACAGGATTAGGAACCTATTTTAGGTGTGGTGCCAGGAGATGGGGGAAGAGGTGAGGCCCAGGGTGTCTCTTGAGGAATGTCTGTTTTAGTGTTCTTACAGTCAGTGCATTGCTGTACCGGGGCCATGAACTGGTATCCTCCACCCTATCCCCAGAGCCCAGGAAATAGAGAAATCTCCTGGCTGCAGTGCTGGCCACAGAGGGCACTACTCCTCTAGGTCTCCCTCCACCCCTGCTGTGACACCAGAGATTTTATAAAAGACCCAGGAATCTCAGAAGGCAAGGGACTGAAACTTGAAAATCTTTAGAAACCACAGTTTACTGTTTTCCAACCTGAGGAGGTCCCTAGGGTCGCTGGGGACCTAAACCCTGGCTTCCCTTGGTGTTCATAGGTTCCTCAGAGTCACTGGTTCACAACTTTGGCTGCTTTAGAGATAGTCATTTAGGCCGGGTACAGTGGCTCACACCTATAATCCCACTTTTGGAGGCCGATGTGGGAGGATCACCTGAGCCCAGGAGTTCAAGACCAGCCTAGGCAACATAGTGAGACCCATCCCACGCCCCTTGCATCTCTGTACAAAAGTTTAAAAACTAGCTGGGCATGGTGGTGCACACCTGTAGTCCCAACTGTTTGGGTGGCTAAGATAGGAAGGATCACTTGAGCCCAGAAAGTCAAGGCTGCAGTGAGCTGTGATCACACCACTGCACTCCAGTCTGGGTGAAAGAGGGAGACCCTGACTCAGAAAAAAAAGAAAAGAATAAGAAAAGGCCACGCATGGTGGCTCACGCTTGTAATCCCAACACTTTGGGAGGTCAAGAAGGGGCCGATCACCTGAGGTCAGGAATTCCAGACCAGCCTGACAAACATATAGTGAAACCCTGTCTCTACTTAAAAAAAATACAAAAATTAGCTGGGCGTGATGGCATACACCTGTAATGCCAGCTACTTGGGAAGCTGAGGCAGGAGAATCTGTTGAACCCAGAAGGCAGAGGTTGCAGTGAGCCGAGATCATGCCATTGCACTCCAGCCTAGGTGACAAGAGTGAAAGTCCATCTCAAAATAAATAAATAAATAAAAGTAATCTCTTTAAAAGATACATTGAATCCTGTCACTACTGCTTGAAACCTTTCCACGGCTTTTCGTTGCACTTTGAATAAAATCCTGATGCCTTCCTGAGGTCGATGTGCGGTCCAGCTTCACCTTGTTACCATGTCCTAATCATCCTGGCTGCCTTTCAGCTCAAGCTCTTTCCTGCATCGGGGCCCTTCAGAGGCCCTGTTCCCCCTTCCCAGTTCTCCTCTCAGTTCTCTGTAGGTTTCAGATCAAACATCACCTCCTCACTCCCCATTACTCTCCATCACCACAGGCTGATCATTTTCTCCGTAGCTCTCAGCACATGACAGAAGTATACATTGCTTGTCATGGGATCCCTGTGTGCTCATGTCCCCAGTCAGCCCCATCATCTGGCCCAGGGCTAGGGACCCAGTGCCTAAGTGCGGAATGGAATTCGGCGAACTCCATGAAGTGCTGGCATCTCAGAAGGCTTTGGTAATGGCAGAGATAGTATTATTCCCTTCCTTCCTTAGTCATTGTTGGGAGCAGGCCCCCCAAAATCTGGCCATAAACCGGCCCCAAAACTGGCCATAAACAAAATCTCTGCAGCACTGTAACATGTTCATAATGGCCCTAGCACCCACGCTGGAAGGTTGTGGGTTTACGGGAATGAGGGCAAGGAACACCTGACCCGCCCAGGGCAGAAAACCGCTTAAAGGCATTCTTAAGCCACAAACAATAGCATGAGCGATCTGTGCCTTAAGGACATGCTCCTGCTGCAGTTAACTAGCCCAACCTATTCATTTAATTTGGCCCATCACTTTGTTTCCCATAAGGGATAATTTTAGTTAATTTAATATCTATAGAAACAATGCTAATGGCTGGTTTGCTGTTAATAAATACGTGGGTAAATCTCTGTTCGGGGCTCTCAGCTCTGAAGGCTGTGAGACCCCTGATTTCCCACTTCACACCTCTATATTTCTGTGTGTGTGTCTTTAATTCCTCTAGCGCCGCTGGGTTAGGGTCTCCCCGACCAAGCTGCTCTCAGCAAGTCATCATCTTTTGTTTCCTCCACTTGCCGTGAGGTTACTGTTAATTTTGAAACATTTATTAACGAACATATGAGACACCATGCTAAATGCTAGAAAGGACACTGAGAGAGGGGAAGCCATGGTCCCTGACCTCAGGGAGGTGCCATCCAGGATGGAGACACTAAGGGAACCCTATCATTCCAGGGTGAGCTGGGCAGTGCTGTGGAGCTCCTCCTTGTCTCCTCCTCACTCCTTATCCTTTCTAGGTGACCTCAGAACCTCACAAGGTCTTAGATGATGCCCTTTCCTCATCTAACCCAGCTCTCTTCCACAGGACACATTCAGAACCCTTTATCTAAAATTATACTGTGCATTTGCACCAGTGTGTCTCATGGGAACCTCAAATGCAACAAAATCTAAAACTGAATTCATCTCTCATAAACAATTTAGTGGTATTTCAGATAAATAGAAGCATAGCTCATTGGGGAAATGGTGTTGAGATACTGGCTAACCCTTTGGAGGGAAAATGTTTTACATCAGAGAACATTCCAGGAGGATAAAAGATATATATAAAAAAAGGAAGTCAACCAAGCATGGTGGCTCACACCTGTAAACCCAGCACTTTGGGAGGCCGAGGTGGGCAGATCCATTGAGCTCAGGAGTTCAAGATCAGCCTAGGTAACATGGAGAAACCTTGTCTCTATTAAAATACCAAAAAAAAAAAAAATTTAGCTGGGCTTGGTGGCACATATGTAATCCCAGCTACTTGGGATGCTGAGGCACAATAATTGCTTAAGCTGAGATCATGCCACTGCACTCCAGCCTGGGTGACAGAGTGAGACTCTGTCAAAAAAAAAAAAAAAAAAGGACTGAGTATTTTTTCAAGTGAGCTGGGGAGCCATTAGCGGGATTTAAACAGGGAAGTGACATGGTCTGATGTTGCAGCAGGATCGCCATGGCTCTAGGAAGAGAAGAGAATCTGGGAGACCATATTTCAGTTGACTGCATCCCATCGTTGCTGCTGGGAAGTGGGCAGTCATACCTGTCTTTTCTTACTGGCTGCTTTTAAGATCTTCCCCAGAGTCATCCCCCTGGTCAGGTGCAAGGGCTCATGCTTGTAATCCCAGCATTTCGGGAGGCCAAGGTGGGAGGATCACCTAAAGTCAGGAGTTCGAGACCAGCCTGGCCAACATGGTGAAACTCTGTCACTACTAAAAATACAAAAATTAGCCAGGCATGATGGTGCATACCTGTAATCCCAGCTACTAGGGAGGCTGAGGCAGAAAAATCGCTTGAACCCCGGAGGCAGAGCTTGCAGTGAGCCAAGATTGTGCCACTGCACTCCAGCCTGGGTGACAGAGTAAGACTCTGTCTCAAAACAACAAACAAAATCAAAGTCCTCTCTCTGGTCACTGAGATAAATGCGTATCTGACTGTCTCCTTCCGAAAGGCTAATCAGAAACTCAAAAGAATGCAACCGTTTGTCTCTCACCTACCTGTGACCTGGAAGCCCCCTCCCTGCTTTGAGTTATCTCACCTTTCTGGACCGAACCAATGTTCATTTTACATATGTTGATTGATGTCTCATGTCTTCCTAAAATGTATAAAACCAAACTGTGCTCTGACCACGTTGGGCGCATGTCATCAGGACCTCCTGAGGCTGTATCATGGGCGCATCCTCAACCTTGGCAAAATAAACTTTCTAAATTAACAGACCTGTCTCAGATTTTCAGGATTCACATTGTCTTCCAATAATTCTGGAAAATACTCTGACAGTGTTTCTTTCCTTTCTCTATTATTTTCTTATAAGACTTCACCTAGACATCTATTAGACTTTCTAACTCTATCACTCATGTCTCATCCTTGCTTTCAAATATTCCATCTCTTTAGCTGGGTGTGGTGGTGTGCACCTGTAGACCAAGCTACTCGGGAGGCTGAGGCAGGAGGATGGCTTGAGCCCTGAAGGTCGGGGCTGCAGTGAGTCGTGACTGTGCCACTGCTCTCCAGCCTTGGCAAAAAAAGGGAGACCCTGTATTAAAAAAACAACAACTAAAAATCAATCAAATATTCTCTTTCAGTCTCTGGACTACATTGTGTCTATCTGTATATATATTTTCATTTCTACTTTTAATCTCACTGACTTTTCAAGTGTGTCAGTATGTCAAATCTATTGTTTAGTCTTGTTGTCTGTTTTTTTTTTTGTTTTTTTTGTTTTTTGTTTTTTTTTTTTTTTTTTTTTTAGAGAGGAGGTCTTGCTATGTTGCCCAGGCTGCTCTCCAACTCCTGGGCTCAACCGATCCTCCCACCTCAGCCTAAAGAGCTACCTTAAGTAGTTAGGACTACTACAGGTTCACAGCACACCTTACCTGGCTATTTAGTCTTTTTGTTTGTTTTTGAGACGGAGTCTCGCTCTGTCGCCCAGGCTGGAGTGCAGTGGCGCCATCTCGGCTCACTGCAAGCTCCGCCTTCCGGGTTCACACCGTTCTCCTGCCTGAGCCTTCCGAGTAGCTGGGACTACAGGCACCTGCCACCATGCCCGGCTAATTTTTTGTATTTTTAGTAGAGACGGGGTTTCCCTGTACTAGCCAGGATGGTCTCGATTTCCTGACCTCATAATTCGCCCGCCTCAACCTCCCAAAGTGCTGGGATTACAGGCGTGAGCCATGGCGCCCAGCCTTTTTGTTTGTTTTTTTGAGACGGAGTCTCACTCTGTTGCCCAGGCTGGAGTGCAGTGGCGCGATCTCGGCTCACTGCAATCTCCGCCTCCCGGGTTCACGCCATTCTCCTGCCTCAGCCTCGCGAGTAGCTGGGACTACAGGTGCCCGCCACCACACCTGGCTAATTTTTTAGTATTTTTAGTAGAGATGGGGTTTCACCGTGTTAGCTAGGATGGTCTCGATCTCCTGACCTTGTGATCCGCCTGCCTTGGCGGATCCCAAAGTGCTGAGATTACAGGCGTGAGCCACCGCGCCCGGCCTTTTTTTTTTGACAGAGTTTTGCTCTGTCACCCAGGCTGGCCAGGCAATCTCGGTTCTGCAGCCTTGACCCACGGGCTCAAGCAATCCTCAAAACTCAGATTCATGAGTAGCTGGGATTACAGTCACCCGCCACCATGTCCGGCTAATTTTTTTTTTTTTTTTTTTTTTTTTGAGACAGAATCTTGCTCTGTCACCCAGGCTGGAGTGCAGTGACGAGATCTTGACTCACTGCAACCTCTGTCTTCCAGGTTCAAGCGAATTCTCCTGCCTCAGCCTCGTGAGTAGCTGGGATTACAGGTATCCACCACTATGCCCAGCTAATTTTTGTATTTTTAGTAGAGACGGGGTTTCACTATGTTGGTCAAGCTGGTCTCGAACTCTTGACCTCCGGTGAACCGCCCACCTCGGCCTCCCAAAGTGCTGGGATTACAGGCCTGAGCCGCCGTGCCCGGTCCACTTTTCTTTTCTTTTTTTTTTTTTTGAGACGGAGTTTCGCTCTTGTCGCCCAGGCTGCAGTGCAATGGTGCAATCTCGACTCACTGCAAGCTCCACTTCCCAAGTTCAAGTGATTCTCCTGCTTCAGCCTCCCAAGTAGCTGGGATTACAGGCGCCCGCCAACATGCCTGGCTAATTTTTGTATTTTTTTTTTTAGTAGAAATCGGATTTCGCCATGTTGGCCAGGCTGGTCTCGAACGCCTGACCTCAGGTGATCCACCCGCCTCGGGCTCCCAAAGTGCTGGGATTATAGGCGTGAGCCTCTGCGCCCGGCCCCACTTTCCTTTCTTTCTTTTTAGACGGAGTGTCGCTCTGTCGCCCAAGCTCTGGAGTGCAGTGGAGTGATCTCGGCTCACTGCAACCTCCGCATACGGGGTTCAAGCGATTCTCCTGCCTCAGCCTCCTAAGTAGCTGGAATTACAGGCGCACGCCAACACACCTGGCTAATTTTTTTGTATTTTTAGTAGAGATGGGGTTTCACTATGTTGGCCAGCTGGTCTTGAACTCCTGACCTCAGGTGAACCGCCCACCCTGGCCTCCCAAAGTGCTGGGATTACAGGCTTGAACTGCCGCGCCCAGCCTCTTTTTTTTTTTTTTTTTATTTAAATAGAGCCAGGGTCTTGCTCTGTCACCCAGGCTGGACTGCAGGGGCACGAACCCGGCTCACTGCACCCTCCACTTTCCTGGCTCAAGCGATCCTCCCGCCTCAGCCTCCTCAATAACTGGGACTACAAGCGTGCACCACCACAGTCAGTTAATTAAAAAAAAAAATTGTAGAGATGAAGTCTCACCATTGCCTAGGCTAGTCTGGACCTCCTGGGCTCAAGCAGTTCTCCTGCCTCAGCCTCCCAAAATGCTGAGTCAATTTTTTTTTTTTTTTTGAGACAGAGTCTCACTGTCGCCCAGGCTGCAGTGCAGTGGCATGATCTCGGCTCACTGCAACCTCCACCTCCCGGGTTCAAGCGCTTCTCCTGCCTCAGCCTCCCGAGTAGCTGGGACTACAGGCGCCCGCCACCACGCCGGCTAATTTTTTTTGTATTTTTAGTAGAGACAGGGTTTCACCATTGGCTAGGCTGGTCTCGAACCCCTAACCTTGTGATCTGCCCACCTCGGCCTCCCAAAGTGCTGAGATTATAGGCGTGAGCCACTGTGCCCGGCCTCTGTTTTTTATTAAAAAAAAAAAAAGTCTACTTGTGTGAGTGCATATGAATTTGGAAAAGTGTATACCACAATGTTAATAGCTATTTTCTTTGGTTGATGGGATTATGTTTTTAGTCTTTTATCGTCATCTGATTTATATGTTCTCTCTCTTTTCTTGCTCCAAGAGCATATATCACTTGCATAATAGATTTTGGCCGGGAAAAAAAGAAGAAGCGTTTCTAAAACGACAGCCCAAAATAAGTGACCCTGTACTGATAGAGCACGCAAGCTCAGAAGTTCCCGGCGGCGGTTTCCTAGTGCGTGCGTGAGTCCCTCAGGCGGTCAGGCTCCGTGGTCAGATCCGCCAGTTCTTCAGGCACCGCCGAGGCCACCCCAGGCTCCCCGCGGGTCCTGGCGGGGGGCGGGTCCACGCCAGCCCGGAAGAGACGCAGCACCGCGCATGCTCCTTCCTTTCCAGCCCCGGTACCGGACCCTGCAGCCGCAGAGGTGAGTTTCTGTGGCGTTCGAGTTCCATCGGCTCCCATCCGGGCTATCCTGCCGCCTTAGCGGCTGCTTCTCCCCAGGATGCGGGCAGGGGGCCTCTCTCCCACTCCCCACACACCGATTTCTGAGTAGCGATAGGGGCTGGAGGCTTATTTTATGGGGTAGGGGGCCGCTGGTAGGCGAAGATTGTCCGAGGGAGAGGGGGAGGATGAAGCCAGTGAGTGGCGGAGACTTGCCAGGTGAGACTAGCGAGACGGTGTCCCACCGACACGCTTTTTTCTTGGGAACAGGACTCCCCCGACTGCCTCCTTGCCTGGCACTGGAGCTCTAGTTTGGGGGAGAAGTGGTAGGTAGGAGACGAGGGTGCGAAGGCCTTAGCCCTTTGGTTTGGGGTCTGCCGCCTTCAAGAAGCCGGGGCTTTACCCCTCCGGGCCTTCCCTGCGTACCTTATGGTACAGCCGCGAGATTCCGCGCTGGGTACGGTCGCTGATGGCCTCCAACTGCTCCCGATAATACAGGGTTTGCTCCTCTCCCCCCCATTGACCTTTGTAATTGATGAGAACTTAAGGAAGTTTGGCGCGAATGTGCACCACTATCCTGGTTTTAACATACTGTCAACTTTTCCACCTGAATTGTGTTTGGGGGTGGGGACTGACGGAGCTGGCCTCTGCCGAATCTGTTTTGTGGAGTTGAGTCTTCCCACCAGCATGTTGTCTACGGTTTTGTGTGGGTCACTTTAGGATCAAGAACTTGATTACCGGGCCCCGGCCTCGTTACTCAGAAGTGCTCTTGACAATCGTCTCCTTCTTGCAGATGTTGATGCCTAAGAAGAACCGGATTGCCATTTATGAACTCCTTTTTAAGGAGGGAGTCATGGTGGCCAAGAAGGATGTCCACATGCCTAAGCACCCGGAGCTGGCAGACAAGAATGTGCCCAACCTTCATGTCATGAAGGCCATGCAGGTAGGAGGGTGAGGAGGAAGATGGGATGGATCTTCCTCCCCGGGATCCCATCCCGGGATGGGATGGAATGGGATGGAGGGATCTTCCCCTAAGGTTCAAGGCAAGTTCAAAAAGGGAGGTCAGGACTGCGGGGGCTGCTTGCTAACTTGAAGGGCTGGCTGGGACTGGAGACTTGCCTAGGATGATCCAAGCTTCTACTTAACGCCTTAACAGTAGTTTTCTGCCTTACAGTCTCTCAAGTCCCGAGGCTACGTGAAGGAACAGTTTGCCTGGAGACATTTCTACTGGTACCTTACCAATGAGGGTATCCAGTATCTCCGTGATTACCTTCATCTGCCCCCGGAGATTGTGCCTGCCACCCTACGCCGTAGCCGTCCAGAGACTGGCAGGCCTCGGCCTAAAGGTATGGTTCCCACACAAATCCCTTCAGCTATTTGAAGATAGTTTCTTTTGTGTAAGGGACAAAAGCATTCTTAGCTGATGTCAGCTTTAGAGGGCTCTGGCCTGCAGGCATTTGGTCAAGTGCTAGAACCTTTGTCCCATGGCTTGGGACTTGGAATAGAACTAGACTCAGTTCTTCAGGCCATCCATGAGATGGCCTTAAGCACAGATAGTCTGTCACTTTCTTCACCCACACCTGTACAAACATCCAGATACATGTGGTATAGAATATTGAGTAACTTTTCCCGCAGAGTGCGTTGTACTATTCCCGAGAAGTCCAAAGCAAAGCCATTTACCACCTCGAAAGAAACAAGAGTGTTGTAGTTTTCTTGCCAACAGGAGAAGAAATTAGAAACTGGAGTGGAGAACGGATGGTGTATACCACGATGTGAAAGGATATGCATGCATGTGTGGTGTGAGGAGAATTATCTTCTGATTCTTGGGATCATTGCTAGCTCACAGTTGCTTTTTTTTTTTTTTTTTTTTTTTTAACGGAGTCTTGCTCTGTTGCCCAGCCTGGAGTGCGGTGGTAAGCCACCGTGCTTGGCCTGTATTTTATCTAGGTTATGGTTCTTTGTTACAAAACTCTGTAGGAGCTGCAGAGAGCATAGGTTGAGGTGAAAAAATGCGCAGATTCCTAAATGTGATCATCAGAGGGCCCAGGTTCCCCTGGAGAGTTACCTTATGGAGCTCAGGAATTCGTTATGAAAGCTCCCCAAGGGATTCTGGTGATTAGGTAGACATAATTTTTTGAGACAGAGTCTCACTCTGTTGCCGAGGCTGGAGTGCAGTGGTGCGATCTCAGCTTACTGCAACTTCCACCTCTGAGGTTCAATCAATTCTGTCTCAGCCTCCCGAGACTGGGATTATAGGCGCCCAGAGCGACACCCAGCTAATTTTTGTATTTTTAGTGGAGATGGGGTTTCACTCTGTTGGCCAGGCTGGGCTCGAACTCCTGACCTCAGGTGATCCACCACCTCAGCCTCCCAAAGTGCTGGGATTACAGGCGTTAGCCACCGCGCCCAGCCCATAATACGTCTTTTTAGCAAAAGTTGTCTACTACATCTTGGAATCTCCTGGGAGAAAAAAATACCAGTGCCTATCTGTGCTTGATATATTCTGATTTAGTTGGGCCTGACATTTGTTTTTGCCACTCATTACATGATTAATTTATTTCTGCTCTAAAAGGAGTTCATTCTGCCTGAGTGCAGTGACTCATTCCTGTAATCCCAGCACTTTAGGAGGCCAAGGCAGGAAGACTACTTGAGTCCAGGAGTTTGAGACCAGCTAAGGCAGTATAGTGAGACTCCGTCTACAAAAAAATAAATTAGCCAGGCATGGTGGTGCACACCTGTGGTTAAGCCCAGGAACTCCAGGCTGCATTGAGCTGTGATTGTGGCCATGGCACTCAGCCTGAACAACAAAGCAAGACACTGTGTCAAAAAAAAAAAAAGGAGACATAGTTCATATTCTAATCATATGGACTCCGGGTAAGTTCCAGGGTAACTGGCTAGAGAAAATACTTGATTAAATTGTTACTGATTGTGTTTGTTTGTTTGTTTATATTCTGTCACCTAGGCTGGAGTGCAGTGTCACGATCCCAATTTACTGCAACCTCTGCCTCCTGGGTTCAAGTGATTCTCCTGCCTCAGCTTCTTGGTAGCTGGGATCACAGGCGTGCACCACCACACCCGGCTAATTTTTGTAATTTTAGTAGAGACAGGGTTTTACCATGTTGGCCAGGTTGTTCTTGAACTCCTGGCCTCAAGTGATCACCTGCCTTGGCCTCCCAAAGTGCCGGGATTACAGGCATGAGCCACTGCGTCTGGCCATTTATGATAATTTTTTTAAGGTAGCTCTTAAAGTTTGTGCCTTAGGGTGTGGTGGCTCACACCTGTAATCCCAGCACTTTGGGAGGCCAAGGCGGGAGGATCACATGAGACCAGGAGTTCAAGACCAGCCTGTCTAACATGGTAAAACCCTGTCTCTACTAAAGATACCAACCAAAAAAAATTAGCCTGGGCGTGGTGGCTCGTGCCTATAATCCCATCACTTTGGAAGGCCAAGGCGGGAGGGTCACTTGAGGTCAGGAGTTGGAGACCAGCCTGGCCAACAGGTTGAAACCCCCTTTCTACTAAAAATACAAAACGTAGCCGTGCGTGGTGGCACGTGCATGTAATCCCACCTACTGGGGAGGCTGGGGTGAGAGAACTGCTTGAACCCAGGAGGCAGAGGTTGCAGTGAGCCAAGATCGCGCCACTGCACTCCAACCTGGGTGACAGAGTGAGACTCCGTCTCACAAAAAGATAATAAATAATAAAGTTTCTGCCTTAATATATATCCCACAGCCTAACAGGTATGTGAAGAAGCCCAAGAGGAACTCAACGATTCTTGGTAACCCCTAGATTATGTACTTAATATTGGAGTTGGGACTTTCAGCTTAGGATGCTTCCTTTTCTGTTTGCATATACTAAGTTTTCCACTTAACGTGGGTCAGGTTCAAAAGTTTAGCTATTCAGATGTTCATAGAAATAGCTAGATACCTAGATTGGTCCAATAATTGGAAAATAGTTTTATGTTGAAACAAAATGGAAGCCTTTTTTTTTTTTTTCAGATTTGCAGCCAAGATTGTCAATAAGTTTCTATGGAGAAATAATTATTTCTAGCTGACATTGTAGGTTTAAGGAGTTCCTGTCCCCATTAACCCATCTTAACCAAGTGGTTGCTGAGAGTGACAACAGGAGAGCAATGCCAGTTTTCTTGGCTTTAAGGGACAGAGTTCTCACATTGCCCTGTGTTCACAGTGTGGTTTGATTTACATAGGTCTGGAGGGTGAGCGACCTGCGAGACTCACAAGAGGGGAAGCTGACAGAGATACCTACAGACGGAGTGCTGTGCCACGTGAGTAAATGCATCACCTATATTAGGGGTGTTGGGGTGAAATGTCTGGATTCTCACAGCTGGCTCTGGCTGGGTGGGGCTCAGCCCTTGATGATGACAAAATGACCAGGAAAGATTCTTGGTTTCACTCTGCAGAGCATCAGAACAGCTGGAGTCCTTTGTGCTTCTTTCTTCATGCAGTGATTTCATAGATGAGAATTAGGAGGAGGCTGGGATTTTTTAAAAAACAAAACTCAGGCCGGGCTCAGTGGCTCATGTCTGTAATCCCAGCACTTTGGTTGGAGGGGGGGGGTCGAAGTGGGCAGATTACTTGAGGTCAGGAGTTCGAGACCAGCCTGGCCAACATGACGAAACCCTGTCTCTATTAAAAATACAAAAATTAGGGCGGTGTGGTGGTGGGCGTCTGTAGTCCCAGCTACTTAGGAGGCTGAGGCATGAGAATTGCTTGAACCTGGGAGGCAGAGGCCGCAGTGAGCCGAGATCATGCCATTGTATTAGATCTATGGCTCACACTGGGCACGAGGATAGGGGGAGGAAAGCAAATGCCAATAACAAATATGGTTTCAGTAATTGTTAAAGTTGTCACTCCAGCCTGGGTGACAGAGCAAGACTGTCTCAAAAAAAAAAAAAAACCTCTTCGGTAAAATGTGGAGCTTTTGTTAGTATTTTTGCAAAGGAATAATAGGATTCAACTTTTTTTTTTTTTTAATTTTCTTTCATTTTTGAGACAGTCTCGCTCTGTCACCCAGGCTGGAGTGCAGTGGCAAGATCTTAGCTCACTGCAAGCTCTGCCTCCTGGGTTCACGCCACTCTCCTGCCTCAGCCTCCCGAGTAGCTGGGACTACAGGCGACCGCCGCCATGCCCAGCTAATTTTTTTTGTATTTTTAGTAGAGATGGGGTTTCACCGTGTTAGCCAGGATGGTCTGGATATCCTGACCTCATGATCCGCCCGCCTCAGCCTGCCAAAGTGCTGGGATTACAGATGTGAGCCACCGCGCCCACCCGGATAAAGTCACTCGTTGTTGATTGTAATACAAAAGCAAGGTGTACAAGAAGAGTTTTTACTAACTTCTACCACTCTTAGCTTTTTTCTGTCATCTTTTGGAGAAGTGACCACTTGACCTGAGTACCATACAGGGTAGTAGAAGGAATGAATTTCTCCAGCCCTTGGTTCAGAGGAAGTTGGTGATACTGGAAGTTTAACGATTATGGGCCAGGCACAGTGGCTCATGCCTGTAATCCCAGCACTTTGGGAGGCCGAGGCAGGTGGATCACTTGAGGTCAGGAGTTCAAGACCAGCCTGGCCAGCATGGTAAAACCCCATCTCTACTTTAAAAAATTAGCTGGGCATGATGGTGTGTGCCTGCCTGTAATAATCTCAGCTACTCGGGAGGCTGAGGCGGGAGAATTGCTTGAACCTGGGAGGCGGAGGTTGCAGTGAGACAAGATCATGCCACTGCACTCCACCCTGGGCAACAGCAAGACCCTGTCTCAAAAGAAAAGAAAACGATTACTGAAACCATATTCGTTATTGGCATTTGCTTTCCTCCCCCTATTCTTGTACCCAATGTGAGCCATAGATCTAATACAAAATTTCCTCGTAGCCACACTTGAAAAAGCAAGTGGAAACAGGTTATTTGAGTACTAATGTCTTTTATTTAATCAAATATTTGTAAAAGTGAGTTGGGAATGGTGGTATGTGCCTATAGTCCCAGCTACTTGGAAGGCCAAGGCAAGAGGATTGTTTTGAGCCCAGGAGTTTGAGATACAGTGAGCTATGATCTTGTTGCTACATTCCAGCCTGGGCAACAGAGTGAGACCCTGCCCCCCGCACCAACTCAAATAAATCAGGGCCGGGCGCGGTGGCCCACTCCTGTAATCCCAGCACTTTGGGAGGCCGAGGCGGGCAGATCACCTGAGGTCAGGAGTTTGAGACCAGCCTGGACAACATGGTGAAACCCCGTCTCTACTTAAAATACAAAAAATTAGCCAAGCGTGGTGGTATGCACATGTAGTCCCAGCTACTCGGAGCATGAGGCAGGAGAATCGCTTGAACCCAGGAGGTGAAGGTTGCAGTGAGCTGAGATTGCATCATTGCACTCCAGCCTCAGGGACAAGAGTGAGACTTCGTCTCAAAAAAAAAAAATAAGTAAATAAATACAAATAAATCGGTTTAAAAAATATCTAAACGTGTTAATTTAACATGTAATCAGTATAAAGAGTAGTGAAATATTTTACATTCTTTTTTTCTTAAGTCTTTGTAATTGGCTGGGTGCAGTGGCTCACACCCGTAATTCCAGCACTTAGGGAGGCTGAGGCAGGCAGATCACTTGAGCTCAGGAGTTCTAGACCAGCCCGGGCAACATGGCAGAACCCCATCTCTACAAAAAATATAAAAATTAGGGCTGGGTGCGGTGGCTCATGCCTGTAATCCCAACACTTCAGGAGGCCGAGGTGGGCGGATCACTTGAGGTTGGGAGTTTGAGACCAGCCTGGAGAAACCAACATGAAGAAACCCCATCTCTACTAAAAATACAAAAAAATTAGCCATGCATGGTGGCGCATGCCTGTAATCCCAGCTACTCGGGAGGCTGAGGCAGGAGAATCGCTTGAACCTGGGAGGCGGAGGTTGCAGTGAGCCGAGATCGCGCCATTGCACTCTAGCCTGGGCAACAAGAGCGAAATTCAGTCTCAAACGAACAAAAAATATAAAAATTAGCTGCCTGTAGTCCCACCTGAGGTGGGAGGATCGCTTGAGCCCATGAGGCAGAGGTTGTAGTGAGCTGAGATCGTACCACTGCACTCCATCCTGGGTGACAGAGTAAGACCCTGTCTCAAATAAGTAAAAGAAAACTGGTGAATTTTGCACACGTCTCCATTTGAACTGTGACTGGGATATAGGACCGGGCAGCATCTTGTCTGCTTTTCTCCCATGGTGGTAATTAAGGCTTTTGTGGGCCCTTCCCTTTACATGTTAGTTCTTCCATAATTACACTCCCTTTGTTATCTAGATGCTGCTGTGAAGTGGGTAAGTCAGTCAGTGTGATAGGAAGTAGGAATCCTTTGGGAGGATTTATAGTTTGGGCTGTGAGTATTGAAGGGTGACATAAGGAAGGCTGAGAAGGGTGCCCCAGGAGAGACAAAGGTGGCTCAGAAGGTATTCCCCACCACTGGTGTAATTTGCTTATATTTAACGGAGTGGTACTTGGCTTTTCCTGCAAGATTGGAGTCAGTGAGTTGTCTTCCCTTGTTCTATAGTAGATTAGATCATATGATGATTCTAAATCGATGTTTCACTTTCTAGCTGGTGCCGACAAGAAAGCCGAGGCTGGGGCTGGGTCAGCAACCGAATTCCAGTTTGTGAGTATCTTCCTATTTGTTTTCCATGAGCCATCACTTGTTCTGGCCTCAGTCTGGTTGCTCTGCAAGTTGTGGGGATGTCATATAGTATGGGTGGGTCCTGTCAACCAGTTCCCTCCTCCCACTTTTTTCCAAATTCCAAATTTTACATTGAGTTGTAGCATGCAAACTTTTGTAAATACATAAATTACTGAAATGAGTCTCAGAAATCAGTACATGTGGCCTACTAGTATTTTCTGTTTCATTAATGCTTGACATTGAACTAAACACTGGAAGGTGGGTGGGCTTAAGAACCAAGATGGTATGAAATCAAATCCTCCATCTTTTTTCAGTTGATGTAATGTTAGGTAGGTTCCCCTCTGCCTCAGTTTCTCCATCTATAAAATAAGGTGATAATTACAGCTACTAAGGTAGTTGTGAGATTAGTTAATCCAGGCATAGTACTGGCATATCATTTTTGTCCTATGGCAGGTCCTCATAGCACACGATTGCTCTCAGATAATGTCATTTGTAAAAAGGAAGCATGTACAGTAGAAACGGTCCAATCCTGGTGCTGGATGCTTTCATAGGAGTATGTATGAACACACTCTGGGTGGGTGGCCATACTCCCACTTTACCAATGAAGAAATGGGCCTAGATGTTAGATATGGCCCCACATCCAGTAAGGGGCAGTGCTGGGATTTATAGCCTGTACTCAGCTCTCTCCCAGCTGTTTACATTTGGGGGCCTCTGGAGTTATAATGAGGCCTGAAAGTTAGCAAAACCTCCAAAGATCAAACCAGAGTGCCGCTCATGCTGATGTGATGTGCTTTCTCTTACAGAGAGGCGGATTTGGTCGTGGACGTGGTCAGCCACCTCAGTAAAATTGGAGAGGATTCTTTTGCATTGAATAAACTTACAGCCAAAAAACCTTAATCTTTTGTCCATTTTGTTTGCATTGTGCAGCCTGAACAGGAACAGTTTAAGTGTCAGAATGTAAATGGGGCAGTACAGGCTTGGTTTGGGGAGTTGTCATTGTCCTGGGTGACACCGGCTGCTGCTGTACTTGGCTTTGGCGTGTGCCCTGCTTTCTCTAGGCAGTGCCTCCCTGCAGAGTGGTGTCCCATATGGTGCTGCAGTTGGAAAACTGGGTCCCTTCTTTAGACCAGCCATGCTGCCTCAGCTCAGCATGGTGGGAAAATTGCTGGTTGGCCTGGAGTCGTGATTTGTGCCTGCTGTCAGGAACTATAAGAAGTACTGGGGAGGGAGGATGAAAGGTAACGACCAAGGAAATGGTGCACTTGGAATCCTTCAATTTATGGAGAAGAAGCACAGGAATGGTGTTTAGGCCAACGTTACTAATCTAAGTCTTCAAGGCTCAGCGTTTGTTGACAAGAATCAAGGGAGAAAACAATGCACAAAAACCACTGTTCAAAGTGGCTAACGCCTACTCAGGAGCCTGAGGCAGGATTGCTTGAGGCTAGGAGTTTGAGACCAGCCTGTGCAACATAGCAAGACCCTGTCTCAGAAAAGGACCAAAACATTTGAAAGTCATCTGAAATTCTTTTTTTTTTTTTTTTTTTTTTTTTTGTGATGAAGTCTAGCTCTTCGCCTAGGCTGGAGTGCAGTGGCGTGATCTCAGCTTATCACAACCTCCGCCTCCCAGGTTCAAGCAGTTCTGCCTCAGCCTTCCGAGTAGCTGGGATTATAGGCATCTGCCACCACGTCCAGCTAATTTTGTATTTTTAGTACAGATGGGGTTTCCCCATGTTGGTCAGGCTGGTCTTGAACTCCTGACCTCAGGTGATTCGCCCACCTTGGCCTTCCAAAGTGCTGGGATTACAGGCATGAGCCACCGTGCCCAACCAACATTTTTATGTCTTAACATAATAAGGATAAATACTGGGCAGTAGGAGCTTTGCTATCCAGGGTTCCTTTAAGGAAGGAATGAGTTGTAGTTTTCCTTGGACTCAGAGTGGTGATCCGTCATCTTATGGCATGACTAAATGGACTAGAGGTGTGTATACAGTTTTCCGGTGATCAAGTGTGATCTTACCATGGTACAGGAAAGGGACTGCAAACATATACCTGGCACAATGCCAGTGAGAGCTGTGACAATCCTGTGGACTTTTGCTGGGCAGGACACCAACCTTGGCTTGCAGATCAGTCACCATGACTATCTGCTTGCAGTAAATACAAGTTACTGGGATGGAGGTGGTTAAAGCATTTGAGATACCAGCTCTGAACCAACCAGTGGCTCAAGACAGGCCCAAGGTAATGTTTTCAGCCAGAAAAGCTGGTAGCTAATTGGAAGTGCATCTTATGGGTTCCGGGGACTTGGGAATCATATTTGTGTAGTACTGTGGGGTAAGCACTGTGTACAAATGGACAATAATTGGTTAAATGGGGCCTGGCATGGTGGTTCACACCTTTAATCCCAGCACTTTGGGAGGGCAAGATAGGCGGATCACTTGAGTCCAGGAGTTAAAGACCCGCATGGGTAACACAGTGAAACCCTGTCTCCACAAAAAAAAAAAAAAAAAAAAAAAAATCATCCATGCATGGTGGTGCTCACCTGTAGTTCCAGCTACTTGGGAGGCTGAGTCAGGAGGATCGTTTGAGTCCAGGAGGTAGAGGTTGCAGTGAGCTGAGATTGTGCCCCACTGCACTCCAGCCTAGGCGACAGAGCAAGACTCAATAATAATCACTGGTCTCATGAAGCTGAGCACCGTGGCACACACCTGTAGTCCCAGCTACTCAGGAGGCCGAGGCAGAAGGATCACTTGAGCCCAGGAGTTCGAAACCATCCATTGTGAGACCCAATCTCAAAAAAAAAAAAAAAAAAATTTAAAAAATTGGTCAAATGAGATTGATGATAATTCTAAACAACACAGAATTCTAAACCACCTTCAGTATTGATAGGCAGTTGTAATGTAGACCACGAGGTGGCAGCTGATGACAACTCCAAATATGCACTTAACTGTTAGTCCTGGGAAGTGAACTTTGGAGTCTGAGCCACCAATAAAATAGAAGCTTGCTTTGGCAGAAAGAAGCAGTGTTTGGGGAAGCTTGTTTCAGCACGGCCTTGGCTCATTTCAAAGATTGCTTTTTATCCAATTTTTCTGCTGGCTTGAGTGATGTCAAGTGGTTTGCCCATGTTCACACGCTTTGTGATTGTTTAACCTGGATTCCACTGTGAAATGTTAGTAGCTCCTGCCTTTCTGTTTCCCACTGAGGCCAGCTAGTCAATAGGTTTCCTCTACGATCTTAGTGATTTTCTGGCCCTAAAATGTTACTTTTTCAGCTAGGGCTCTTTGCCAACTTCTTTCCTCGTGATTCAAATTAGTTCCGTAATACATACTCCAAGATCACCCATGGACTCTGGGGAAACCCGAGGAATCTATAAAAGAGCATGTGAATAAAAACATGCAGGTAGAAGTGGATCTTGGTGCCTGCCAGCTCTGTCCCTACCTTGGTAGGTTAAAACATACCTTCCAATCAATAATCATTCATTAGCTGCTCAAGGATCATTGCTAATAAGAGCTCTGAGAAACAAGGCTCAAAGTTTGCCCTTAACCACCTGACAGTCGAGTTGGGAAAACAAAACCAAAGCTATACATTGAATCCAGAACAACAACTATTCCATAAGTGGTAAATCGTGTCCAGACTGAATTCTAGGGAAGTGTAGGGCAAGAGAAATGAATGAAGGCTCAAGTGGCCCAGAGGTGAGTTGTGGGGTCAGGGAGGGGTGAGACTAGTCAGGGCATCTTGAAGAAGTTTTACTGGAAAATAAAAATGTCAGGTTATGAAACTGGCTGATGTCAAAAAATTAAGTTCTTTTATTTTTTCAAGTGAAGCTAAAAAGGAACATTTCAAGTCCCACTACACGTGCCTGAGGAGGTCACTTGGAGAAGGTTAAAAGGGACAGGGGTGGCTGTATGGGCCCAGCCATCACTCAGGGAAAGCTTTGAAGAGGTTTAACCCATCTTCCAGGGTTGGTCTCCAGGTGCACCATAGCCTCGAATCTACCCACCAGCCCAATGGTTCATCAGATAATCCCGACCACCACTACTACTACCAAAGGGTTTTTCAAGGGATTTTGGAAGCTGCTGGCTGAAGATACCTTTTCCTAATTTAACAAACTTCCTGATAGGGACACAAATCCCCTTCCCTGAAAACCAGAATCCCCTTGCAGCCAGTGCCAACAACAGTTTTAAGTCTCAGTGACTTTCTTGAAGCACCACTTCTGTTTTGATTAATAAACAGACCAGGAAACAGCTATCATGTAGGCATGTTAGATGCTTGCAGACAAGATAGAGCAGCTTAAAAGATCCCATAAGAGGCCGGGCGTGGTGGCTCACGCCTGTAATCCCAGCACTTTGGGAGGCCAAGGCGGGTGGATCACCTGAGGTTGGGAGTTCGAGACCAGCCTGACCAACATGGAGAAACCTGGTCTCTACTAAAAATACAAAATTAGCTACACATGGTGGTGCATGCCTGTAATCCCAGCTACTCGGAGGCGGAGGTTGCAGTGAGCCGAGATCGCACCATTGCGCTCCAGCCTGGGTGACAGAGCAAGACTCCATCTGGTTAAAAAAAAAAAAAAAAAAAAAAATCTCCTAAGAGGCCGGGCACAGTGGCTCACGCCTATAATCCCGGCACTTTGGGAGGCCGAGGCGGGCGGATCACGAGGTCAGGAGTTCGAGACCAGCCTGGCCAGCCTGGTGAAACCCCGTCTCTACTAAAAATAGAAAAAATTAGCCAGTCATGTTGGTGCATGCCTGTAATCCCAGCTACTCAGGAGGCTGAGTCAGGAGAACCACTTGAACCCACGAGGCAGAGGTTGCAGTGAGCCGAGATCACGCCACTGCACTCCAGCCTGGGCGATGGAGTGAGAGACCCTGGCTCAAAAAAATAATAATAATAATAAATAAATAAATAAAAAATAAAGATCCCATAAGAGACTTGTTTTTGAGGAGGTAGCCCTGTAGACATGTAGCCCTGTAGACACAAGGGCTCACTAGAACACTCCTTACTTGGTGCCTGGCATGGGTGGGCCTCCTGCAGGGCAGTGTGGGCCTATTGACGCTAGGCATTGTCAGGATAGTTTGCATTTTCTAGAGTTTTATATAAATGGAATAATACGGTATGCATTCTTTTTAGTCCAACTTCTTTTGGCATAATTGTTTTGAGATTCATCAGTGCTGTGTGCATCAGTAGTTCCTTCTTAGTGCCGGGTAGCATCCCATTGTGTGGCTATACCATGATTTGCTTATCCATTTACTTATGCTTGGGCATTTGGATTGTTTCCAGTGCTTGGCTATTGTGACTAATGTTGTGAACATTTGTGTACAAGCTTTTGTGATGACATGTGTTTTCAGTTCTCTTAGGTATATACCTAGGAGTGAAGTTGCTGGGTCATGTGGTAACTCTATGGTTAACACTTAGAGGAACTGCCAAATTGCTTTCCAAAGTAGCAGCATCATTCTACGCTCCCTCCAGCAGTATGTGAGTTTCAGTTGCTTCTCATCTTCACCAACACTTGGTCTGACCAGTCTTTTCATTTTAGCCATTGTAATAGGCATGAAGAGTTTGGATTTTATCCCACAGGTGATCATGAGCCAGTGAACAATACGAAGGTGGGAGGCACACAGTGGACGGGGAAAGGGGAGATATTAGTCAACGGGTACAAAGTTTCAGTTAGATAGGAATAAGTTTTGGTGTTTGATTGCATAGCACAGTGACTCTAGTTAATAATACTGTATTGTATACTTCAAAATAGCTAAAAGAGAGGATTTTACATGTCCTTACCACAAAGAAACGATAAATATTTGAGGGGATGGACATGCTAATCAGCCTAATTTGATCATTCTGCAATATGTACATCACACTGTAACCCGTAAACATATACAATTATAAATAAAACTTAAAAGCAATATGGAGGTGAGGACTGACACAACCAAGAATGCTGGATGCTTGGGCAATACTTGACCCCACACTGCAGAATACTGTAGGCTGGATTGGGTCTGCGCAGTGATCACACCGGGGCAGCGAGTGCTCATGGGTAAGCCACTTGGTCAGTGGTGACTACAATACACATTCAGGCTGCTACCGGGAAAGGGAGGGGACAAAAATCCATCATTTGATTGCTCAGTTTTTGAAAGGGAAACTAGGACAGAATCAGGGCAGTAGGGGGGGAAATGAAAGGAATTGTTTAAGAAGTTACAGCCCATAGAAAGCAGGGAGCCCATTTCTATTGAAAAGTGCTTTATTGGAAGCCCGTGATAAATGCATGGCACCAGACCAAGAGAACAGTCACTTGAGAAATAAGCCCTGCATGGTTTACTGACATATCAAAGAGCCCATTGTGAGGAAAAGGGCATCTTTAAAAATGAAGAAATATTAAATGAGAGAGGATACCCAAGCTGAGGGAATTAAGGAGGCCTCAAAATGGGGCAAAATGTATGAAAGTTACAAATCAAATGAGAGTAAGAAATTCTGAAGAGTATCTGCAAGAAATGTCAAAGGAAATAGTTTAAGTTCTAGTTAATTTAAGTGTGTGAAAAGCAGAAGGTCAGTTTGAGAATCTACGGGCATCCATTTATTAATGTGTAAAAAGTACACTGGGAGGCTGAACAGTCAACTGACTCTTTGACATCTTTGCCTCCATCACACAGAGATTTCCCCTTCCACTAAAATAAAAAATATTTAGTATGGAAAACTTCAAACATATAAAATAAACATAAAAGTATAATAAACCAAGGTCAGGCATAGTGACTCACACCTGTAATCCCAGCACTTTGGGAGGCTGAGGGGGTGCGGATCACCTGAGGTTGGGAGTTCGAGACCATCCTGACCAACCTGGAGAAACCCCGTCTCTACTAAAAATACAAAATTAGCTGGGTGTGGTGGCACATGCCTGTAATCCCAGCTACTCGGGAGGCTGAGGCAGGAGAATCACTTGAACCCCAGAGGCGGAGGTTGAGGTGAGCCGAGATCATGCCATTGCACTCCAGCCTGGACAACAAGAGTGAAACTCTGTCTCATTAAAAAAAAAAAAAAAGTATAATAAACCATAGTGTACCCATCACTGAGCTTTAATAGTCATCAGCATTCTGCCATTCCTTTTTTGTTTGTTTTGAGATGAAGTCTCACTGTATTGCCCAGGCTGTACTCAAACTCCTCACACCTCACCCTTCCAAGTAGCTGGGACTACAGGCACGGCCTCTGCCATTCTTGTTACATTGATACCTACGTCCACTCCCCACCCCTAATTTGATTATTATTTTAAGTCAGGTTTATTGAGGTATAATTTACATACAGTAAAATTCACTTTGCTTTCTTGAGACAAAGTCTCACTCTGTCATCCAGGCTGGAGTTCAATGGCACCATCATGACTCACTGCAGCTTCTACCTCCCAGGCCCAAGTGATCCTCCCATCTCAGCCTCCCAAGTAGTTGGGACCACAGGTGTGCACCACCATGCCTGGCTAATTTTTTATTTTTATTTTTGTAGAGATAGGGCCTCTCTATGTTGCCTAGCTGGTCTCAAACTCCTGGGATCAAGTGATCCTCCCACCTTGGCCTCCCAAAGTGCTGGGATTACAGGCATGAACCATCACATCTGGCCAAAATTCACTTTTTAGATACAGAGTTCTGAGTTTTGATAAAAAGATATACATCACAGCGAAGCAATGGAGCTTTCCCATCACCCTAAAAAGTGTCACATGCTGCCCCTTTGTGGTCAACCCCCTGGCAAACACCCTTCTTGGTCTTTAGTATAATTTTGCCTTTTCTAGAATGTCAGATAAGTGGAATCATATCATATGTACTCTTGGGACTGGCTTCTGTTGCTCAGCATGGTGTTTTGAGATTCATCTATTATGTTGCATGCATCAATAGTTTGTTCCTTTTTATTGCTGAGTAGTATTATGTTATATGGATATATTACAGGGTTTTTTTGTTTGTTTGTTTGTTTGTTTGAGATGAAGTCTCACTCTAGTTCAGTGATGCGATCTCAGCTCACTGCAACCTTCGCCTCCTGGGTTCAAGTGATTCTCCTGCCTCAGCCTCCTGAGTAGCTGGGATTACAGGCTCCCGCCACCACGCCCAGCTAATTTTTGTATTTTTAGTAGAGGCAGGGTTTCACCGTGTTGGCCAGGCTGGTCTCGAACTCCTGGCCTCAAGTGATGCGCCCACCTTGGCCTCCCAAAGCGCTGGGATTACAGGCATGAGCCATTGCATCCAGCCCACAGTTTGTTGATTCTTTTTTTTTTTTTTTTTTTGAGACAGAGTCTCACTCTGTCGCTCAGGCTGTGATGGCACAGTCTTGGCTCACTGCAAACTCCACCCCCTTGGTTTGAGCAATTCTTCTGCCTCAGACTCCCAAGTAGCTGGGATTACAGGTGCCTGCCAACACGCCCAGCTAATTTTTGTACTTCTAGTAGAGACGGGTTTCACCATGTTGGCCAGGCTGGGCTCAAACTCCTGACCTCAAGTGATCCGCCCGCCTTGGCCTCCCTAAGTGCTGGGATTACAGGCGTGAGTCACCGCACCCGGTCTGTTTATTCATTTTTTATACAGGCATTTTTGAGTCAAACTGACATTGAAATACACAAATTTTAACTCTACCCTTTGATGATGGATACAACCATGTAACTCATACCCCTGAGAAAGAGAAAAGCAGCTCCTAATGTCAGGAACTGGCCTGATCCTTATAGCTAGGCCTTGGCATGTTTGAAGCTGGCCTGGTGCTTACAGCGAGGCCGTGCCATTCTCCCGTGGACATAAACAACATCATCAAACATCAACAATCAGACAAGGTCGCTTTGTGACCCTGATAAAGTGCACCAAAAACATCAAGACTGCCGGGTGTGGTGGCTTACGCCAGTAATCCCAGCACTTTGGGAGGCTGAGGCAGGTGGATCACATGAGGTTATCCAATCCAGAGCAAAGCCTCAGTCCCTAAGCCTTCCCCAAAACCACCTAACACAAGTCCAAATCCTATATCCTTCTTATCACCCTCTTTGAGACACCCTATGCTTTTCCATGATACGTATTCTCTTTCATGACAACCAGCAAAAAACCAACTTTGTTCGGCTACAGTTATGCTTCTAATCTTTGCCTGGAAGGCATTGATCACTGATGTACCTGTCAAGATACAAAATATTTCACTTTTTTTTTTTTTTTTTTTTTTGAGACAAGGTCTCACTCTGTTGCCCAGGCTGGAATGCAGTAGCATGATCTCAGCTCACTGCAACCTCTGCCTCCCGGGTTCAAGTCATTCTCCTGCCTAAGTCTCCAGGTAGCTGGGATTACAGGCACATGCCACCACACCCAGCTAATTTTGTATTTTTAGTAGAGATGGGGTTTCACCATGTTGGGCAGGCTAGTCTTGAACTACTGACCTCAAGTGATTCACCTGTCTTGGCCTCCCAAAGTGCTGGGAGTACAGGTGTGAGCCACCGCACCGGGCCAAAATATTTTACTTTCCCGTAACATTCTCTCCTCTCTCTTCTCAGTTAATCCCCCCACCATCACAGACAGACATGTATGTTGTTTGGCTACTATGAATAAAACTGCTGGCCAGGCACAGTGGCTCATGCCTGTAATCCTAGCACTTTGGGAGACTGAGGCGGGCAGATTACCTCAGGTCAGGAGTTCAAGACCAGCCTGGCCAACATGCTGAAACCCCGTCTTTACTAAAAATACAGAAAAATTAGCCAGGTGCGGTGGTGTGTGCCTGTAATCCTAGCTATTCGGGAGGCTGAGGCAGGAGAATTGCTTGAACCTGGGAGGCAGAGGTTGTGGTGAGCCAAGATCGCACCACTGCAGTCCAGCCTGGGCTACAGAGTGAGACTTTGTCTCAAAAAAAAAAACAGAAACAAAAAAACAAAAACAAAACAAAACAAGCAAAACAACAACAAAAAACCTGCTATAAACATTTTCCACATCTTTTTGTCAGCATATGTTTTCATTTTTGCTGGGTGCATTCATTTCCTATTGCTGCTGCAACAAATTATCAGAAACTTAGTGGCTTAAAACACTTATTTTTTTTTATGACAGAGTCTTGTTCTGTTGCCCAGGCTGGAGTACATGGTGTGATCACAGCTCACTGCAGCCTCAACCTCCTGGGCTCAAGCAATCCTCCCACTATAGCCTCCCAAGTGCTGGGACTATAGGCACATGCCACCATGCCTGGCTAATTTTTTAATTTTTTTGTACAGATGGGGTCTCACTATATTGCCCAGGCTGGTCTCAAACTCCTGGGCTCAAGTGATCCTCCCACCTCAGCCTCCCAAAGTGCTGGAATTACAGGCATGAGCCACCATACCCAGCCTATTACGCCATTTTAAAATTGAGTTGTCTTTATTATTATTATGTAAAAAAATTCTTTTGTGTCAGGGTCTTGCTCTGTCACCCAGGCTGGAGTGCAGTGGTGTAATCATAGCTTACTGCAGCCTCAATCTCCTGGGCTCAAGCAATCCTCCTGCCTCAGCCTCTCAAGTATATGGGACTACAGGTGTGAGCCACCATGTGTGGGCAGTTTTGTTTTTTTTTTTTGAGACGAAGTCTCGCTTTTGTCCCCCAGGCTGGAGTGCAATGGCACGATCTCGGCTCACTGCAACCTCTGCCTCCTGGGTTCAAGCAATTCTCCTGCCTCAGCCTCCCGAGTAGCTGGGGTTACAGGCGCCCGCCACCACGCCTGGCTAATTTTTGTAGTTTTAGTAGAGACGGGGTTTCACCATGTTGGCCAGGCTGGTCTCGAACTCCTGACCTCAGGTGATCCGCCCGCCTTGGTCTCCGAAAGTGCTGGGATTACAGGCATGAGCCACCGTGCCCAGCCAGTTTTTAAAATTATTAAATGGCTAAAGTCCTTTATATATTACTGGTTATAAGTCCTTTGTTAGTAATAACTCTTGTGAATGTTTCCTCAAAGTGTGACTTGTAACTTGGTTATTTATTTATGTATTTATTTTGAGATGGAGTCTCACTCTGTTGCTCAGGCTGGAGTACAGTGGCGTGATCTGAGCTTACTGCAACCTCCTTCTTCCAGGTTCAAGCGATTCTCCTGCCTCAGCCTCCCAAGTAACTGGGACTACAGGCATGTGCCACCACACCTGGCTAATTTCTGTATTTTTGGTAGAGACAGAGTTTTGCCATGTTGGCCAGGCTGGTCTTGAACTCCTGACATCAGGTGATCCACCTGCCTTGGCCTCCCAAAGTGCTGAGATTACAGGCTTGAGCCATCGCACCTGGCCTATTTGTTTTCTTAAATATATCTTTTGATTAGCAGAATTTTAAATTTTTGATAAAGTCTAATTTATCATATTTCTCTTTTTTTTTTTTTGAGACAGGATCTTGCTCTGTCACCCAGGCTGGAGTGCAGTGGTGCAATCATGGCTCACTGTAGCCTCCTGGGCTCAAGTGATCCTCCCACCTCAGCCCCCTAAGTAGATGGGACCACAAGCGTGCACCACCACACCCAGCTAATTTTTTATTTTTTGTAGAGACGGGGTTTCACCATGTTGCCCAGGCTGGTCTCAAACTCCTGGGCTCAAGCGATTCACCGATATTGGCCTCCCAAAGTTCTGGGACTACAGACGTGAGCCAACGGGCCTGGCCTAATTTATCGTATAGTTTTTTTTTTTCAAGATGGAGTTTTTGCTCTTGTTCAGGCTGGACGCCTGCAATGGCGTGATCTCGGCTCACTGCAACCTCCTTCTCCCGGGTTCAAGTGATTCTCCTGCCTCAACCTCCCGAGTAGTTGGGATTACAGGCACCCACCACCAAACCCACCTAATTTTTGTATTTTTAGTAGAGACAGGGTTTCACCATGTTGGCCAGGCTGGTCTCGAACTCCTGACCTCAGGTGATCTGCCCGCCTTGGCTTCCCAAAATGCTGGGAATACAGGCGTGAGCCACCGTGCCTGGCCCGTATTTTTTTTTTTAATTGTTATTGTTTTCTGAGTCCTGCTAAGAAATCTTTGCCTACCCCCAAGTCCTGAAAATATTCTATGGTTTCTTCCAAACTCTTCACAGTTTTGTTACAGGACCAACAGTTTTCTGTGCCCACTGTACAATAACATACCCATTCTGAGACAGCAGAAATGCAACAGAGAGAGAGCTTAATAATCACAGGGTGCCGAGGAGGAGATGGAAGCAGACGCTGAAATCCAACTCTCCAGGGAGTTCTGGGTTGGGATTTTTAAGGGGACGATGGCGGGTGAGGGGCTGAGAAACTGAGGTCGTTGATTGATCAGGGCAAGGGGATGAAATTATCAGGATGTGGAAACTGCGTTTTTTGGTGAGTCAGTTTCTCATGGGGTTCTTCAGACCAGCCGTGTCAGTAATTTCATTAGTATGCAGGACCTGAAGGAATATCTCAAAGGGAAAACTTAACATTTCTTTTTTTCTTTTTTTTTTTTGAGACAGAGTTTTACTCTGTCGCCCCGGCTGCAGTGCAGTGGTGCGATCTCGGCTCACTGCAACCTCTGCCTCCCAGGTTCAAATGATTCCCCTGTCTCAGCCTCCTGAGTAGCTGGGATTACAGGTGCACGCTGCCACACCCGGATAATTTTTTTTGTATTTTAGTAGAGACGGGGTTTCATCGTGTTGCCCAGGCTGGTCTCAAACTCCTGAGCTCAGGCAATCCGCCCACCTCGGCCTCCCAAAGTGCTAGGATTACAGGCATAAGCCACCGCGTGCACCCAGCCAGCATTTCTTAAAGTTCAAGTTGTTATCTATAGAGCAGGGGAAGGCAACTGCAATCTTGTAACAGCATCTATGTGATTCTAAGACAATAGGCACCAAATAACCATGAAGAAGCAGCTCAGAGAGCAAGCTGACCTTGTGATTAATAGTGAATGTGCGGCAAGCTTGGCTGATTTGCATTTCTCCCTCCTTCTTCTCTGATTAATTTTTTAAAGTTTAAAGGGATGTTTTCAGTTTTAACTTTTATATTTATATTTATGATCTATCCCAAATTAATTTTTGTGTATAGTGTGATGCATGAGTCAAGGTTCATTATTTTTCCACATGAATATCCAGTTGTTCTAGCACCATTTTTTGAAATAGTTTCCCTTCCTCATTGATTTGCTTTAGCATTTTTGTCAAAAATCAATTGACTATGTAAGTGTGGATCAATTTTGGACTCTATTCTGTTTCACTGATCTATAATCTATATGCCCATTCTTAGACCAATATCACATTGTCTTGATTACTACAGCTTTAGAGTAAGTCTTTTTCTTTTCATTTTGAGACAGGGTCTTGTGCTGTTGCCCAGGCTGGAGTGTGGTGGCATGATCATGGCTCACTGTAGCGTCAACCTCCTGGGCTCAAGTGATCCTCCTACCTCAGCCTCTCAAGTAGCTGAGACCACAGGCGCACACCACCACACCAGGCTAATTTTTAAATTTTTTGTAGTGACAGAGGTCTTGTGCTATGTTGCCTAGGCTGGCCTTGAACTCCTGGGCTCAAGTGATCTTCCTGCCTTGGCCTCCCAAAGTGCTGGGATTACAGGTGTGAGCCACTGTCCCTGGCCTAGAATAAGTCTTAAATACAAGTCAAGTCTCCAGCTTTGTTCTTATTGGAGATTGTTTTGGGTATTCTTTTGTTTGCGTGTGTGTGTGTGTGTGTGTGTGTGTGTGTGTGTGTGTGTGTGTGTGTGTTTTGAGACAGGGTCCTGCTCTGCCTCCCAGGCTGGAGTGCAGTGGCTCACTGCAGCCTCGACCTCCTGGGATCCCTTGAGATTAAGCGATCCTCCCTTCTCAGCCTCTTGAGTACCTGGGACTGCAGGCCCGCGCCACCACACTTGGATAATTTTTAAGTTGTTTGTAGAGACAAGTCTCACTATGTTGCCCAGGCTGGTCTTGATCTCCTGGGCTCAAGCAATCCTCCTGCCTCAGCCTCCCAAAGTGCTGGGATTACAGGTGTGAGCCACTGTGCCCATCTTCAAGTTAATTTTTATTTAAAATTTTAATTTAAATTAAATATATGTATTTTTTGAGACAGGGTCTTGCTCTGTCACCCAAGCTGGAATGAAGTGGCTCACTGTAGTTTCAAACTCCTGGGCTCAAGTGATCCCCCCATCTCAGCCTCCTGAGTAGCTGGGATTACAGATGTGCACCACCATGTCTAATTTTTTTTTGACACAGAGTCTTGCTCCGTTGCCCAGGCTGGGGTGCAGTGGTGTGATCTTGGCTTACTGCAGCCTCCATCTCCTGGGTTCAAGTGATTCTCCTGCCTCAGCCTCCCAAGTAGCTGGGATTACAGGCACCCACCACCACACTCGGCTAATTTTTGTATTTTTAGTAGAGACGGAGAGATGGGGTTTCACCATGTTGGCCAGGCTGGTCTCGAACTTCTGACCTCAAATGATCCACCTGCCTCAGGCCTCCCAAAGTGCTGGGATTACAGGTGTGAGCCACCACCTCTAGCCCCGATTTTTTTTTTTTGAGATGAGATTTTTGAGACAAGAGCTTACTCTGTCACCCAGGCTGGAGTGCAGTGGCACAATCTCAGCTCACTGCAGCCTCCAGCTCCCCTGGCTCAGGTGATCCTCCCACCTCAGCCTCCTTTTTTTTTTTTTTTTTTTGAGACAAGGTCTCTGTTGCTCAGGCTGGAGTGCAGTGGCACAGTCTCAGCTCTCTGCAATCTCTACCTCCCAGGCTGAAGCGATCCTCCTACCTCAGCCTCCCGAGTAGCTGGGACTACAGGTGCATGCCACCACACCTGGCTAATGTTTGTATTTTTTGTAGAGATGGGGTTTCACCATGTTGTCAGGTCTGGTCTCGAACTCCTGGGCTCAAGCAGTCCTCCTGCCTTGGCCTCCCCAAGTTATGGGATTACCTGTGTGAGCCCTTGGGCCTGGCCACTGATTTTTAAATTTTTAGTAGAGGTGCGTTCTTCCTATATTGCCCAGGCAAATCTTGAACTTTTGGCCTCAAGCAATCCTCCTGCCTCTGCCTCCCAAAGTGTTGGGATTAAAGGTGTGAACCACGATGCCTGGCCTCATCTACCTGTTTTTTGGAAGCAAGGTCTTTCTGTTGCCCACGCTGGAGTGCATTGCTACAATCATAGCTCACTGCCCACGCTGGAGTGTAGTGGTATGATCATAGTTCATAGCAGCCTCGACCTCCCAGGCTTGAGTGATCCTCCCACCTCAGCCTTCTGAGTAGCTGGGGACCGCAGGCATACACCACCATGGCCGACTAATTAAAAAAAAATTACTTGTAGAGACAGGGTTTTCCTATGTCCTCCTCTACCTTTTAGTCATGAAGACGGCCTATGTTTTCCACAGAAGTATTGGTTTTGGTTTTTATGTTAAAGTCTATAGTCTAAAGTCTTTAGTTTTATGTTAAAGTCTATAATCCATCTCGAATTAATCTTTGTGTATGATGTGAGGTAGGAGTCATGGTTCCTTTCTGTCCATATGGATACCCTTTATTCCAGCACCATTAGTTAAAAAGCACTTGTCTTCATTGGATTGCTCTGGTGTCTTTGTTGAAAATAACCACGAAGTGTGGGTCTATTTCTGGGTTCTCTATTCTGTTCCATTGATCAATTAATGTATACTTACACAAATGTTACACTGTCCTGGTTACCATTTTTTTTTCTTTGAGACAGAGTCTCCCTCTGTCACCCAGGCTGGAGTGTAGTAGCGCAATGTTGGCTCACTGCAACCTCCGCCTTCTGGGTTCAAGCGATTCTCGTGCCTCAGCCTCCCAAGTAGCTGGGAGGAGGCGAGTGCCACCACACACTGATTGCTGTCATCTTATATTAAATATTAAAAATAGGTTATATAAATCCTCTGACTCTGTTCTTTTTCAAGTTTTTTTTTTTTGCTATTTTACATCCTTTTCATTTTCATATGCACTTTAGAATCGTTTTGCCGACTTCTTTCCAAAAAACTGCCAGAATTTTTTTTTTTTTTAAGACAGAGTTTCTCTCTTGTCACCCAGGCTGGAGTGCAGTGGCATGATCTCTGCTCACTGCAACCGCTGCTTCCCGGGTTCAAGTGATTCTCCTGCTTCAGACTCCCAAGTAGCTGGGACTAAAGCACCTGCCACCATGCCCGGCTAATTTTTGTATTTTCAGTAGAGATGGGGTTTTACTATCTTGGTCAGGCTGGTCTCGAACTCCTGACCTCATGATCCACCCAACTCGGCCTTCCAAAGTGCTAGGATTACAGGTGTGGGCCACCGTGCCTGGCTGAGAATTTTTATAGGAATTGTGTTGAATCTATATGACAATTAGGGAGAATGGATGTCTTTTTAGTACTGAGTTACCTAAACCATGAATATAGAGTATGTCTCCATTTACTTAGGTCTTCTTGAATTTCTCTCAGCAACATTTTGTAGTTTTCAATATGCAGATCTTACACAATTTTTTTTTAATTTATTTTTTATTTATTTATTTTTTTTTGAGACAGAGTCTCGCTCTGTCCCCCAGGCTGGAGTGCAGTGGCGCGATCTCTGCTCGCTGCAAGCTCTGCCTCCCGGGTTCATGCCATTCTCTTGCCTCAGCCTCCCAAGTAGCTGGGACTACAGGTGACCGCCACCATGCCCAGCTATTTTTTTTTTTTTTTGTATTTTTAGTAGAGACGGGTTTCACCGTGTTAGCCAGGATGGTCTCCATCTCCTGACCTCATGATCTGCCCGCCTCGGCCTCCTAAAGTGCTGGGCCTTTCTAAATTTTTTTTTTGAGATGGGAGTTTTGCTTTTGTTGACTAGGCTGGAGTACAATGGCATCTCGGCTCACTGCAATCTCTGCCTCTTGGGTCCAAGCAATTCTCCTGCCTCAGCTTCCCAAGTAGCTGGGATTACAGGCGCCCACCACCATGTGTGGCTAATTTTTGTAGTTTTAGTAGAGACGGGTTTTCACCATGTTAGCCAGGCTGGTGTCGAACTCCTGACCTCAGGTGATCTGTCTGCCTTGGCCTCCCAAAGTGCCTTTTTTTTTTTTTTTTTTTTTTTTTTGAGAAGGAATTTCACTCTCGTCGCCCAGGCTGGAGTGCTACGGCACAATCTCCACTCACTGCAACCTCCGCCTCCTGGGTTCAAGCGATTCTCCAGCCTCAGCCTCCCGAGTGGCTGGGATTACAGGCGCCCACCACCATGCCCGGCTAATTTTTGTATTTTTAGTAGAGATAGGGTTTCACCATTTTGGCTAGGCTGCTCTCGAACTCCTGACCTCAAGTGCTGGGATTACAGGCATGAGCCCACCTTGGCCTCCCAAAGTGCTGGAATTACAGGCATGAGCCACCGTGCCCAGCCTTTTTTTTTTCTTTTGAGACAGAGTCAGGTGGGCACGGTGGCTCACGCCTGTAATCCCAGCACTTTGGGAGGCCGAGGTGGGTGGATCACCTGAGGTCAGGAGTTTGAGACCAGCCTGGGCAACATACGGAAACCCCATCTCTACTAAAAATACAAAAAATTAGGCCAGGCGTGGTGGCTCATGCCTGTAATCCCAGCACCTTGGGAGGCTGAGGTGGGCAGATCACCTGAGGTTGGGAGTTTGAGACCAGCCTGACCAACATGGCGAAACCCCCCGTCTCTATTAAAAATAACAAAATTGGCTAGGCGCGGTGGCTCACACCTGTAATCCCAGCAATTTGGGAGGCCGAGATGGGCGGATCACGAGGTCAGGAGATTGAGACCATCCTGGCTAACACGGTGAAACCCCGTCTCTACTAAAAAATACAAAAAAATTAGCCGGGCATGGTGGCAGGTGCCTGTAATCCCAGCTACTCGGGAGGCTGAGGCAGGAGAATGGCATGAACCTGGGAGGTGCAGCTTGCAGTGAGCTGAGATCGCGCCACTGCACTCCAGCCTGGGCAACAGAGCGAGACTCCATCTCAAAAAAAAAAAAAAAAAAAATTAGCTGGGCATGGTGGTGCATGCCTGTAATCCCAGCTACTCAGGAGGCTGAGACAGGAGAATTGCTTGAACCCAGAGGCAGAGGTTGCAGTGAGCCAAGATTGTGCCATTGCACTCCAGCTTGGGGGACAAGAGCGAAATGCCATCTCAAAAAAAAAAAAGAAGTTAAGGTGAAAGGACTCAAAGTCATACATAAAAATAAGGTATATTTGTATACACTAGCAACAAACAATTGCAAAATTAAATTTAAAACAGAATGCTATTTATAATAGTATCAAAAAATATCAAATACCTAGGAGTAAACCTAACAAGAATTGTGTAAGATCTGGCCAGGCATGGTGGCTTATGCTTGTAATCCCAGCACTTTGGGAGGCCGAGGCAGGCAGATCACCTGAGGTCAGGAGTTCAACACCAGCCTGGCGAACATGGTGAAACCCCGTCTCTACTAAAAATACAAAAATTAGCCAGGTGTGGTGGTGGTTGCCTGTAATCCCAGCTACTTGGGAGGTTGAGGCAGGAGAATCACTTGGACCCGGGAGGCAGAGGTTGCAGTGAGTCAAGATCATGCCATTGCGCTCCAGCCTGGGCAATAAGAGCAAAACTCCATTTCAAAAAAAAAAAAAAAAAAAAGTGTCTGGCTCTGTCACCCAGGCTGGAGTCCAGTGGCATGATCTCAGCTCACTGCAACCTCCACCTCCCAGGTTCAAGCCATTCTCCTGTCTCAGCCTCCCGAGTAGCTGGGATTACAGGTGCCCACCACCACGCCTGGTTACTTTTTGTAGTTTTAGTAGAGACAGGGTTTCACCATGTTGGCCAGGCTGTTCTCAAACTCCTGACCTCAGATGATCCATTCACCTTGGCCTCCCAAAGTGCTGGTATTACAGGCATGAGCCACTGCGCCCAGCCTAATTTCACTTATTAATACTACTATTTTGGGTATTTGGCTAGTACCTGCCTTTGGATTTTCTACTTAAAAAATAGGTTGTTGGCCGGGCACGGTGGCTCATTCCTGAATCTCAGCACTTTGGGAGGCTGAGGCAGGTGGGTCACCGGAGGTCAGGAGTTTGAGACCAGCCTGCCCAACATGGTGAAACCCCTTCTCTACTAAAACTACAAAAATTAGCTGGGTGCAGTGGTGCACGCCTGTGTCCCAGCTACTTGGAAGGCTGAGAAAGGAGAATCGCTTGAACTTGGGAGGTGGAGGCTGCAGTGAACCAAGATTGGGCCACTGCATTCCAGACTGGTTGATGGAGTGAGATTCTGTCTCAAAAATAAATAAATAAATAAATAAAAATAAAAAATAGGTTGTGAATAGCAACAATTTTACTTCTTTGCTAGTCTTTATGCTTTCTATTTATTTTTCTTTTTTTTTTTTAATTTATTTTTTTATTGATAATTCTTGGGTGTTTCTCACAGAGGGGGATTTGGCAGGGTCATGGGACAATAGTGGAGGGAAGGTCAGCAGATAAACAAGTGAACAAAGGTCTCTGGTTTTCCTAGGCAGAGGACCCTGCAGCCTTCCGCAGTGTTTGTGTCCCTGATTACTTGAGATTAGGGATTGGTGATGACTCTTAACGAGCATGCTGCCTTCAAGCATCTGTTTAACAAAGCACATCTTGCACCGCCCTTAATCCATTTAACCCTGAGTGGACACAGCACATGTTTCAGAGAGCACCGGGTTGGGGGTAAGGTCACAGATCAACAGGATCCCAAGGCAGAGGAATTTTTCTTAGTGCAGAACAAAATGAAAAGTCTCCCATGTCTACTTCCTTCCACACAGACACGGCAACCATCCGATTTCTCAATCTTTTCCCCACCCTTCCCGCCTTTCTATTCCACAAAGCCGCCATTGTCATCCTGGCCCGTTCTCAATGAGCCGTTGGGCACACCTCCCAGACGGGGTGGTGGCCGGGCAGAGGGGCTCCTCATTTCCCAGTAGGGGCGGCCGGGCAGAGGCGCCCCCCACCTCCCGGACGGGGCGGCTGGCCGGGCGGGGGGCCGACCCCCCAACCTCCCTCCCGGACGGGGCGGCTGGCCGGGCAGAGGGGCTCCTCACTTCCCAGTAGGGGCGGCCGGGCAGAGGTGCCCCTCACCCCCCGGACGGGGCGGCCGGCCGGGCAGGGGGGCTGACCCCCCCCACCTCCCTCCCGGACGGGGCGGCTGGCCGGGCAGGGGGGCTGACCCCCCCCACCTCCCTCCCGGACGGGGCGGCTGGCCGGGCAGGGGGCTGACACCCCCACCTCCCTCCCGGACGGGGCAGCTGGCCGGGCAGAGGGGCTCCTCACTTGCCAGTAGGGGCGGCCGGGCAGAGGCGCCCCTCACCTCCCAGACGGGGCGGCTGGCCGGGCAGAGGGCTGACCCCCCCACCTCCCTCCCGGACAGGGCGGCTGGCCGGGCGGGGGGCTGACCCCCCAACCTCCCTCCCGGACGGGGCGGCTGGCCGGGCAGAGGGGCTCCTCACTTCCCAGTAGGGGCGGCTGGGCAGAGGCGCCCCTCACCTCCCAGACGGGGCGGCTGGCCGGGTGGAGGGCTGACCCCCCCACCTCCCTCCCGGACGGGGCGGCTGGCCAGGCGGGGGGCTGACCCCCCCACCTCCCTCCCGGATGGGGTGGCTGGCCGGGCTGAGGGGCTCCTCACTTCCCAGTAGGGGCGGCCGGGCAGAGGCGCCCCTCACCTCCCGGACGGGGCGGCTGGCCGGGCGGGGGGCTGACCCCCCCATCTCCCTCCCGGATGGGGTGGCTGGCCGGGCTGAGGGGCTCCTCACTTCCCAGTAGGGGCGGCCGGGCAGAGGCGCCCCTCACCTCCCGGACGGGGCGGCTGGCCGGGCGGGGGGCTGACCCCCCCACCTCCCTCCCGGACGGCACGGCTGGCCGGGCGGGGGGCTGACCCCCCCACCTCCCTCCCGGATGGGGCGGCTGGCCGGGCGGGGGGCTGACCCCCCCCACCTCCCTCCCGGACGGGGTGGCTGCCGGGCGGAGACGCTCCTCACTTCCCAGATGGGGTGGCTGCCGGGCGGAGAGGCTCCTCACTTCTCAGACGGGGCAGCTGCCGGGCGGAGGGGCTCCTCACTTCTCAGACGGGGTGGTTGCCAGGCAGAGGGTCTCCTCACTTCTCAGACGGGGCGGCCGGGCAGAGACGCTCCTCACCTCCCAGACGGGGTCTCGGCCGGGCAGAGGCGCTCCTCACATCCCAGATGGGGCGGCGGGGCAGAGGCGCTCCCCACATCTCAGACGATGGGCGGCCGGGCAGAGACGCTCCTCACTTCCTAGATGTGATGGCGGCTGGGAAGAGGCACTCCTCACTTCCTAGATGGGATGGCGGCCGGGCGGAGATGCTCCTCACTTTCCAGACTGGGCAGCCAGGCAGAGGGGCTCCTCACATCCCAGACGATGGGCGGCCAGGCAGAGACACTCCTCACTTCCCAGACGGGGTGGCGGCCGGGCAGAGGCTGCAATTTCGGCACTTTGGGAGGCCAAGGCAGGCGGCTGCTCCTTGCCCTCGGGCCCCGCGGGGCCCGTCCGCTCCTCCAGCCGCTGCCTCCCGGGCGGCGCTCGCCGGCGCGGCGGCAAAGACTGAGACAGCTCCGCTGCCAGCTGAACTCCATCCTCCCGGCGGTCGGGCGGCGGCGGCTGCCCTGATTTTTCCTTAGGGAATCACTCTTTCCTTGTCATTAGTCCATGTGGTTCTGGAGGGATTATTTCACCTCTGACTCCAGAGGGTGCCATAGGACTCAGGAGTGGCCCATGAGATCAGTGCCTTCTATTTATTTTTCATGTCTTATTTCACTAGCTAGGATCTCTAATACAATACTTAATAATAGCAGTGAGAGGAGATATTCTTGCCTTGCTTTTGATCTTAATGGGAAAACATTTATTCTTTCACCATTTCACCTGTTGTTCATAGGTGTCCTTTATCAGGTGGTGAATGTTTGCTTCTATTCCTAGCTTGCTGAGAGTATTGACTGTGAAATAATAATTTTATTTAAAAGTCAAGTGCTTTTCTAGGATCAAGACAATCATATAGTTGTTCTCTTTTATGATGTTGATGTGGTTTATTTCACTGATTTTTGTAAAGTTAAACTAACTTTATATTCTTGTATTAAATTTTTGGTCATAATATATTTCACTGTATATATTGCTGGATTCTATTTATTGATATGTTCTTCATGATTTGTGTGTGTGTGTGTGTGTGTGTGTTCATGAAGGATACAGGTCTGTAACTTTTTTCTTGTAATTATCAGATTTTCATATCATAATTATTTCAGCTTCATAAAATAAGTTTAAAGTATTCTTTCCTCCTCTGTTTTCTGAAAAAGCTTGTGTAGAATTTGTATCCCTTCTTTCTTGGGTTTTTGATAGATTTCACCAATGCTACCACCTGGCACTGGAATTTTCTTTATGGCAAGTTTTTTTGATTAGACTTATTTTAGAATAGCTTTAGGTCTATAGAAAAGTTGTGAAGATAGTAGAGTTCCCATGTGCTCCACACCCAGTTTTCCTTATTGTTGACATCTTACATTAATATGATACATTTGTCAGTATATTATTATTATTATATTACTATTATTTTTGAGATAGGGTCTTGCTCTGTTGCCCAGGTTGGAGTGTAGTGGTGCAATCTTGGCTCACTGCAACCTCTGCTTCCAGGGCTCAAGCTCTCCTCCCACCTCAGCCTCCCAAGTAGTTGGGACTACAAGTGCACACCACCATGCTTGGCTATTTTTATTTTTTACAATTAATCTTTTCAAAGAAACAACTTTTGGCTTTGTTGTTTCTATTGTTTGATTTATATTTCATTGATTTCTTCTTTTATTAACTTCTTCCCCTACTTAATTTGGGTTTACTTTTTTCTAGCTTATTTTATTTATTAGTTTGTTTTGAGATAGGGTCTTGCTCTATTTCCCAGGCTGGAGTGCAGTGGTGTGATCTTGGCTCATTGCAACCTCTGCCTCTCAGGCTCAAGTGATCCTCCTACCTCAGCTTCCTGAGTAGCTGGGACTACTGGTGCCACCATACCCAGCTAAGTTTTGTATTTTTCATAGAAACGGGGTTTCACTATGTTGCCTAGGCTGGTCTCAAACTCCTGGGCTCAAGTGGTCTACGTGTCTCAGCCTCCTAAAGTGCTAGGATTACAGGTGTGAGCCATTGCACTCAGCCTTTTCTTGCATCTTAAGGTGGAAATTTATAATATTGATTTTAAGCTTTTCCTCCTTTCTAATACTAGTTGAATCTATTTATATCCTTCTAAGCACTGCTTTTTTTTTTTTTTTTTGCAGCGATGGGGTTTCACCATGTTGTCCAGGCTGGTCTCCAACTCCTGGACTCACGCAATCTGCCCCTCTCAGCCTCCCAAAGTGCTGGGACTACAGGTGTGAGCCATTGCGCCCAGCCTCCTTTAGTTAAGCCTCATAAATACTGATATCAGTTAGAAACATTTTATCTTTTGTGACTTTTGTTTCATGGGTTACTTAGAAGTAGATTATTTAATTTACAAATATTTGAGCCTTTTCTAGATATCCTATTATGGTGTTTTCTAATTTAAGTCCTTTTCCCCATGAACATATTCTATGCAATTTCAGTCCTTTAACATTTATTGAAGCTTATTTTATGGACATGCTTATGGTCTATGTTGACAGATGTTCTTTCAGATGTTCTTTTTTTTTTTTTTTTTTTTTTGAGATGGAGTCTCACACCGTCCACCAGGCTGGAGTGCAGTGGCACGATCTCAGCTCACTGCAACCTCTCCCTCCCGGGTTCAAGCGATTCTCCTGTCTCAGCTTCCTGAGCGGCTGGGATTACAGGCACGCACCACCACGCCCGGCTAATTTTTGTATTTTTAGTAGACACGGGGTTTCACTGTGTTGGTCAGGCTGGTCTCGAACTCCTGACCTCAGATGATCTGCCCACCTTGGCCTCCCAGAGTGCTGGGATTACAGGCTTGAGCCACTGCGCCCGGCCGAGTATAATTTTTTAAAACAAATTTAAATGTACTACTTACCCATTATCTTCAAGGAAAGGACAGAATCCCTTGGTTAATGCTCCCTGAACAAAGACAAAGTAATTATTACTCAGTCAAGGGATCTGGGAGTAATCTTGTGGGCTCTTGAAACTAAACATGCCCATAGGCTGGGAGCAGTGGCTTATGCCTGTAACCCCAGTACTTTGGGAGGCTGAGGCAGAAGGACTGCTTGAGCCCAGGAGTTCGAGGCCAGCCTGGGCAACATGGTGAAACCCTGTCTCTACAAAAACATACAAAAGTTGGCTGGACGTGGTAGCACTCCAGGCTGCATGACAGGCGCCTGTGGTCCCAGTTACTTGGGAGGCTGAGGTGGGAGCATCGCTTGAGCCCAGGAGGTCTAGGCTGCAGTTGAGCTGGCTGAGATTATGCCACTGCACTCCACCTTAATTGACACAGCAAGACCCTGTCTCCAAAAAACAATCAATCAAACAAAAAACCCCAAACAAACAAAAACATGCCCATAAAAAGTCAGGGTAAGGAATTAGAAACCAAAAGAAAACCTCCATCTATCTATTCATTCAACATTTACTGAACTCTAATTTTCTTTTCTTGAAGAGAGGAAAGTTTAATAGGCAAACAAACTATTAATAGCATCTGGTGTGCCCTGAGTGCTTGCTATGTGCCAGGGCCAAGTAGGTCTCTATTTTGCGGAAGTTAAAATATGATGTAATCGGGTGGTATGAGCATTAAAAAAAATGTAATTGAGGTTACAACCAAGGTGTATTTGCTTTCAAATCCAGATCTTTTTGACTATGCTAAATACAAGCAAATTCAAAAAGGGGAATTAGCCGGCTGCTGTGGCTCACACCAGTAATCCCAGTGCTTTGGGAGGCCGAGGGTGGATAGCTTCGAGGCCAGGAATTCCGGACCAGCCCGGGCAACAAAATGTTAAATAAAAAAATTTTAAAAAATTAAATAAAAAAATTTAAAAAACAAAAAAGGGTATTAAACAACTCACAGACAGATACTGCACAGGATTTTTGGTACGTTTAGGGCATCTGCATGGTACTTGGTTTGTTCTGGGTTGCTGAGAACATTCACAGGTCATACACCAGTTTTCCTTTCTGGAGAGCTTCTGTCTGTATATCTTTTCCTGGAGAATCTGTTTGACATCCACAACACACACTCCTCATTTATTGCCAGAAACGATGATGTTTTATGATTTACATTATGTGTGTACACACGCACGCACGCGCGCGTGTTCCTTTCTGGCCCTCTTGTTTACCATAAGAGGAAGCAATTACCTTTAGCATCAATAAAAGATTGCAGAATAAATATTTGTTCTTTGTAATGGGCGACATGCACCAGCCCCTAAGACATCCTGAGGTTCAGGCTATCAACGCAAAGTGCACACGCCTCCCATGCGCCGTTTCCTTGCAGTTCCAAATCCCAGATGTCTCAGGCTGCAGCTTCCGTTGCCTTTAACTACATCCTCCTTTTTCCAACAAACCTTCCCCCTCAACCCCTTCGAGACCGACCGGCAGGGCCCAGGGGCGGGTGGCGTGACCTTGGTTCATCCTCGGCCGCGGAGACGCGGCGTGACCTTGGCCAAGTCCCCGCTTCCCCATCCGCAGACTTGCGCGGCTGGACCGCTCGGTCTCCGCTCCGGCCGCTAGGCGTCCTGCGCCGCTGTTCTTATCTCCCCCGGCTTCCTCCGCGCACCCCACCAGTTCTACGCCTACGCTGCCGGCGTAGCGGTCGCCTGGAGTCGCGCGTCCCTCTCCTTTCAGATGCTGGTTTCCACCGCGCGAACTGGGAGGGCGCGATTCGCGAACGCGGCCTGCGCTGCGAGCGCGCGGCCGTCCCGCAGGCCGGTGCAGCCTTACGCCGCTGACGCATCGCGCCCAAGATGGCGGCGCGGTCGTCGTCGGGGGTGGCGGCGGCAGAGGGGGCGGCGGCCCTGGCGGCAGCGGAGACGGCAGCCGTGACGGTGGCAGCGGCGGCGCGGGACCTGGGCCTGGGGGAATGAGGCGGCCGCGGCGGGCCAGCGGCGGAGCCGTGTAGCGGAGAAGCTCCCCCTCCCTGCTTCCCTTGGCCGAGCCGGGGGCGCGCGCGCACGCGGCCGTCCAGAGCGGGCTCCCCACCCCTCGACTCCTGCGACCCGCACCGCACCCCCACCCGGGCCCGGAGGATGATGAAGCTCAAGTCGAACCAGACCCGCACCTACGACGGCGACGGCTACAAGAAGCGGGCCGCATGCCTGTGTTTCCGCAGCGAGAGCGAGGAGGAGGTGAGGCGGCAGGCTGGGCGGGCCGGGGTCGCCGGGTCTCCGGCCCCTTCGGGTGGAGGCGCGAGGGGCGCGGCCGCCGGAGGAGGGTGTGCCAGGGCCGCCCCGCTCGGGCGGAATGAAGTTCCGATGGAATTTCCTGAGGCGAAAAAAGGGGGAAGGAGAAAGGACGTTGGGGCTGAGGGGAAGCGGGTTTGAGTGCGGCTGCACAGGGCGCGCCGGGCGGAGGGGGTAGCCGGCTTGTGGCCGGAGCGCTTCGGTTCCGCCGCCTGTTACCGGGGAGAGCGGCCGCGGGAGAAGGCAGTGGGCTGGGAAGAGTGCGGCTTTCGGTCCAGGCCAACGGCTTTGATCCTGGAAGGGCCGCTCCGCAGTTGTCAGCCAGGCACATGTGTGCGGAGGCCGGCGTGCACGAGGCGCGGGCCGGCCTTTGTGGCAGAGAAATAGTGCACTTCATTGGCAGGTTTGGGGTTTGCCGAGGGATTATATGTCTGTGAGCCCAAAGCTGAGGGGTGGGGGTGGGGTGTCTTCGGAAGATTTAGGGCGTTGTGCATAAGCCATAGCCAGCTGTTTATTTTACAGTGCGCTGGGTAGCCTTTATGGTGTAGTCTGAGAAGAAAAGACATTTGATATAATAATCTTTGTGTGCTGAAAATGTTTCATGTTAATTGGGAAGACCAAAAGCGGTATTTAACATTTTTGCCCTGACGTTCCTCCACTGCCTTGTGGGAAGACTCTTAGGATTAAATTAGCTAGGAAAATAATGTTTTAGAATCAGTTTCTTTTTATAATAGGTAGGGTACTTTAAAAAAAAATCTCGGCTTCCCAAAGCCGTTTCTGTGGTGATGAAGGGAATTCAGAGAAGCACATGTTTTGTAAATCCACAAAAGAGTAGCTGCTTTGGAAATTCATAAGATGCCTGTGGGAATGCATTTCTCGTGTGCATGGTGGTAAAATGGCAGTTAAACTGGAAACAATGAAGGACAGTGAAATCCAATATGTTATATTGGATTCAGCAGTGGGCTATGGTGGCAGGGCCGCAGTACAGTGCAGTGTCGAAATGGGGAAAGGAACTTGACCCGTTAGTTATGAAAAGAAGCTGTGGCGAAAGAGACAGATGGATTGCCAGGAGTTGCTGTCCAGAGGTATTTAGGAGGAAGTGGGAATTTGAATTACTGCCTGAAGAAAATTAGTTAGTGAATTGTGTTGTTAAGGGATCCCATGTGTGCTCCCTTTCAGCAAAACAGAACGAAAGGAGATTTGGAAACGTATGCTTTGTATCCTACCATATATTGTAAAAGTCCCCAAAACAGATGCATTGTAATAGCTAACCAGGGCCATGCTGTAAATTATATACTGTTTTGGAATGCATATTTGAGTAAAGTAAAATTATTGGTGGTGCTTATTGCTCCAGAGCCTTTATTCTCCTCATTATCATATCATGTTATGGGAAATCAGATGGGATCACAGGCTCTTAACTGAAGGGAAAACTAATTAGCATAATAGCATGTCTTACTACACTAGTATGCATAAATCTGTGAGCACCCCAATTATAAGTATAATTTAGTTGTACGAATGATGCAAGACTGTTTGTTTTAAAAAAATCACACCAGGCCGGGCGTGGTGGCTCACGCCTGTAATCCTAGCACTTCAGGAGACCAAGGTGGTGAGGCCAAGAGTTCGAGACCAACCTGGCCAACACAGATCCCCATCTCTAAATATAAAAAAAAATAATAATAATAAATCATACTAGAAATAGAAAATGTATTTTTGATAAATTGAAAACTATAGATCATAAGCAAACTAGCAACGGCTTAATTTTCCATTTTCTGTTAAATGTTTTGTTATGCACTGACATTAGCAACATTAATGTTGAAAGCTTACTTGTCTGTTTAGGCTACCTCACGGCATCTCACAAGTCAGACCAGGCATAGGACTTGCCTTCTAGGAGCTTACTTTTTTTCTTTTTTTTTTTTGAGACCGACTCTTGCTATGTCGCCCAGGCTGGAGTGCAGTGGCCCCATCTTGGCTCACTGCAACCTCTGCCTCCCAGGTTCAGGCGATTCTAGGAGCTTGCATTTTTATTTTTAAAATTTTATTTATTTACTTATTTTTATTTATTTATTTATTTTGAGACGGAGTCTCGCTCTTTCGCCCAGGCTGGAGTGCAGTGGCGTGATCTCGGCTCATTGCAACCTCCACCTCCCGGGTTCAAGCTGTTCTCCCTGCCTCAGCCTCCCGAGTAGCTGGGATTACAGGCACCTGCCATAATGCTTGGCTAGTTTTCTGTATTTTTTTTTTTTTTTGAGACAGAGTCTTGCTCTGTCGCCCATGGTGGAGTGCAGTGGCACCATCTCGGCTCACTGCAAGCTCCGCCTCCCGGATTCACGCCATTCTCCTGCCTTAGCCTCCCGAGCAGCTGGGACTACAGGTGCCCGCGACCACGTCTGGCTAATTTTTTTGTATTTTTAGTAGAGATGGGTTGTTACCGTGTTAGCCAGGATGGTCTCAATCTCCTGACCTCATGATCCACCCGCGTTGGCCGCCCAAAGTGCTGGGATTACAGGCGTGAGCCACTGTGCCCGACCTTTATTTATTTATTTATTTATTTTGAGACAGGGTCTTACTGTGTCACCCAGGTTGGAGTGTAGTGGTGTGATCATGGCTCACTGCAGCCTCAACCTCCTATGCTCAAGCAATCCTCCCGTCTCAGCCTCCCAAGTAGCTGGGACTACATGCACAAGCCACCACATCTGGTTGATTTTTAAATTTTATGTAGAGACAGGGTGTATTAGTCCATTTTCACACTGTTATAAAGAAATACCTGAGACTGAGTAATTTATAAAGAAAGAGGTTTAATTGACTCACAGTTATACATGGCTGGGGAAGCCTCAGGAAACTTACAATCATGGCAGAAGGCAAAGGGGAAGTAAGAACCTTCTTCACAAGGCAGCAGGAGAGAGAGAAGGGAAGGAGGAACTCCCAAACACTTGTAAAACCATTGGATTTCGTGAGCATTCACTAGCATGAGAACCGCATGGGGGAAACTCCCCATGATCCAGTTACCTCCCTCACTCAACACATGGGAGGGATTACAGGTTCCCTCCCTCCACAGGTGGTGATTACAAATCGAGATGAGATTTGGGTGGGGACACAGAGCCATAGCATATCACAGGGTCTCCCTTTGTTGCCCAGGCTATTGTCAAACTCCTGGGCTCAAGAGATCCTCCCATCTCAGCCTCCCAAAATGCTGGGATTATAGGCAAGAGCCACTTTGCCAGGCCAGGAGCTTAAAATTTTAAACTGTTAAAATGAGTTTCTTTAATGCATTGAGTTTCCTTTATTGAATTTCTTTTTGAACGTTGGCTAATGAGCCGAGGAATCATGCAAAGCTTTAAATTACAGATTCAGTGGGTGTTACAGCTAAAGCCTGGGAAGAAAAATAAAATGAGTGAAATACGTCCATTTTAGATTTGTTCAGTTCAACAAACATGTATGAGAAACAACAAAAAGCATGTATTAAAGAGCCTGCTATGGCTGCAGCGCTGTGTCATGGAGAATCTAAATATTAGCATCCCTTCTTGCAGACAGAGTTGAGTAGTTTTAGATGAGATTCCTTAATTGGGAGGGATTTTGGACCACAGAATAATCTCTAGGGTGCTTTTCAACTCTCAGATTATATAATTATGTTGGAAGGGAAGTAATTTGTTAGTTCCAGGAGAACTTTTATGTTCTCAGTAGATGTGCCAGAAGCATTAGCTGCCACACATTGTGGGAATGTAAAATTCCAACCGAATAAGGCATTCAACCCAATTAAAAAAAATTTTAATGGGCACTAATGGCCTTAATCAAGATAGAATAGTTTACAGAATATTATTAGCATTAATACAGTAGTAATATAAGTATAAATAGGACCTTGATTTATAAATTTAAGCAATGTCAAGAAGCATACATGGAATGTGAAGAAAAAGAGATGAAAATACAGCCATGTGTCGCTTAACGTTGGGGATACGTACTGAGAAATGCATCATTAGGTGATTTTGTTGTTGTGTAAACATCATAGAATGTACTTACACATACCTGGATGGTATAGCCTACTGCACATGTAGGCTATATGGTATAGCCTATTGCTCCTAAGCTGCAAAACTGTACAGCATGTGACTGTACTGAATAAATAGGCAATTGTAATGCAGTAGTATTTGTGTATCTAAACATATCTAAACAAGCAAAGTACAGGAAAAATACGGTACAAAAAATAAAAAATGGTTCACCTGACCAGGACACTTATTATGACTGGAAGTTGCTCTGGGTGCATCAGTGAGTGAGCGGTGAGTAAATGCGAAGGCCTAGGGCATTACTGTACACTACAGAAACACTGTACAGCTTAGGTTGCACTAAATCAAAAAATTATTTTTCTTCGATAATAAATTAACCTTAGCTTACTGTAATTTTTTTACTTTATAAACTTTTACATTTTTTAACATTCTGACTCGTTTGTAATACTTAGCTTAAAACACATTGTACAGCTATATAACAATATTTTTCTCTTTCTTTCCTGTCATACTAAAATCACTTTTTTTTTTTTTTTTTTTTTTTAAAAAGAGATGAGATCTTGCTCTGTTCCCCAGGCTGGTCTTGAATTCCTGGGCTCAAGTGATCCTTCCACCTCAGCCTCCCAAGCAGCTAGGACAACTGGTGTATGCCGCCATGCCTGGCTAATGTTTTCTTCATTATATCTTTATTCTAGAAACTTTATTTAAAAATATTATTTAGTATTTGTTTGTTTTACTTTTTGTTCCTCTGGCTACCCATATTTTACTTTTTAAGCTTTTTCTTTGGTTGAAAACAAAGACACAAACACACATTAACCTAGGCCTACACAGGGTCAGGATCATCAGTATCACTGTCTTCCACCTCCACATCTTATCCCACTGGGAGGTCTTCAGGAGAGTAACAGGCGTGGAGCTATCATCTCCTATGATAACAATCCCTTCTTCTGAGACTGTTTTACAATTAACTTTTTAAAAAAATAGAATACACTCTACAGTTAAACAATAAAAAGTACAGTATAGTAAATACAGAAACCAGTAATAGTCATTTACTATCAAGTATTATGTACTGCACATAATTGTATGTGCTACATTTTGTTGTTGTTGTTTTGAGACAGGGTCTTACTCTGTTGCCCAGGCTGGAGTATAATGGTGTGATCACAGCTCACTGCAGCCTTGACCTTCTGGGCTTAAGCGATCCTCCCACCTCAACAAGTATCTGGGGCTCCAGGCACATGCCACCATGCCTGGCTAATTTTTGTATTTTTTTGTAGAGATAGGGTTTCGGCATGTTGCCCAGGCTGGTCTTGAACTCCTGGACTAAGGCAATCTGCATCCTCAGCCTCCCTAAGTGCTGGGATTACAGGCATGAGCCACCGTGCTCAGCTGTGCTAGACTTTTATATGACCGGCAGCACAGTAGGTTTGATTGTGTACTCACCATAAACACATGAGTAATGCATTGTGCTGTGACACCACAGCTATGATGGGATAGGAATTTCTCAACTCCATTATAATCTCTTGGGACTACTCTTGTATATGTGGTCTGTAGTTGACTGAAATGTTATATAGTCCATGACTATATTAGAAGGTAATAGATCATGGGTAGCCAAACCTATCATTCTAGGTTTTTTTTTTCCCCAGCCCCAGAAAACTTTATTTATAGACCAGCAATGAGAGGCTGAAATTCTGATCCAGGTTAGGATGTGTCAACATAGCAAATTTATTGAACACTCATTGAGTGCCAAGTTCTGTGATACTGTTATGAAGGAGACAGACATGCAGGGAGCTTAGAGTCTAATGGGAGAGATGGAAGAACAAACAGACCAAACAGCATGATGAAAATGATTACCTTTTCTTTTTCTGGCTTCTCTTCTTGTTGACAAACAAAAATTAACAGGAAAAAACTTCCCACTTAAAAAGTTGTACTGATTGTTATTGGTATGTTGATAACATCTTTAAATTGGGTATTTGTGGTAACTAACATTTATTACAGTAGTTTGAACCTGATATACAGTTTCTTAACCAACCACCACTTTAACCAGCTTGGTACACTGAATGCTTGGCTGTTACACAGCAGGCTGCTGGGTCTGGTGTACCCCAACCAGGTGGCCTCCCAGCTGCCAAATTGTGTGATTACAATTAGTTACCTCTATTCCTTTATCTGTTTATGTTCATTGTACTTGTTATTGTAATTGTGCAACTTAACCAGTGAACTTTGAGTTCAGAAAAGAACAAGGCTCAGCATGGTGGCTCACGCCTATAATCCCAGCACTTTGGGAGACCAAGGTGGGCGGATCACATGAGCCCAGGAATTTGAGACCAACCTAGGCAACATGGTGAAACCCCCTCTTTACTGAAAATACAAAACTAGCCAGGCACGGTGGTGTGCAGCCTGTAGTCCCAGCTACATGGGAGGCTGAGGCACAAGAATTGCTTGAACCCAGGAGACGGAGGTTGCAGTGAGCCAACAGCACGCCACTGCACTCCAGCCTAGGTGACAGAGTAAGAGTCTGTCTCAAAAAAAAAAAAAAAGAAATTACTGCTCACTTATATGGACAAACAAACTGAGAAGACTGGAGAGGGGATCTTAAAAGTCTAGAAGGACTCTGCACATAGATTACTTCATGAATGTTTTTAGGTTTTTGTTCTTTATAAAAACTAGGACTGGAAAACATAGGTCATTGATTATGGATGTGGCATATGAAAGAAAGACAACTTAACAATTCAAACAAACAAAACAAAACAAGATCTTGGCCCTACAAAGATTACCAAATAACTACATGTTTATATACATATAAAAGATTTATTTGCTAATAATATGTAATATGGTCTCGAACTCCCGACCTCAGGTGATCCGCCCGCCTCGGCCTCCCAAAGTGCTGGGATTATAGGCATGAGCCACTGTGCCTGGCCATATTTTTTATTTTTTGTAGAGATGAGGTCTCATGTTTCCCAGACTGGTCTGGAACTCCTGGCTCAAGTGATCCTCCCTTCTTGGCCTCCCAAAGTGTTGAGATTATAGGCATGAGCCATCACATCTGGCCTGATTATTTAATATTTTCATTTGCTTCCTCTTTGCACATAATATATAATTAGTAATATATAAAGTATGTATATATAAATGTATATTTATCTGCTAATCTTTGTTCTTAGGGCCAAGATCTTGTTTTGAGTTTTTTTTTTTTTTTTGGAGGCAGGGTCTTGCTCTGTTGACCAGGCTGGAATGCAGTAATGCGATCTCAGGTCACTGCAGCTTCCACCTCCCAGGCTCAAGTGATCCTCCCACCTCAGCCTCCCAAGTAGATGGAAGTACAAGTGCCTGCCACCTTGCCCAGCTATTTTGTGTGTGTGTGGAGACAGGGTCTCACTATGTTACTCAGGCTGGTTTTGAACTCCTGAGCTCAAGCGATCCTCCCACCTCAGCCTCCCAAAGTGCTAGGATTACATGCATGAGACACCACGCCCAACCTACATTTATATTTTTTAATCAACCGTATCCTTTACTTGATACTTTATCATACACTGTGTGGAAGACTGTAACTTCTTGAGTAAGATTTTATAATCCAAAATTGGGTAATATGATATTCATCTGTCATATTATTCAACTTTGGCCCTGCTAAAGTACTTCCAGTGAGATTATCCCTCTTCCCCCAGCCTTTCCTTTTTTAGAGCCTCTGTGAGGAGAAGTGAGAGACAGGGATGGGCTTGTTTGTACTCTTAGAAAGGCCAAATGATACAGAACATACAACAAATGACATCACAGTGCCTAGGAAAGTTAAAGCTGCTCCTAACGGGTCTGTTTTTACCCAGGGAGAAAAATGACTACTAATAGGATTGTGTGAGTTAGATTTCCCTGTGCCTTAAAGCTGTTTTAATAAAGAAAGGATGAAGCTGTTCCTAAGTTGTTAGGTTCGTTTGTTGTACTTTTCCACTAGAAGCCCTATATCTCTTGGCAAAGGGGAGCTGCTTCACATTTTCTCAGATCCTTCAGCTCACCAGGTTGGAACGGAGAGATGATTGACATTGGAGCTCTTCAGTGGGCAGAGACTGGTGGCCTGTTTGTCTGTAAAATGCCCCAGAGGAGCAGGTGGACTGACGTCTCTGCAGACTGCACCTTCCAGCAGGCTCTAGAGAAGAGAGTAAGACACAGGTAGCAATCCCAGAGGCAATAATCATGACAAAGGGCTTCCAGCAGATCCCAAGGTGGTTTGGGAGTCCTTTTGTAACACATCTTGGTCACCGTTCAATATTACATTGCTCTAAGATCATGATGGGTTCATTGATCCCGTCATGACTGGACATTTCTGCTTCTCATTTCTCAAAATCTTTCCTGGAAGCTTTTTTCCCCTGCTTTCCCTTCTGTTTGCCTAATACCAGTTAGTCATGTCTTCCATTACGTTATTTTTTGCCTCCTTCCCAAGGTGTGAATTCTGGTCTGAATTCATACTGCAGTCTCCATTCTTTTTATGTCTTTGCCCCAATCCTACTTCTTTGTTTCTGCTTTAATTCTCATTTCTCAATAAAAATAGTGCTGCACATCTACTGTGTGCTGTGTCTGAAGCAATCTATATCTTCATAGCCTAGTACAGAAAGGAAGGGCCCTTGTTCAGGAATACAATTGTTTATTCATTTCTTCAGCACACATTTTTGGAGTGTCTGTGTAAGACCTTGGGAATACATGGATAAATAAGACTGCTCAGCATTTTGGGAGGCCTACGTGGGAGGATCGCTTGAGCTGGGGATGTCTAGGATGTGGTGAGCTGTGTTTGCATCACTGCACTCCAGCCTGGGCAACAGAGTGAGAGAGACCCTGGCTCCAAAAAGAAAACACCATAAAATGAAATGATCCCTTAAATAGACTTCCTTTGTATACAATTAGTTGATCTCTTTGTTCATAAAACAGTAAAGTTTTATGAACTGCTTAGAAAATCTTTTCTTCGGCTTGGTTATTTAACATATTTCTGATGTGTTTTGTAAGAGCAGCTTAGCAATGATGAATAAAAAGGAGTATGAGCTCAGACATAGTGCTTATGCTTTTCTTAAAAGGAGGAAGGATTGTGATTTTTCTTTTTTCCTTTTTTTTTTTTTTTTTGAGATGGAGTCTTGCCCTGTCACCCAGGCTGGAGTGCAATGGCGCCATCTTGGCTCACTGCAACCTCCGCCTCCCAGGTTCAAACGATTCTCCTGCCTCAGCCTCCCGAGTAGCTGGGATTACAGGTGCCTGCCACCGCACCCAGCTAATTTTTGCAGTTTTAGTAGAGATAGGGGTTTCACCACCTTAGCCAGGCTGGTCTCGAACTCCTGACCTTGTGATCCACCCTCCTCGGCCTCCCAAAGTGCTAGGATTACAGGTGAGAACCACCGCGCCCGGCCTTTCCTTTTTTTTTTGAGACAGGGTCTTGCTCTGTCATCCAGGTTGGTGTGCTGTGATGCAGTCATGGCTAACTGCAGCCTTGACCTCCTGAGCTCAAGCGATCCTCCTTCCTCAGCCTCCCGTGTAGCTAAGATTACAGGCATGCACCACCATGCCTGGCTAATTTATTTTTAGTAGAGACAGGGTCTTGCTATGTTGCTCAGGCTGGTCTCAAACTCCTGAGCTGAAGCAGCAGCCCTCCTGCCTTGACCGAAGCAGCAGCCCTCCTGCCTTGACCTTCCAAAGTGCTGGGATTACAGGTGTGAGCCACTATACCTAACCATGATTTTTATTTGAATATTTAGAAATCCTAATAAAATATACATTAAGAAAAGTTACAAAACAAACAAAAAAAGAGAAGTTACATTGTGCTTATACTTTGAAATTTGTTTGTTTGTGTTTTGAGACAGGGTCTGGGTCTGCCACCCAGGCTGGAGTGTAGTGGTGTGATCATAGCTCAATGCAGCCCCAACCTTCCGGGCGCAAGTGATGCTCTCACCTCAGCCTCCTGAGTAGCTGGGACTACAGGCATGTGCCACCACACCCTCCTAATATATATTTTTTTTATTTTTTGTAGAGATGAGGTTTCATTATGTTGCCCAGACTGGTCTGGAACTCCTGGCTCAAGTGATCCTCCCTCCTTGCCCTCCCGAAGTGTTGGGATTACGTGCACGAGCCACCACATCTGGCCTGTTTGATTATTTAATTTTTTTTTTTTTTTTTTTTTTTTTTTGAGATAGAGTCTCGCTCTGTCGCTCAGGCTGGAGTGCAGTGGTGTGATCTTGGCTCGCTGCAACCCCCGTCTCCCGGGTTCAGGTGATTTTCCTGTGTCAGCCTCCCGAGTAGCTGGGGTTACAGGTGTCCACCACCAAGCCTGGCTAATTTTTGTATTTTTAGTACAGCTGGGGTTTCACCATGTTGGCCAGGCTGGTCTCGAACTCCTGACCTCGTGATCTGCCTGCCTCGGCCTCCCAAAGTGCTGGGATTACAGGTGTGAGCCACCGTGCCCAGCCGATTATTTAATATTTTTATTTGCTTCCTTTTTGCAGAAATGATTTGATTGCTAGGCTTATATTCAGCCATCATTAACCAAATGTGCTGAGCCCTGACTCAGGGCTTTTACATCTATCACTGTGGTATTGATTTCTTCCTAGGAGGCTTTGCAGTTTGGATAGTCTGCCTTTAATAATAGTAAGACAAAACTTTTAGATTTTATTGCCAATATGAGTTAGGAAAACAGTCCAGAGAATTTCTGTATATAATAATTGTATTTCTGTGGGTTTTTTTTTGTAGGTTCAATTATTTTAGCTGGGCACAATCATCCTTCTGCCAGGGTGTATGGGTCATTTTTTTTTCAAGAGGGAATTATTATTTTTGGTTACAAAAGTAATTGTATTGTGGTATCTATAAAGAATACTTCAAACTGAAGAGTTTTAAAATGTGTAGAATACAGAATCTGAGCTTCAGTCTACTGGCAAGATGCAATTTAGGCCGGGTGCAGTGACTCACACCTGCAATCTTAGCCCTTTGGGAAGCCGAGTGGGAGGATTGCTTGAGCTCAAGAGTTTGAGACAAGGCTGAGCAATGTAGTGGGACCTCGTCTCTATAAAAAAATTTAAAAATTAGCCTGGTGTGGTGGTGTGCGCCTGTGGTCCTAGCTACTTGGGAGGCTGTGATGGGAGGATCACTGGAGCGTGGGAGGTCAAGGCTGCAGTAAGTCATGGTTGTGCCACTGCACTTCAGCCTGGGTGACAGAGTAAGACCCTGTCTAAAAAGCAAAATAAGATGCAGTTTGGAGTGTAAAATAGAGAAGTATGGAGAGAGGTGTTTATAGGAATTGGAGAAGCCTTTGAAGAAAGATGAGCTAGAGTGTCAGGGATGACTTTATGGAGCAGGCTAGACCTGAACAGCTTGGTCGAATATGGGTAGTTGAAGAATATCCTAGGTGAAGGACACTGGGCCGTCTAAGTCAGAGGCCCAGATATGCAGCCTTTGGAAGCCTGTTTGTATTAACGTATTGTGGATAAAGAAAGCTGTTATTCCCTGCCTGTCCCCCTAATCTGTGCTGGAAGAAAGAGAGAAAGTAAGAGGCCCAGTCCAGTGTCTATGAGAGAGTGATGACCCTTTTTCTCATCCCCAAGGACATGAAAACAAAGATCTCAACAGAGAATTCTATCCATTTTGAACCCTGTAACTAACAGTGAAATCAACCAGGAAAATCCTTCATGATTTCATCTACTTTTCATTTCATGGTATGGATGCTATATACCACTAAAAATTAGTACTTTAGCTGGCTGCAGTGACTCTTGCCTATAATCTCACCTATTTGGGAGGCTGAGGCAGGAGGATTACTTGAGTCTAGGAGTTTGAGGCTGCAGTGAGCCATGGTCGTGCCACTGTACTCCAACCTGGGTGACAGAGCAAGATCCTTTCTCTTAAAAAAAAAATAAATAGGGCTGGGCGCTGTGGCTCGCGCCTGTAATCCCAGCACTTTGGGAGGCCGAGGAGGGTGGATCACCTGAGGTCAAAAGTTCAAGACCAGCTTGGTCAACATGGTGAAACCCTGTCTCTACTAAATATACAAAAATTAGCCGGGCGTGGTGGCAGGCGCCTGTAATCCCAGCTACTCGGGAGGTGGAAGTTGCAGTGAGCCGAGATCGCGCTGTTGCACTCCAGTCTGGGCAACAAGAGCGAAACTTTGTCTCAAAAAATAAATAAATAAATAAATAGATAAAAATTAGTACTTTACTGCATAAAAGAAAACTGATTTCTTTTAATATGTATTTACTATTTTTTTTTTTTAAGATGGAGTTCACTCTTGTCCATGCTGGAGTGTAATGGCTCGATCTCAGCTTGTTGCAACCTCCACCTCCCAGGTTCAAGGGATTTTCCTGCCTCCACCTCCCAAGTAGCTGGGATCACAGGCATGTGCCACCCCATCCGGCTAATTTTTAGTAGAGATGGGGTTTCACCATGTTGGCCAGGCTGATCTCGAACTCCTGACCTCAAGGGATCTGCCCACCTTGGCCTCCCAAAGTGCTGAGATTACAAGCATGAACCACCGCGCCTGGCCTAGATTTTAAAATACAATCTTTGGGCTGGTACAGTGTCTCAAGCCTGTAATCCCAGCACCCTGGGAGGACAAGGTGGGATGATCACTTGAGGCCAGGAATTCGAGACCAGCCTGGGTAACATAGCAAGACCCTGTCTGTACAAAAAAACTTCTGTGGATTACTTTTTTTTTTTGAGATGGAGTCTCTCTCTGTCGCCCAGGCTTGAGTGCAGTGGTGTGATATTGGCTCACTGCAACCTCTGCCTCCCAGGTTCAAGCGATTCTCCTGCTTCAGCCTCCCAAGTAGCTGGGATTACAGGCACCTGCTAACACGCCCAGCTAATTTTTGTATTTTTAGTGGAGATGGGGTTTCGCCATGTTGGCCAGGCTGGTTTCAAACTCCTGGCCTGAGGCGATCTGCCCACCTTGGCCTCCCAAAGTGCTGGGATTACAGGTGTGAGCCACTGTACCCCACCATGGATTACTTTTATAATAAGTCATAAAAAGTATAAAAAGTCCATACTTTTATACTATGTCACACATTTAGCAAATCTAAATTTTATTTTGAAACATTGAAAACTAAACAAATACTGATATAGGTGGACTTTTCTATTTTCCATGAGTCTATACAGATCATGGAGCTGTTGTGCTAATGAAAAGAAAACTAGAACTACGTTGCTGTGGGTGAAAGAAGAGGGGAGGTGAATTCTTCTTGGGTTTGATAAAGATGTATGACTGAGAAGGTCTTGGCATAAGACTTGATCATGGACTTGGAGGAGGGTGTGCTATGGCCAGACTGGGCAGAAGAGGCCAGGGATGGTAGAAGCAATAAGCATACACAATGGTGCCACTAGAGAAGAGTTTGGGTGGCTGTGGTGCAGGGATGCGGAGTGTATTGAATGATTGATTTTTCTGGCATAAAATTAGAAGAGTACCATTCTTTTTGGAGAATGCCCTTCTTGGAGAGAGGGAGGGACCCATCCTCCACCTAGCTCTCTTCTCTGGTGTGGCCATGTGGATGCGGGACTAAGGCTCCACCAGTTGGAGGCCTGAGGAGGCCAAAGGGATGGGTGGGGCAAGGCAGTGACTGTGTGCTGACCAGATGTTTGTGCTATAGACCCAGGCTGTGGCTTTTGCTGCCACCTCTGGAGTGCTCATAGTGTGGGCCTATCTTCTAAGATTGGTCCTATAGTCCTTGCCACTCCAATATTCTGAGCATTTGATATTTTTTCCAATAAATTCCTTTTTGGCTTCAGACAGCCAGGCTTTGTTGCTTGCAACCAAGAACTTTGCCTAATATATCACTTTGGTAGTTTTTAGGGTAGCCTCCTCAACTAATCCAGTGCACCAGAAGAAACGTATACATGTTGAGTCAGAAGTTTTTTTGTGTGTGGGAGAGCTTTTCATTTTATTTATGAAGCAAGCTTTAACATTTTTCCTTTTTTTCCCCCAAGTCAGGATCTTGCTCTGTCTCCCAGGCTGGAGTACAGTGATGTGATCATGGCTCCCTGCAGCCTCATCCTCCTGGGCGCAAGCACTTCTCCCACCTCAGCTTCCCAAGTAGCTGAGACTACAGGAATGTGCCACCTCATCTGGCTATTTTTTTTTTTTTTTGGGTAGGAGCGACAAGATCTCGCTAGGCTAGTCTCAAACTCCTGGGATCAAGCAGTCTTCCTGCCTAGATCTCCCAAAGTGCTGGGATTATAGGTGTGAGCCGCTGCACCTGGCCATTTTTCCGCTTTTTGTAGTAAAAATTTCTTCATGCTAAAGTTTGTAAAATTGATTTTAAATGGCAAAAAAGTAATTCAGTCAAATTAGAGCAAATCAGAGCACTGTAACTAACAGTAGCCTGAACGCCAGTGTTTTTATAAAATGCTTATCAGCATAGTCATGCTCTCTCCACACTTTTTTTTTTTTTTTTGAGACGGAGTCTCCCTCTGTCACCCAGGCTGGAGTGCAGTGGTGTGATCTTGGCTCACTGCCACCTCTGCCTCCCAGGGTCAAGCGATTCTCATGCCTCAGCCTCCCAAGTAGCTGGGGTTACAGGTGTGTGCCACCACACCTGGCCAATTTTTGTATTTTCAGTAGCAACGGGTTTCACCATGTTTGCCAGGCTGATCTCAAACTCCTGGCCTCAAATGATCTGTCCGTCTCAGCTTCCCAAAGTGCTGGGATTATAGGCATGAGCCACTGTGCCCTGCCCTCTCCACACTTTTTAAATTCTCTTTTTAGAATTATCCTAAATAATATTTGAGAATGTGTGAATTTTTAATGTTTTAAATGTTGGGGGTATCAAGGACCAGATTTTTTAAAATGAATTTTTAAAATCCAAGTTTATGAAAACAGTACGATGCTTCTTAAAATACATATATTGTAGTCTCCAAGTTCTGTCTTGGTTAACAAGAATTTATTGAGGCTTCACTTTTTGCAAAACACTATTCTCGGTGCAGTGATGGTTTTAAAACTGTGGACATGTCCACTGCTGTCCAGGAAGAATGCTTTTCTAAATTGATGAATTAATTAAATTACCGTTAGGCATTTCAGTACAGTTGAACAAGTGGCTGCATTATGTGCCTTGGGTGGGATCAGACAAAAATTTAAAAAGTGGGACATAAAGTACATGGAGCAGTTAGAAAAAAATGTAGGAAAGGCTGTGCTTCCGGAGTGCTTCATTTTGGATGCAAAATACAGAAGTAGTCAGTCTTGGGCTCTAAGAAGTTAATAGGATTTACGTAGAAAGGAGGGGAAAGAGTATGTTAGGAGAAGGAGACCCAGCATGATTGAGGGTGGGAATGAGTTTGTTGCATGCCAGAGACTCTGAGCATATGAACCTGGGTCTGGGATAGTGGTGTGGCAGGGTATTGATGGGGAGTGATAAGGGGTGTCAGCTGGCTGGGAGCTAAGGGTATAGAGCCTTGATTTGAGATAATGAGGAGTTTGGGTTTGATCCTACAGTGGGGAACCACAGTTGTCCTTCAAAGGGTTGTGGAAAGGTATGTGTGAGAGTAGAATGCAGGGTGAACTCAGCGGGGGCTACCAGAGGGAATGATTGGGAGAATGATGTTCTATTCTGGAAGTGAGAGCCATGGTAGCAGCAGAATGGAATGAAGTATTAAGTGACACTGTAATCAAAGGGTGGACAGGTTTGGTAACAGATGATATGTTAAAGATAAAGGAGACCATGCATGGTGGCTCACGCCTGTAATCCCAGCACTTTGGGAGGCGGAAGCAGGAGAATCACTTGAGGCCAGGAGTTCAAGACCAACCTGAGTAACATAGGGAGACCCCATCTCTACAAAAATAAAAAATTAGCTGTGCATGGTGGTGCATGCCTGTAGTCCCAGTTACTCAGGAGGCTGAGGTGGGAGGATCACTTGAGCCTGGGAGATCGAGGCTGCACTAGATGCCATTGCACTTGAGCCTGGGAGGTCAAGTGGCATGATAGTGCCACTGCACTCCAGCCTCGGTGACAGAGTGAGACCCTGTCTCAAGAAAAGAAAAAAAAAAGATGAAGGAGCTCATGGTTGAAGATGACTTTTAAATTTTGATCCTGGGTGACAGGAGAAATGGAAATTTAGAAGAGAGGTTGGTTTCGGAGAGAAGATGGAACTTTGGTTTTGTCATGTCGAATTTGAAGTGATGAACTGAATTCAACTGATGATAGTTGGAGATGTGGGACTAGAAGGGGAGTAAGAAGTTAGGACTATAGATACAGTGTGGAGTGTCAGGGACCTTGGAGAGGGAGAATAGAAAGTTAGCACAAGAGAAAGTACACAGAAAGCAAAACTGAGCGTAGGGCCTGAGCTTGGGGCATCATGGCACTCGAAGCACTGTCATAAAAGCGGAGGTGGAAGAACATTTCACAAAGATGTGATAGGTGATAGATCACACCTAGAGCCATCAATTATAATGAAGATGAGATGTAGCAACAGATTTAACGATGACTTTATAAAACTGTTAGAAGAATGGTAAGATGGACGTGTGGATTTGGGTTGATTAAATCAGGCTTTAGGAAAGAAGCACATTTTCTTCGGAGATTGGAAGGTGGATAAATGAAAAAACCCAAGAGTCTGAGTTATATTGACATGAATTCGAGAAAACTCCTTCCAGATGGATCTATTCTGAGAAGGAGAGTTATTCACCATATTTACTCTTCCAATCAATATACTGATCTGGTGATTTGAGGGGCAAGAAAAAGTCTGGCAGAGTTACTGTGGTGTGGTCAGGATTGAAGTGATAGTTTTATAAGGGGATACATTTGGAGGCTGAATGGTATTTATCCTCACAAACAATTGTGGGCCTTCTGTGTATAAAGCAGCATGTAGACTCCACGGAGGATAAACTATGAGCAGGAGAGACTGTTTTAGAACTCTGGTAACTTTTTTATTTTTTATTTTTTAATTTTTTTTTGATACAGAGTCTTACTCTGTCGCCCAGGCTGGAGTGCAATGGCACGATCTCAGCTCACTGCAACCTCTGCCTCCCCGTTTCAAGCAATTCCCCTGCCTCAGCCTCCCGAGTAGCTCGGATTACAGGCGAGCACTGTCATGCCTGGCTAATTTTTGTATTTTTTAGTAGAGATGGGGTTTCACCGTGTTGGTCAGGCTGGTCTCGAACTCCTGACCTCGGGTGATCCGCCTACCTCGGCCAAAGTGCTGGGATTACAGGCATGAGCCACAGCGCCCGGCCGAACTCTGGTAACTTATTACCTAGTGGGCTCAAAAGGAGGTGGAATTTATATTGTTTAAGTTTCATATATTTCCTTATCCCTTTGCATATAGACGCTGGAGAGGGGAAAGAGAACGGTAGAGATGTCCCAAGATTGGGGACTGATTCAAGAGCATGTTATAAGATCAGAAGAATCAGAAAGTTGACTGAGAGTCAGTTTTTTTATTTGTAAAATGGGAATAAATAATACCTAATTCTTGAAGTTGTTATGAGACTTGAATGAGGAAAGTAAAGTGCCTCCCAGATAACATAGTTGGTGCTGTAACGAAGGCAGGAACCACAGAAGGAATCACACTAGCCAAGAAATGATGATGATACAGTGAAATGAGTGCTGTAAAAGAACCCTCTCCGAATGCTTTAGAAATGGAGGAGTAGACAAATGCTGGATTGAGAAGTCAGACACAGTGCGAAAGGACTAGATCTGAGTGTTGAAGGATGAGTATAAATTTGCTGCTACTCCAATACAGATTGTGCAGGCATTAAAAAAAAAATCAGATGCTGATCATAACAGCGTCACAAAGACAGACTGATATGTGATCTAAAAAATACAAGAACTGGGAAAGAAAGGAAAGATTCACTGCAGTAAATGGTGCTCTGTGAATTTACTGTGAAAGAGCTTTTATGGAAAGAGAGGAAGACCTGAAGTTATAGAATCTTTACATTTGTGAACCTGGAAGTAAACATAGACATGATCTATCCAGCCACGTCAGTGAAATAAGGGAACTGGAACCAAAAGAGTGTTGAAATCTGTCTACTGTGATAATTCTGGTAAAATAATATGTACAAAGATAACACAGTTTTCTTCTGACAGATCCACAAAAGGAGTTAAACAAGTAGAATGCATTTTTTTTTTTTTTTTTTTTTTTTTTGAGAGGGAGCCTTGTTCTGTCGCCCAGGCTGGAGTACAGTGGCATGATCCGGGCTTGCTGCAACCTCTGCCTCCCAGGTTCAAGTGATTCTCCTGCCTCAGCCTCCCAAGTAGCTGGGACTACAGGTGCATGCCACCACACCTGGCTAATTTTTTGTATTTTTTAAGTAGAGACAGGGTTTCACCATGTTGGCCAGGCTGGTCTCAAACTCCTGACCTCAGATGATCCGCCCGCCTTGGCCTCCCAAAGTGCTGGGATTACAGGCATGAGCCACTGCGCCCAGCCGAATAAAAATATATTTCTAAAACAGACTCCCAGTACCAGTATTTAAAAGAACAAAAACAGGTGGAATGAAAGGCTGTAACACAATTATAGAAGTGTAATCTATACCAACTTCAGCAGCATCTATTGCTGTTGTCACTGTTAGCTGAAGCTGATCACGAATCCCAGCACCAGTGCGTGTGTGTTGTGGGAAGAAGCTGAATTTGTCAGAAACATGGATATTTTTGGCACATTTTGAATGCCATAAAATACTTTTTAAGGCAGTTTTAGTAGTCTTCCTTCCATTATAAAGATGTTCTACATTCACCATAGCAAATTTGGAAAATAGCCTCTTTTGAGCCCATTACGTTATAAGTTACCAGAGTTCTCTCCTGCTCATAGTTTATCCTCTGTGGTGCCTACGTGGTGCTCCATACACAATAGGCCTACAATTATTTATGAGGATAGATACCGTTCAGCCTCTAGTTTCCCCCCAAAACGTATGAAGGAAATTATTCTCTTTAATCATTCTGGCTTTAAATTTTATAACATTAAATTCACATATAATATGCAATTTATCCTAATTTGAATTCTGTATACACTTTTTTTTTTTTTTTGAGACGGAGTCTTTCTCAGTCGCCCAGGCTAGAGTGCAGTGGCGTGATCTCAGCTCACTGCAAACTCCGTCTCCTGGGTTCATGCTATTCTCCTGCCTCAGCCTCTCGAGAAGCTGGGACTACAGGCGCCTGCCACCATGCCCGGCTAATTTTTTGTATTCTTAGTAGAGATGGGGTTTCACCATGTTAGCCAGGATGGTCTCGATCTCCTGAGCTTGTGATTCGCCCGCCTCGGCTTCCCAAAGTGCTGGAATTACAGGTGTGAGCCACCGCGCCCGGCACACGCGCGTGCTCTCGCTCTCTCTCTCTCTATGTATATATATTAAAGCCTGTCAGATTTAGTGGGGGCAGGGATGAGATGGGGGGTAGATGACAATGTTAAGCCAGAAAAGAAGATAGTATTATTGACCAGTAATTGATAAATTATTGGTTTATTTTTCTCCAATCTCACAAAGTATATATATATATTTTTTAAAGATGGAGTTTTGCTCTTGTTGCCCAGGCTGGAGTGCAATGGCATGATCTGGGCCCACCACAACCTCTGCCTCCTGGGTTCAAGCGATTCTCCTGCCTCAGCCTCCCTAGTAGCTGGGATTACAGGCATGTACCACCACACCTGGCTAATTTTGTATTTTTAATACAAATGGGATTTCTCCATGTTGGTTAGGCTAGTCTCGAACTCGTGACCTCAGATGATCTCCCCACCTTGGCCTCTCAAAGTGCTGGGATTACAGGTGTGAGCAACTGCACCTGACACAAAGTACACTTAAAAAAAAAGTGACACTTGGCCATCAGAGAAACGCAAATCAAAACCACAATGAGATACCATCTCACACCAGTTAGAATAGCAATCATTAAAAAGTCAGGAAACAACAGGTGCTGGAGAGGATGTGGAGAAATAGGAACACTTTTATGCTGTTGGTGGGACTGTAAACTAGTTGAACTATTGTGGAAGACAGTGTGGCAATTCCTCAAGGATCTAGAACTAGAAATACCATTTGACCCAGCCATCCCATTACTGGGTATATACCCAAAGGATTATAAATCATGCTGCTATAAAGACACATGCACACATATGTTTATTGCAGCACTATTCACAATAGCAAAGACTTGGAACCAACCCAAATGTCTATCAGTGATAGACTGGATTAAGAAAATATGGCACATAGACACCATGGAATACTATGCAGCCATAAAAAATGATGAGTTCATGTCCTTTGTAGGGACACGGGTGAAGCTGGAAACCATCATTCTGAGCAAACGATCGCAAGGACAGAAAACCAAACACTGCGTGTTCTCACTTATAGGTGGGAATTGAACAATAAGAACACTTGGACACAGGGTGGGGAACATCACACACCGGGGCCTGTTGTAGTGTGGGGTTAGGGGAGGGATAGCATTAGGAGATATACCTAATGTAAATGAGGAGTTAATGGGTGCAGCACACCAACATGGCACATGTATACGTATGTAACAAACCTGCACGTTGTGTACATGTACTCTAGAACTTAAAGTATAATATAAAAAATAACAATAATAAAAAAATGACACTTAGCCAACCATCTTAAAGAATTATAATTCTCATCTTGCCAGTCTATTTCCCCAGTGCTCATTAATAAGAATTAGTGTGATTCTCTATTCTTCTAATCAGTGAACCACATAAACTGACTGTTACCTCTAATGGTTTCAGAAAGGATCTCGTAAGGAATCAATAACAATTTAGTAGTGATTGTTCTTTCCTGTTTCCCACGTTGAATCTGCATCTGCTGAGTATGAGACTTGCTATCTTCAAAGCATTTTTTCTTTTTTTTTTTGAGACAGAGTCTTGCTGTGTTGCCAGGCTGGAGTGCAGTGGTGCAATCTCAGCTCACTGCAACTTCCACGTCCTGGGTTCAAGCAATTCTCCTGCCTCAGCCTCCCGAGTAGCTTGGACTACCGGCACGCCACCACGCCCAGCTAATTTTTTTATTTTCAGTGGAGACGAATTCCACCATGTTGGCCAGAATGGTCTCGATCTCTTGACCTCTTGATCTGCCTGCCTCGGCCTCCCAAAGTGCTGGGATTACAGGCATGAGCTACCGCACCTGGCCCAAAGCATTTTCAGTAGCCATAAAGTTGCTTTTTAAAGACACAGCAAAGCGGTATTAGACTTTTTTTTTTCTTTTTTTGAGACGGAGTCTTGCTCTGTTGCCCAGGCTGGAGTGCAGTGGTACGATCTCGGTTCACTGCAACCTCTGCCTCCCGGGTTCAAGCGATTCTCCTGCCTTAGCCTCCCGAGTAGCTGGGATTACAGGTACGTGCCACCATGCCCTGCTAATTTTTGAATTTTTAGTAGAGACTAAAAATTTAGTTTCACCATGTTGGTTAGGCTGGTCTTGAACTCCTGACCTCAGGTGATCCACCTGCCTCGGCCTCTCAAAGTGCTGGGATTACAGGTGTGAGCCACGGCGCCTGGCCAGTATTAGACATTTTTAATGCATTTTTTATTTGTTGGTGATTGTCATCAACAGTACAACAACTATAACAAAAATCGTGTTTATGTTTTAGCCAAAGAAAATATGTGAGAATTCACCCAGAGGTGCTGGACTTCACTGGTTTGATGGTCAGCTTAGTCTAAAATTAACACCATTGTTCAGCTTGTCAAGTTCTGTCCGAGGAAGGAAGTTGGACATTGGTTTCCCATATTTGGCTCAACCAGTGTGTGACAGACACTGTTGTTTGGCTGACCCCACATCCTGAACCCTCTTTTCGCTAAATACTCATTTCCCAGTTTTCTGTGCAATTAGGAGTGGCTGTCTGACCCAGAAGCAGAAGTTTGCTGAAGAACAGATGTGACTGGCACTATTACTTCTGTCATCTGCCTTGAACGCTGAAGTTGTATCTGGAGTTGTAGCCGCCACTTTGAGGCCATGAGGAGGAATGGGAGAGTGCAAAGATACAGAGTCTGGGCCTTGATGGCATCAAGTGGTCAGACCAACTCCAGTAGCTGTCTTCCTCAGATTTCTGTTAGTGAGAAAAGTAAGTTCCTATTTATTTTAGCCAGCATTATTCAGGTTTAGATTCATAGAGCATAGTGGAGATGACTTGTAGAATGGTGCCAAGAAGGCAGCAGAAACTATCCATTAGGGCAGGTGCAAATGGTCATAAATGTTCTATGGATAATCTGTTTGGATTTTGAGTAATAACTTGCCATATTATTTGAGGAGTCACCAATTCTTAAAAATAAATCAAGAAAAATGTAGTGTTTTCTAAATATTATGTTTCAGGGCTTTATTCAAATGTAACTTTAAAAAATTTGTTTTTAGGTAATAGACATTATAAACTGCCTCTGGGAAACCTCAGATTTGTCCCCAAGATTATGAATATTATGTACCTTTCACCAGTGGCATGTGTTAGTCATACTAGGAAGAGGTCAGGATTAGGGTCTCTGGGTCCTTGGAGTTTCTACCAGCCAGCTGCCTAATATTGCCAAGTTTCCTGAGAAGACCCTCCAGGCATCTGCTCTGTTTGTGGTTTATTCAGTTATAATAAGTTATAATATTCAGTAGAATTTTAAAAAATCTTTTCATTGTACTGAAGTGACATGGTAAATGACTTTAGATCAATATGTTGATTTTTCTTAGACCAAAGGCTTCCCTGTCTTTGATGTTGCCCTCTTAAGTCACACACTGTCACATCATGGTCTTTAATTTCCTTCCTAGTACCTATCGCTGTTTGACGTTATCTTACTTACCTGTTTACAAGACCCCTCTCCTTAACTGTGACTTCATCAGAGCAGCCGTCTCCTCTGTCTTGCTTACCATTGTAGCCCCATCGCTTAGACAAAAGTCTGACACAAGTCTTAATGTTTGGAATTTTTGCCTTTGAACTTTAAGAAAACTACTGGTTTATTTCATATTTTTAGATTAATTTTGTTTCTGAATGATGAAAGAAGAGAGATTTCAGGATGCTTTTTTCAAGTATCCTTTTGTAAATAATGTTGTAGCTATGAGTAACTTAACCCCCAGTAAATAAAAAGTCAAGATGGAGATAGTCTTCATTATATATTTTTCTCTTGTGTAGTCATTTTGATGAGTTGAATTTAACTTACAGATCTGGTAGAAATTATTTTGAAAGAAATTTGCAGAATTGTATTTATGTTCCTTGTTAACATACATTTCTATACAAGTTTTTCTTCTATATCTTGTGTTCAACCAGTGGTCTATTACAGGTACCCAATAAACAGTATAGAACTAATTCAAAATCAGCTAGGCTGCTAAGGGAGTTGAACTGTGAGGAAGCTTCTCAAGATCCACTCCAGAAAACAGACAATGAATTACTTATTAAACAGAGCTACTGTTGGGCCGGGCGCGGTGGCTCACTCCTGTAATCCCAGCACTTTGGGAGGCCGAGGCAGGCGGATCATGAGGTCTGGAGATCAAGACCATCCTGGCTAACACGGTGAAACCCCGTCTCTGCTAAAAATACAAAAAATGAGCCAGGTGTGGTGGCGGGAGCCTGTAGTCTGAGCTACTCAGGAGGCTGAGGCAGGAGAATGGTGTGAACCCAGGAGGTGGAGTTTGCAGTGAACTGAGAGTGCGCCACTGCACTCCAGCCTGGGCGACAGAGTGAGACTCTGTCTCAAAAACAAAAAACACAAAACAAAAGCAGAGCTACTGTTTCGTACGTTGATGCTTAAACCTGGGAGGTTGTGAGCCACCAGTTGAAAATTGCTGTCTGAGATTCATCTATACTGTGTTTTTGTTTTTCCCCTGTACTATGTTTTGATTTGATTTAATGACAGCCAAATAAACCAGACTTTCTCTCCTCCATGCCCTGGAGCCCAGGGGATTGTATGCTGCTGCACTTCTTTGCTTTATGAGGTCTCCTGGCCTGTGCCTTTCCAGATCAGTTATTCCTCCAAGAGTTCAGGTCCCTTCTCAAGCTTGTAAAGAGATAGGCCTTCTCAGGCTCCAGCTACTTGGTAGGGAAGAAGGAGAGGAAAAAAGCAGCTTGAAGTAGTCCTAATATGAAAACATCCCAAGAAAGAAACACCTGAAAACAATATTCTTTATGGAAGATGCAGCTTTCTTTTTTCTGAGATGTAGTCTCGCTCTGTCGCCCAGGCTGGAGTGCAGTGGCACGATCTCAGCTCACTGTAACCTCTGCCTCCTGGGTTCAAGTGATTCTTCTGCCTCAGCCTCCCGAGTAGCTGGGACTACAGGCACATGCCACCACGCCGGGATAATTTTTGTATTTTTAGTAGAGACGAGGTTTCAGCATATTGGCCAGTCTGGTCTCGAACTCCTGACCTCGTGATCCGCCTGCCTCAGCCTCCCAAAGTGCTGGAATTACAGGCGTGAGCCACTGCGCCTGGCCAAGATACAGCTTTTAACCTCTCCATTCTTCTGGCAGTCCTGAGCTTTCCCCACTCCCCAAAATGGTAGCCAGTTTTGCCCATGGCACAGCTCTTCTTTCTCCATCTTTTCTTCCTTCTAGGGTATGAAGCAATGCTCTGAGCTTGCCTTAGAGCAGCAATGTCCAAATGCAAGGCTAGAAGCAAGTTTTTATTTTATGGTAAAATGAGAAAAAGAAAGCCAATGTATGTATAAGTGCATTGGAAAGTTGCCACTTGTCTTTTGTTCTGAAATTAGGTTTGTCCTAGTGTTTTTGGTACTAAAATGTTCTTTATGAACTGGATGGTCATGCTGGACGGTACTTATGTTTAATCTTTTATTTACTTACATGACAAAATATGGTAGTGGCAACTATTAGTACCTTTTATTTATTACATTTTTTTTTCTTTTTTTTTTTAATGAGATGGAGTCTCACTCTTGTCGTCCAGGCTGTAGTTCAATGGTGCGATCTCGGCTCGCTGCAACCTCCGCCTCCCAGGTTCAAGCAATTGTCTTGCTTCAGCCTCCCAAGTAGCTGGGATCGCAGGCACACGCCACCACACCCGGCTAATTTTTGTGTTAATTGTAGGGACGGGGTTTCACCATGTTGGCCAGGCTGGTCTCAAACTCCTGACCTCAGGTGATCCACTCACCTCAGCCTCCCAAAGTGCTGGTATTACAGGCGTGAGCCACTGCGCCCGGCCAATTAAAATGTTTTTAGGTCAGGCATTGTGGCTCACACCTGTAATCCCAGCATTTTGGGAGGCTGAGGCGGGTGGATTACTTGAGGAGTTCGAGACCAGCCTTGCCAACATAGCAAAATCCTGGCTCTACTAAAAATACAAAAATTAGCCAGGTATGTGCTCACCTGTAATCCCAGCTACTTGGGAGGCTGAGGCAGGAGAATCACCTGAACTCAGGAGGCAGAGGTTGCAGTGAGCTGAGATTGTGCCACTGGACTCCAGCCTAGGCGACAGAGTGAGACTGTCTCAAAAAAAATTTTTTTTTAATTGTGGTAAAATATATGTAATGTAAAATTTGCACAACTTTAGGTATTTAAAAGTGTACAGTTCAGTGGCATTAAGTACATTCACATTGTTGTGCAACTGTCACTTCTGTCCATCTCAAGAACGTTTTCATCTTCACTAACTGATACTCTGTACCTATTAAGCAGTAAGTCTCAGCCAGATATGGTGGCACACGTTGCAGTCCTAGCTGCTTGGGAGGCTGAAGGGCAAGGATTGCTTTAGCACAGGAGGTCGAGGCTGCAGTGAGCTATGATCATGCCACTGTACTCCAGCCCGGGCAACAGAGTGAGACCCTGTCTCTAAAAAACAAAACAGTAAGCTCCCATTCTGGCCTCCTCTCTGCCCCTGGCACTACCTTCTCTCCCTCCCTCCCTCCCTCCCTCCCTCCCTCCCTCCCTCCCTTCCCTCTCTCTCTTTCTCTCTCTCTCTCCTTCTCTCTCTCTTTCTCTCTCTTGCTGTTTCTCTCCTTTTCCTTTCTTTCTCTCTTTTCTTTTCTTTTTTCGACAAGGTCTTGCTCAGTCACCCACGCTAGAGTGCAGTGGCAAAATCATGACTCACTGCAGTCTCAACCTCCTCAGCTCAAGTGATTCTCCCACCCCAGCCCTCCGCAGTAGCTGGGATTATAGGCATGCATCACCATGCCCAGCTACTTTTTGTATTTTTTTTTTTTTGGTAGAGATGGGGTCTTCCTATGTTGCCCAGGCTGGTTTTGAACTCCTGGGCTCAAGTGATCTGCTGGCCTTGGTCTCCCAAAGTGCTAGGATTACAGGTGTGAGCCTGACCCATTCTACTTACTTTTTAAAAAATATTATTTATTTATTTATATATATTTTTTGAGACAGAGTCTCGCTCTGGCTCTCAGGCTAGAGTGCAGTGGCGCAATCTTGGCTCACTGCAACCTCTGCCTCCGGGGCTCAAGCAATTCTCCTGCTTCAGTCTCCTGAGTAGCTGGGATTACAGGCTTGCGCCACCACCCCTGGCTAATTTTTGTATTTTAGTAGAGACGAGCTTTCACCATGTTGGCCAGGCCAGTCTTGAACTCCTGACCTCATGTGATCCACCTGCCTTGGCCTCCCAAAGTGCTGGGAATACAGGCGTGAGCCCCGTACCCGGCCTGTATTTATTTTCAGAGATGAGTTCTTGCTGTGTGACCCAGACTCGTCTCGAACTCCTGGCCTCAAGGGATCCTCTTGCCTCAGCCTCTTGTATAGCTGGGAATACAGACATGAGCCACTATGCCCCATTCTGCTTTCTATCTCAATGAATATGACTACTCCAGGTATCTCATAAGTGGAATCATAATTTTTGTCTTTTTATGACTGGCTTATTTCACTTAGCATGATGTCTTCAAATTTTATTCATCTTGCAACATGTGTCAGAATCTCATTCCTTTTTAAGGCTAAATAATATCCCAGGACTTTATTTATTTATTTATTTTATTTATTTTTGAGACAGAGTCTTGCTCTGTTGCCAGGCTGGAGTGCAGTGGCGCGATCTTGGTTCACTGCAACCTCTGCCTCCCAGGTTCAAGTGATTCTCCTGCCTCAGTCTCCTGAGTAGCTAGGACTACAGGTCCTGCCACCATGCCTGGCTAATTTTTGTATTTTTAGTAGAGATGGGGTTTCATCATGTTGGCCAGGCTGGTCTCAGACTCCTGGCTTCAGGTGATCCACCCGCCTTGGCCTCCCAAAGTGCTGGGATTACAGGTGTGAGCCACCTTGCCTGGCCGATTTATTTTAAAAACTTGTCTGTGAAATTTTAAAAATCTGGAAATTACTTGTCAACATTGTGTCCTGGATGGACTAATATTTTACTGATTGGTTCTTTTATTTTATTTATTTATTTATTTATTTTTGAGACGAAGTCTCGCTCTGTCACCCAGGCTGAAGTGCAGTGGCATGATCTTAGCTCACTGCAAGCTCCACCTCCTGGGTTCACGCCATTCTCCTGCCTCAGCCTCCTGAGTAGCTCGGACTACAGGCACCCGCCACCGCGCCCGGCTAATTCTTTTTATTTTTAGTAGAGATGGGGTTTCACTGTGGTCTCGATCTCCTGACCTCGTGATCCGCCCGCCTCAGCCTCCCAAAGTGCTGGGATTACAGGTGTGAGCCACCGCACCCAGCTGATTGGTTCTTCTAATAATTATTTGTTGTACCTTATATACACTCTACTGGATGCTATTGGTGTGTTACATAATGGCCAGTTCTTAGGCCCTGCCTGAGTTTTTGATTTATGATGGGAGGTAAAGCTTCACTTATCAAGGTAAAGGTTGGGCAAAAGATACAGTATTTGTGAAGAATGGAGAGGATTTATGTATGACTTCCCGTTGTTTAGATTTGTTCCGTTGTTGTTGTTGTTGTTGTTTTAATATCCTAGGCCATGGCAGGCCATTGTTTAGTTTTAGAAACTGTCAGTAGCACTTGTATTTTTAAAATCAACTTATTAAAAAAAATTCTACAGAAGGCAAACAACAAGTTGAGCTGCTGTCGGATATATTGGAAATAAGGGAGTTTTATAATGCTAGAGAACAAAAGGGCTTGGCTTGTAGATGAGGACAAAACCTTAGTAAGTTTATTTATATTCAGTTATATTTACAATAATTTACCATAAGACAGCTTGTCAGCTGTTAAATGTTTCCTCCACCAATCATGTTTTCTGACTTTTTACAATCATGTTACATGTTTCTTTATTCTTAATGCCCAACAGAGGTAGATAAAAACAGCCCTTGTAATATAATAGTTTGACAGCAATAGAAAACACCAGCAGAAAAATTTGTTACTTAAAACAGATCATGGTCAAGTTTAGTCTTACTTGAGAGCTTGACACAGTCTGGTTAGTTAGCAACTAGCTTCCTTGTTAGCGTCTCTGGAATAGAGGAGAAACAGACGTTGGGCGACAACCGTGGTGAAACCCTGTCTCTACTAAAAATACAAATATTAGCTGGGCGTGGTGGTGGGTGCCTGTAATCCCAGCTACTTGGGAGGCTAAGGCAGGAGAATCGCTTAAACCTGGGAGGAGGAGGTTGCAGTGAGCTGAGATCGCGCTACTGCACTCCAGCCTGGGTGACAGAGCGAGACTATCTCAAAAAAAAAAAGAAGAAAAAGAAAAAAAATTACTGCTGGGCACTGATTATGATTATTTCTATTGTGAGGATGATTGTGGGGGTAGGAGGAACTTTTCTGACATTTCAGAAGGCTGGCTCCTTAATGTTGAACTGGACATGGGAAAGGTAGAAATGTGCAATTTCTAAAAATACATGCTGATCAGAACTCTCACCTAGCCCATGCTTAATACATCTATTTTGGGCCCTGTTTCCCACTGCCAAGACTCTCTAATCTCTCACAACTGCTGAGTTTGCTTCTTACCCTTAAGTGACAAGCCTGCTTCCCTTATTCTCCTTCATGAGTTAGGATAAAAATTCAGTTATTTTTCAGTGCTGCGGTGGATGAGCAGTTAAGTCTGCCCTTTATTTACCTTTGGTTATTTGCCGTTTCTGCTAATCTCTTTTGCATAGTTGCCTGCCTTGAGTGAAAGTGACTAAATGCCAGTACTTGTTAACTTGCAAAGGAACCCAGGTAATCTTTTATCCTTCATGAGTTGAGATATGGATCTGGAGGACCCCCAAGCTCTGCTGCCCTAGAACCCAATAAACTTTGGCGTAGCTGTTAGCATATTATGCAACCTCTCAGTTCATAAACCAGCTATGAATGTCTGATAGCTTTTGGTTACCCAGCAAAGTAGAGGGGAAAACCACGTCCTGGCAGGTTTGAGTGTTGTGCTCAATCGTTAACTGTATATTCTGAGCACATTTTACTAGTCTAAGCTGTTAGAATCCATGTGCCATACAGAACTGAAGCTACCAAAAGCTCTTTATTCGGATGCAAATTCTCAGGACTCTCATGAGGGTTAGCTCATGGTAGCTAGTGCTGCAGCAGTCAAACGGAGACAGGTGGTGTATGGAAATAATGGCTTTAGAGTCACATCTGAAGTTCAGGTCTGAATTATTCTCTTTAAACCAGTTTCCTCAAGTGTAAAACAGAAATACATCCACTAATACCATCTGATTCCTAGGGTTATTGTGAGAATTTAATTAGGTTATATTTACATGAATAGAACTTGGGGCCAGGCGCAGAGACTCACGCCTGTAATCCCAGCACTTTGGGAAGTTGAGGTGGGGGGATCACTTGAAGTCAGGAGTTTGAGACCAGCCTGGCCAATATTGTGAAACCTCGTCTCTACTAAAAATGCAAAAATTAGCTGGGCATGGTGGCAGGCCCCAGCTACTCAGGAGGCTGAGGCAGGAGAATCACTTGTTACTAATAATTTTTTGAGTTTATATTGAACCTTTAGTGATCTGTTGAGGTAATCTAGCATATAATTTAAAAATATTTTTAATCCATGAGCTAGCCCACTAGCTCATACCTGTAATCCCAGCACATTGGGAGGCCAAGGCAGGAGGATCTCTTAAGGCCAGAAGTTTGCCACCAGCCTGGGCAATGTAGCAAGACCCCATCTCTACAAAAAATAAAATTAGCCAGGTGTGGTGGCATGCTCCTGTAGTCCCAGCTACTCCGGAGGCTGAGGTGGCAGTGAGCTATGATCATGCCACTGCACTCTAGCCTGAGGTACAGAGCAGGACCTTTGTCTTTCCTTCTCTCTTTATGTGTGTGTATGTGTATATATAATGAATGTATGTTTAGTACTTTTAAAAATAGACTTTACTTTTTAGAGCAGTTTTTGGTTCATAGCAAAATTGAGTGTAAAGTACAGAGTTCCCATAGGTCCCCTGCCTCCACAGGCAATCTCCCTCACTATCAGCATCCTGAACACAGTGGTATATTTGTTACAATCAGTGAGCCTACTATGACACATGATTATCACCCAAAGCCCATACTTTACATTAGAGTTCTCTCTTGCTGGTGTACTTCCTATGGATTGGACAAATGTATGCACCAGACAGAGTAGTTTTACTGCCCTAAAAATTCTCTGTTCTTTCTCTACCTATTCATCCCTCCCTCTCTGCTCACCCCTAACAACCACTGATCTACTGTCTTCATAGTTTTGCCTTTTCCAGAATGTTATCTAGTTGGAATCTTACAGTATGTGGCCTTTTCATGTTGGCTTCTTTGATTTAGTAATATGCATTAAAGTTTCCTCTATGTCTTTTCATAGCTTGATTGAGTACTGAATAATATTCCTTTATGTGGTTGTACCACACCTTATTTATCCATTCACCTACTGAAGGACGTCATGGTTGCTTCCAAGATTTTGGCAATTATGAATAAAGCTGCTATAAACATACATGTGCAGGTTTTTGTGTCACTTAAGTTTCTGACTTTTTGGGGTAAATACCAAGAAGTATGATTGTGTTATCATAGGGTAAGAGTATATGTAGTTTTGTAAGAAACTGCCAAACTGTTTTCCAAAGTTGCTGTACCATTTTGTATTCACCCCAGTGAGCAAATGAGTTTCTGTTGCTCCACATCCCCACCAGCATTTGGTGGTGTTCAGTGTTCTGGATTTTGGCTATTCTAATAGGTGTTAAGTAGTGTCTTCTTGTTGTTTCATTCGCATTTCCCTGTTGACATATGATGTGAAACATCTTTTTATATTCATTTACCATCTGCATATGTTCTTTTAAAAATTATTTTTTAGAGACAGGGTCTCACTCTGTCACCCAGGCTAGAGTGCCAGTGGTGTGATCATAGCTCACCGTAACTGAACTCCTGGGCTCAAGTGATCCTCCCACCCCAGCTTCCCAAGTAGCTGGGACTGCAAGTGCACACCACCATGCTGGCTAATTTTTAAAATTTTTTATAGAAATGGGGTCTTGCTATGTTGCCCAGAGTGATGTCAAACTCCTGACCTCACGCAGTCCTCCTGCCTCAGCCTTTCAAAGTGCTAGGATTATAAGTATGAGCTACTGCTCCTGGCCCCATATGTATATATTTCTTCATGAGGTGTCTGTTCACATCTTTTGCTCATTTTTTAATTGGGTTTTTTTATTGTTGAATTTTAAATGTCCTGTGTATATTTTGGATGAATCCTTTATCAGATAAGTCTTGTGAAAATATTTTTTTTCCATCTTGTGGCTTGTGTCTTCTCATTCACTTGGTATGTAGTACATTTTAACTTATTTTCCAGGGGAAAAAAAAACTAGTTATTTGAGCTTTTTCTGCATGTGTGTCTGTGGCGGAGGGCGAGAGAATAAGAGTAACTTTTTCCAGTCTTACTAAATGGTCATTCTGCTTTCCTTCAAAAGTTAAGTAGTTATTATAGACAATCTTTTTTGTTTGTTTGTTTTTGAGATGGTGTCTTGCTCTGTCGCCTAGTGGCACAATCTTGATTATCTCGGCTCACGGCAACCTCCACCTCCTGGGTTCAAGTGATTCTCCTGCCTCAGCCTCCTGAGTAGCTGGGATTACAAGTGCCCACCACCATGCCTGGCTAATTTTTGTATTTTTAGTAGAGACAGGGTTTCACCATGTTGGCCAGGCTGGTCTCGAATTCCTGACCTCAGGTGATCCACCCACCTTGGCCTCCCAAAGTGCTGGGATTGCAGGTGTGAGCCACTGTGCCCGGCGTTTGTTTTGTTTTGTTTTGTTTTTGTTTTTAGCTTTTTTTTTTTTTTTTTTTTTGAGACAGGGTCTCACTCTGTTTCCCAGGCTGGAGTGCAGTGGCACAATCACCACTTACTGCAGCCTTGCAGCTTCAACCTCCCCAGGCTCAGGTGATCTTCCTTCCTCAGCCTCCTGAGTGTGTGGGACTACAGGCATGTGTCACCATGCCTGGCTAAATTCTTGTATTTTTTGTAGAGATGGGGTTTTTCTATTTTGTCAGGCTGGTCTCCAACTCCTGGACTCAAGCAATCTGCTCACTTCAGCCTCCCAGCGTATAGACATTCTTAAAACTAGTTTTAACATGTCACACCCACTAGAGTGGAAAATAACAAGTGTTAGTGAGGATGTGGAGAAATTGGATACCTCATACATTGCTGGTGGGAATGCAGAATGGCTCAGCTGCTGTGGAAGTTTAGTGGGTCCTCAGAAACTTAAATGTAGAATTATGTTTGATCCAGCAGTTTCATTTTTAGGTATGTACTTAAAGGGATTGAAAAGCTTGTACTCAAACATTTGTAGAGGAATGTTCAGCACTATTTACAATAGCTAAAAGGTAGAAACAACCAAATGTTAACCAGTAGATGAATGGATAAACACATTGTGGTATATGGTGTATACATAAATTGGAATGTTATTCAGCTATAAGGAATGAGGTGGTGATACATGCTACAATATGGATGAACTTTTCAAATATGCTAAGTGAAAGAAGACAGACGCTAAAGGTCACATATTTATTGTATGCTTCCATTTATATGAAGTATGCAGAATAAGCAAATCCATAGATACAAAAAACAAATTGATGGTTGCCAGGAAGTGGGAGGATGGGGACAGGGAATAACTGCTAAATAGGTATGAGTTTTTTTGTTTGTTTGTTTTTGTTTTTTTAGGCAGTCTTGCTCTTGTCCCCCAGGCTGGAGTGCAGTAGCACGATCTCGGCTCACTGCATCCTCCACCTCCCAGGTTCAAGCAATTATCCTGCCTCAGCCTCCCAAGTAGCTGGGACTACAGGCGCCCGCCACCACACCCGGCTAATTTTTTGTAGTTTTAGTAGAAACTGGGTTTCACCGTGTTAGCCAGGATGGTTTCGATCTCCTGACCTTGTGATCTGCCCACCTCGGCCTCCCAAAGTGCTGGGATTACAGGCATGAGCCACCGCACCTGGCCGAATTCTCAATCTTAATGTGGTCGTTACTTAGGTTTTTCTGTGATTTATTGTGATAACTCCTTATCTTCCTAAATTGAGTAAATGTTATTTCCAGTAGAATAAAACAGTCTGATGGTTAAATTTAATTCATTTCAGAACACAAAAATTTGTGACATAGTACTTGAAATTACATAAAAATATTTTCCTTGCAATAACTATCTTTCTATCTTAATTTTCTCCTATATAGTTACTGTATTATTCCTGGTCCACCATATGATTGGCTCTTTTTTTTGTTCTCATGTTTGTAAGAACGATAAACTTGAATTCATACATCCGTGAAGAGCTGTTTGTGCCCTGTCTACTCTCTGGTTATTGCTCCTCTGCCCAGTCCTAGCTCTGGCCCCCCTGTGAGGCGTGGGTTTCATATTTCATGGCTCTAGCTGGGCATCTGGCCAGGCCATCATGGTTTACAATCTGTTGGTATAAAGTAAAAATTTCTTTTTTACTTTAAAAAATAATTTCCACATAATCACTTGATTGTGCTTATGTGTGGAATTAGTATTTTAATACTAACCTGTGAAAATTTTCTGTGACTCCTTTGAAATAATAAGCCATAGGATGGAGTTAGGAACCCATTATAACAGTAACAAAAAAGAATAAACTTAAGACATAGATAAGGTCTGTGCAGAGAAAACTTTTTAAATATTATTGAAAAAACTTGAAAAAGTATCTTGCTCTTAGGTGGGAAGTTTCAACATCCTGTCGATTATTGTAAATTAATCTATAAATTCAACTTGATTCCTGTAGAAATTATAAGGGGTGTGTGTGTGTGTGTGTGTGTGTGTGTGTGTGTAAACTACTCATGCAGTTTCTGAGTTCAAATGGGTAAGAAACCTTGGAGGAAAAGCCAGTAAAACTCTGAAAAAGAAGAGTGAAGGGCAAGTATGGTGATGTTAGCCCCATGAAACCATATTGCAGACTGTGATACTTAAAATAGAATACTACTAAGCTGGATCATGAATTGGCAAATGAATCAATAGAACCGAATAGGTAGTCCAGAAGTAGACTTCAATGCATATAGGAACAACTGGCAATACCTGGAAAAAAGTATAGTTGGATTCTTTCCTCATATTTATAATCAGAATAATTTTTACATAGATGGGAAGTACAAACATTAAAAACTACGGTCATAAATTACTAGAAGAAAACCTGGGATAATTTCATTGTAATCTTGGACTGAGGCAGGACCTTCTAATTATGCTAATTCAAGTTATAGAAGAAAAGATTTGAAGGACCTACATGAATGAAAAGCTATACCTTGCTTATGGATTAGAAGACATACAGTTTTTTCTGAAATCTATTTGGTTTTATAATACTAATCAAAATCTCAGCAGGTTTCTTTTAAAAAATAATAAATTCATTCTAAAATATACGAAAGTATAAATGGCTAAGAATAACCAATGCATTAAATTTTTTTTTTTTTTTGCAGGGTGCAGGGGATATAGGGTCTTGCCCTGTCACCCAGGATGCAGTATAGTGGGATGATCACGGCTCATTGCAGCCTCAGCCTCCCAGGCTCAGGCGCTCCTCCCACCTCAGCCTCCCTAGTATTGCTGAGACTACAGGTGCTCACTACCATGCCCCGCTAATTTTTTAGTTTTTAGAAAGATAAGGTTTTGCCCTGTTGTCCAGGCTGGTCTGGAACTCCTGGGCTCAAGCGGTCCACCTGGCCTCCCAAAGTGCTAGGATTACAGGCATGAGGCACCATGCCTGGCCTAAAAAAAAACCTTTTATTATGGAAAACTTAAAACCTCTCCCAAAGTGGACTGAATAGTATAGTGAACCCCCATGTACTCCTCAGTCAGCTTCAACTGTTATCAGCTCGTGGCCAATTTTGTAGGATGTATATTCGTAATCACTCCTCCCCCTCCACTATTATTTTGGGTCAAATCTCAAACACTGTATGATTTTATCTGTAATTTTTCAGTAAGTACTTCTAAAACAGAATACTGTCTTTAAAAAATAACCACAATTTGGCCGGGCGTGGTGGTTCACGCCTGTAATCCCAGCACTTTGGGAGGCCGAGGCAGGCGGATCACGAGGTCAGGAGATCGAGACCATCCTGGCTAACACGGTGAAACCCTGTTTCTACTAAAAATACAAAAAATTAGCCGGGCATGGTGGCGGGCGCCTGTAGTCCCAGCTACTCAGGAGGCTGAGGCAGGAGAATGGCATGGACCTGTAAGGCGGAGCTTGCAGTGAGCCAAGATTGCGCCACTGCACTCCAGCCTGGGCAACAGAGCGAGACTCCGTCAAAAGAAAACAAAAAAAACCCCCACAATTCCATAATTATACCTAAAAATAATTATATAGAAAACACAAAATAAATGATTGATTTTTTTTTCCCCCTCAGTTTGTCATTATTCCCCAAATTAGTGAGTTGGTTCATTGGCATCCTTCAGTGGTTACCAGTTCTGTTTTTATTTCTTAAAAATTATTAGTATAAACTCATGGATTTAAATATATTTGATATTCTAGTCTGTTGCTGTTATTCTTACTGGCCCATTTTTGACCAGTGTGAGCCTTTTCAAGTTAACTCCTGAATCCTTTTGATACAGTCCTAGTGGGTTTTGATAGCTTCTTCAGTATCTGATTTGACAAGATGTTTTAGACTTATATTGTATATTTCCTGTTGGTCATGGAATCAGCCGTATCAGGAATGAAAGTATTCTGTAGAAAGAATCAGTATTGGTTTTACAGATATCGAAAGGATAATAAGGGAATATTGTGAACAACTATAAGGCAATCAAATCAGTATTTTCAATGAAATGGGCAAATTTCTTTTTTAAATGTAATTTTTAATTTTTGTGGGTACGTAAGATATTTTGATATAGGCATACTATGAGTAACAATAACATCAGGGTAAATGGGGTACCTATTACCTCAGGCATTTATCCTTTCTTTCCAGGGCCTTCTTACATTGTTAAGTATCTGGTTCCTAAGATGTCCAGTATCACAGACACAGCCAGGAACTGTGTGTCCTGCATTTAAAATACACAGTCCCTTCGTGGCTCCTGTCATGCTTTCTCTCTTGAGATTGTCCCATTCTACTCCTAAACAGGGTCTTATGTTTACTGGTTTATTATAAAGGACATTGCAAAGGATACAGATGAAGAGATGCATAGGGGAGGTATGGGGGAAGGGGACCGAGCTTCCATGCCTTCCCTGGGCACACCACCCTCTAGGGACCTTCACATGTTCAGCTATCTGGAAGTTCCCCAAACCCTTTCCTCTTGAGTTTTTATCCAAATTTCTTGAAAGATACAAACTACTAAAGCTTCTTTAAGAATAAATAAATAAGCCTATGTCTATTAAAGAAATTGAATTTGTAGTTAAACCCTCCCCCCACCCCCCACCCCCCCAAAAAAACAGCTGTAGGGCCAGGTGGCTTTGCTGGTGAATTCTAAAGATATTTAAGAAGTAGTATCATTCTACACAATTTCTTTACTTTTTAGAAAATAAAAGAAGTATAATTTCTTTATTTTTTAGAAAAGAAGAGGGAATGTTTGCCTATTTTATAAAGCCAGTATTACCTTGATACCAAGATGGTACATTACAAGAAAAGAGAACATCAGACACTGTATCCTTCGTGAACAGAGACCCCAACCCTAAACTAGACATTAGCAACTTGCATCCAGCAATATACCAAAAGAATAATACATCGTGACTAACTGTGATTTATTCCAAAAATACAAGGCTGGTTTAACATTTAAAAACTGGTCAGTGTAATTTACCACACTGACAGACTAAAAAAAAGAACCACCATATCATCGTATCAATAGATTCAGAAAAAGCATTTGACAAAATCCAATGTCCATTTATAATAATAATTAAAAAACAATCTCAGCACTAGGAATGGAACTTCCTTAACCTAATAAAGGGCATCTACCCCAAACAGCTAATATCATACTTAATATTGAAATAATGAATACATTCCTCCTAATACTGGGAATAGATAAGGTTGTCTGCTCTTACCACTTCTATTCAACATTATTCTGGAAGCCCCAGCCAGTTCAGTAAGGCATGAATGAGAAATAAAAGAAATATAAATTAGAGGGGAAGAGGCAAAACTATCTTTATTTGCTGTTAACATGATCATCTATATAGAAAATCCTAAGGAATCCACCAAAAAGCTACTAGAACAAATGAACAAATAAGTGAATTTAGTATGGCATAGAATATAAAGTATACAAATATAAAATAAAATATAAGTATACAAATATAAAATAAATATATAAAATACAAATATAAAATATAAAGTATACAAATATAAAATAAATACAAATATAAAGTAAATAAATATATATATATATATACTTTTTCCCCCCCGAGATAGAGTCTTGCTCTGTCGCCCAGGCTGGAGTGCAGTGGTGCCATCTCAGCTCACTGCAACCTCCGCCTCCCGGGTTCAAGAAATTCTCCTGCCTCAACCTCCCAAGTAGTTGGAACTACAGGTGCCTGCCACCACGCCTGGCTAATTTTTGTGTTTTTAGTAGAGATGGGGTTTCACCATGTTGGCCAGGCTGGTCTCGAGCTCCTGACCTCAAGAAATCCATCTGCCTCGGCCTCCCAGAGTGTTGAGATTACAGGCGTGAGCCACTGTGCCCGGCCAAGAGTGTGTATGTGTGTGTGTGTGTGTGTGTGTGTGTGTGTGTGTTTAATGAAATCTCACTATACTGCCCAGCTGGAGTGCAATGGCTGTTCATAGGATGATCATAGAGCACTGCAGCCTCAAACTCCTGGCCAGGCCCAGTGGCTCATGCCTGTAATCCCAGCACTTTGGCAGGTTAAGGTGGGTGGATCCCGTGAGTCCAGGAGTTCTAGACTAGCCTGGGACCAGGCGCAGTGGCTCACGCCTGTAATCCCAGCACTTTGGGAAGCCGAGGCGGGCGGGTCACCTGAGGTCAGGAGTTTGAGACCAGCCTGGCCAACATGGTGAAACCCTGTCTCTACTAAAAATATAAAAATTAGCCGGGCTTGATGGTGGGTGCCTGTATTCCCAGCTACTTGGGGGACTGAGGCAGGAGAATCTGAGGCAGGAGAATCGCTTGAACCCAGGAGGCAGAGGTTGCAGTGAGCCGAGACCATGCCATTGCACTCCAGCTTGGGCAACTCTGTCTCAAAAAAAAAAGAAAAAGACTAGCCTGGGCAACATGGCGAAACCCTGTCTCTACAAACAAGTATTAGCCGGGTATGGTAGCAGGCGCCTGTAGTCCCAGCCACTCAGGAGGCTGAGGTGGGAGGATTGCCTGAACCCGGGAGGTCAAGGCTTCAGTGAGCTATGATGCACCACTGCACTCCAGCCTGGGTGACAGAACGAGATCCTGTCTTAAAAACAAAAACAAAAGCAAGGCTGGGTGTGGCTCATGCCTGTAATCCTAGCACTTTGGGAGGCCAAGGCAGGCGGATCACTTGAGGTCAGGAGTTTGAGACCAGCCTGGCCAACATGGTGAAACCCTGTCTCTACCAAAAAAATAGAAAAATTAGCTGGATGTGATGGCACGCACCTTTAATCCCAGCTACTCGGGAGGCTGAGGTAAGAGAATCGTTTGAACCCCGGAGTTGGAGGTTGTAGTGAACAAGACTCTTGTCTCAAAAAAAAAAAAAAAAATACTTGGGAGTTGTGTATAGGTAAGTAAAACAAGATTGGCAAACATTGATAGTTATTGAAGCTGGACAGTGACTACTTAGGAATTCATTATATTTTCTCTCTGCTTTTATGCATGTTTGAAATTTGTGTATAACAAATAATAAGTTTTAAAAACATACCCTGTGGTTATTTAAAAAAAGGAAGGGGCTCTCAGAATGTACTGATAAAATGATCTCCAGGATTTAAGTGAAAAGGCAAAGTAGAACAATGTGTATAATGGGTTACTATTGGGGTTGACAAAGGGGAAAGAAAAGAATAAATATGTATTTGTTTATACTCATATGTTAGAATATCTCTAGAAGTCTTCACAAGAAGTGCCTCTTGGGACAGAGTTAAGAGAAAAGGCTTGCTTTTCATTATGTTTTTTTATACCCTTTGAATATATACATTATGTACTATTAAAAAAATAGATGTTTGAAAAGAGTAGAATTAGGAAGACGAATTCTAGACACATATACCTCTATCAGTTTAGAACAACAGAATATTAATGCTGAAAGAATTTTAGATTTGGACCATCTCATTTTAAAACTAAAAAAGCTGAAGTCTAGAGAGAGATAATTTTTTCATTGCATTTATGTGACTGGTGTCAGAGGCAGACCTGTAACCCAAAGTCTCCTGACTGTCCTCCTCTATAAAGATGACAGTGTACATTTGTGGTTTAAACTTTGACATCTTAAATTAGACTGAATTGTGGTTAATAAGTTCATGCTACCTTGGGAACACAATACCTGCCCTTGAGTTTACAGTGAATGTCTTCTGTTTGAGCATGTATTATGGAGGCTATCATTTGGTACATGGCTTGGCAAAATCAGCATATTGATGAGCAGGGATTTTACAGTGTATTCCTGTAGTTCTAAGACTGTGGGAAAGTTATGCAATTCATGGATGTCAGGAAATGTTGCTGTGGCTTTGTTTATTAAAATAAGCTCAAGGCCCAGGGATGGTGGCTCATGCCTGTAATTCCAGCACTTTGAGAGGCTGAAACAGATGGATTGTTTGAGCTCAGGAGTTTGAGACCAGCCTGTGGAACGCGGTGAAACCCTGTCTCTACAAATAATGCAAAAATTACCCAGGTGTGGTGGTGCACACCTGTAGTCCCAGCTGCTGGAGTGGGTGGGGGGTGTTGAGAGGATTGCTTGAGCCCGGGAAGTTGAGGCTGCAGTGAGCCAAGATGGCACCAGTGCAGTCCAGCATGGGCGACAGAGTGAGACCCTGTCTCAAAAAATAATGATATAATAAAATAACCTAAAGAAACTGGAGCATTTTAAATATTTCATTCACTTTATTTGGCTTTCAGAATTTTCCTAGGAAATAATGTTTGGGATTCTTCTTGGCCAATTATAAGTTTTTTTTTGTTTTTTGTTTTTTTTGTGGAGACAGGACCTCGCCATGTTGCCCATGTGGGTCTTGAACTCCTGGGCTCCCACAGTGCTGGGATTACAGGTGTGAGCCACCATGCCCACCTCCATTTATACATCTTAAATATTTGTTCTAAAATATTCAAGCCATACTCAAGGTTTTAAAGTAAAGCACCTCATCCTTAGCACTGCCAATTGCACTGTACAGAGGCAATCTCTGTACACCCTGGGGACTCACTTAAGAATGATACATCTGTGTGTATGTATATTTTTTCTATTTCTTTTTTTTTTTTTTTTTTTTTGAGACAGAGTTTGACTCTTGTCGCACAGGCTGGAATGCAATGGTGCGATCTCGGCTCACTGCAACCTCCACCTCCTGGGTCCAAGCAATTCTCCTCCTTCAGTCTCCCGATAGCTGGGATTACAAGCGCCCACGACCACGCCCAGCTAATTTTTGTATTTTTAGTAGAGTCAGGGTTTCACCATGTTGGCCAGGCTGGTCTCGAACTCCTGACCTCAGGTGACATGCCCGCCTTGGCCTCCCAAAGTGCTAGGATTACAGGCATGAGCCACCGCGCCTGGCCCTCTAATTTTTTTTTTTTTAAAGACATGGTCTTGCCTTATTGCCTAGGATGGAGTGCAGTGCACAATCATAGCTCACTGTAATCTCAATCTCCTGAGCTCAGATGATCCTCCTGCCTCAGCCAGCCACTAGGTCTGGCTAATTTTTTTTGTAGAGACAGGTCTCTCCATATTGCCCAGACTGGTCTTGAACGCCTGGCCTCAAAAGATCTTCCCATCTTGGCCTCCCAAAGTGTTTTTTTTTTTTTTTTTTTTTTTTTTTTAGGCAGGGGAGTGTAGAGACGAGGTCTCAATGTGTTGCCCAGGCTGGTCTGAAACTCCTAGGCTCAAGTGATACCCCCACCTCAGCCTCCCAGAGTGCTGGGATTACAGGGGTGAGCCACCGCGCCTGGCCACCAAAGTGTTCTTTTTTCCTTTTTTAAATTTCTGTCAGTGCGCATCCCAAAGTGTTGAGATTACAGATGTGAGCCACTGCGCCTGGCGCCGATATCTGTGTAATAGTTTGTATCTGTGGAAACCTTTTCATATTGTTCTTAAAATAATCTTGTTGCTCCCAAGATAAAAACTGTCAGAATATCTGTTCATAGCACAGTATGGTGTTTCTTTGTACTAGGCAGGGAATTTCCTCTTTGATTAAATAAGCAGCCTGATAAGCTAACTAAGGTGAAGCAATGTTTATAAGGCATTTTGTAAATTGACTGTTTATGTCTAGGGGTTCCTCCTTTTAGCATTTTTTTTAGTTCCTCTGTAGCTAAAAAAAATAGTTTTAAATTTTTAAAATAACTATTAAAAATAGTAGAATGGCTTTAAAGCTCTAGAAACTGAAACTTCTGTGCTTGGCCCTGTGATAATTTATTGATTTACTTTCAGCAAGTTATTTAACCTCATACTCAGCTTTACTCATCTTTTAAACATTTTATGGGATCATCATGCACAAGACTTTGTGACAGCTGTTCTTTAAAACACTGTGTAAAATATAGTATACGTCCATTTATCTGGAATCCAAACAAGTACAGATAATTACTCACTTTCATCTTGGCCTTATTTTTATGAAGGGACACATAAATTATTTAAAGGGCTCATCTGAAGATGCAATTTGCAGAGCATATCACAAATTTGATAGGATCTGGTCCTGGTGCCATCTGGGGTACCAGCAGAGCACTCTGGCAGTATTGGCAGTGCTAAGGGGCTTGTCAGATGTCAAGGGAATTGCATTGTTGGAAACAAGATCATGTTGAGTGCTTTACTGTATGCAACTGATTCTCCAGAAATCAGTAATATGTCCAGTCATGTAGTTTGTTAATCAAGATTTCCTATGGCATAGATTATCACCATAGATAATCTAATTTCTTTTCTTTTTTTTCTTTTTTTTTGAGACGGAGTTTCGCTCTGTCGCCCAGGCTGGAGTGCAGTGGCGCGATCTCGGCTCACTGCAAGCTCCACCCCCCGGATTCACGCCATTCTCCTGCCTAGCCTCCCGAGTAGCTGGGACTACAGGCACCCGCTACCACGCCTGGCTCATTTTTTGTGTTTTTAGTAGAGACGGGGTTTCACCGTTTTAACCAGGATGGTCTCGATCTCCTGACCTTGTGATCCGCCCGCCTCAGCCTCCCAAAGTGCTGGGATTACAGGCGTGAGCCACCGTGCCTGGCCTAGATAATCTAATTTATTTAAGGAGAGTATTTCCAGAACTTTAACCTAGGATCTCTGGAGTATATCTATGCCCACTATACCCTTGGCAGTAGGAATGGAGACTTGTCTGATACCAAGGTGGATAGTGGGTGGATAGGGAGAAAGGGGTCAGATCCTCTGGCCAGAGCTTTGCAAATGCCCATGTTCCCCTTCCGTTAGTCTCATTCTGGCTGGAAGATTCTGATACCATTGTTTCCAAAATCACCGTCGGTTTCCCTCTTAACTCCAGTCCCACATTCATATAATTTCTCACTAGAAATACTCATTAGATGTCTCACTGAACCCTCAAATTCATATGTTCAGAGGATGATTTCACAACTCCTCCCTGTGGTTCCCTCCTCCACTGACGCCTCCATATTCTCCTTGGAAGGCTGCTACACCATTGACCCAGCCCATATCCAAGGAGTCATATTCCCACGTCCTGTCAGTCACTTGGTCTTATAGACTCTTCTTTCTATGTATCTGGAAACCTATCACTTCCTTCTACTTCTGCCTCCTACTGTCTTAATCATTTCTCAACCTGAATTACTGCAGGAACCTGCTCCATTAGCATGCTGTCCCATCTCCAACATATGTCAAAGTAACCTTTCTAAAACTCAAATTGGGTTTTAGAGGCCAACTCAGGAGGATCCCTTGAGCCCAGGAGTTCAAGACCAGTCTAGACAACATGGCAAAACACCGTCTCTACAAAGTAAAAATAAAAAATATTAACCAGGCTTGGTGGTTAATAAATATATTATTTTAAAAATAAAAAATATTAACCATGCCTGTTGTCCCAGTTACTTGGGAGGCTGAGACAGGAGGATCACTTGAGCTCAGGAGTCCAAGGCTGCAGTAAGCCACGATTGCACCACTGCGCTCTAGCCTGGGCAAAAGAGCGAGATCCTGTCTAAAAAAAAAAAAAGAGAAACCTTCCCATATCATTTCTCCATTATGATGCATCCCCTACTCCCCAAGTCTGACTTGTTCTTTTGTTTCTTTCTATTTTTTTTTTGAGACGGAGTCTTGCGCTGTCACCCAGGCTGGAGTACAGTGGCGCGATCTTGGCTCACTGCAAGCTCCGCCTCCCGGGTTCACACCATTCTCCTGCCTCAGCCTCCTGAGTAGCTGGGACTACAGGCGCCCGCCACCACGCCCGGCTAATTTTTGTATTTTTAGTAGAGACGGGGTTTCACTGTGTTAGCCAGGATGGTCTCGATCTCCTGACCTCATGATCCACCCGCCTCGGCCTGCCAGAGTGCTGGGATTACAGGTGTGAGCCACCGCTCCCAGCCTGTTTCTTTTTTTTGAGACAGGGTCTTGCTCTGTCACTCAGGCTGGAGTGCAGTAGTGGGATCATAGCTCACTGCAGCCTCGACCTCCTGGGCTCAAGCAATCGTCCCAACTCAGCCTCCCCAGTAGCTGGAACTGTAAATATGCACCACCACGCCTGGCTATTTTTTTTTTGGTGGGGGGCGGTTTCTGTTGTTGCTTTTGTTTTTTTGAGACAGGGTTTCATTCCCATTGCCCAGGCTGGAATGCAGTCATGTAATCTTGGGTCACTGCAACCTCCTCCTCCTGGGCTTTAGCGATTCTCCTGCCTCACCCTCCTGCATAGCTGGGACTACAGGCTCACACCATCGTGCCCAGCTAATTTTTTTGTTTTTGTTTTTGTTTTGTAGAGACGGGGTCTTGAACTCCTGAGCTCAAGTGATCTGCCCGCCTCAGCCTCCCAAAGTGCTAGGATTACAGGCATGAGCCACTGCACCTGGCCTAATTTTTTATTTTTATTTATTTATTTATTTATTTATTTTTTTGGTAGACATGGGGGTTTCAGTATGTTGCCCAGGCTGGTCTTGAACTCCTGGCAAGTGCACCTCCTACCTCAGCCTCCCAAGTAACTAGGACTACTGGGTTTACAGGTATGAGCCAGTACGTCCGGGCAGGTATCTCTTTTCATTATCACTGTGGTATCCTCAAGCTAAGTATTTCTCACTCCGTATAATTACTCTTTTTTTGGTCTTTCACTAGATACTCAGTTCCTATAGGGCAGGGACTATGGGTTTCTTTTATATTTTAAAAATTTGTATTAAGCACTATTTAGCAAAAAACCCCACAACAATTTGTAAGAAATAAAACAATGGTGTTCCTGCTGTATTTCTCCCTCCCTTCATTAGGTTTATCATTCCCACAGATTTATCATTTCACTGCACACATGTCACTAATCAATAAAATGTTTTTTCTTCTGTGCCCATGTGGAAAACAAGTTGTCACTGCACCACCTGTTGATTTCTGCCTGCTCTGCAGAGCCACCTATATCATGAATCCAAGAGTCTATCTATGGATGGGTGTGTTCTGTGGGTCTCTCTATCCACTTCTGCGTAGATATCACCTGTCTCAATGACTAAAGCTTCAAAAAGGTCTGATACCTGGTCAGCTGGTTTCCCATTTTGATCTGCCTGCAAACTGCAGTGCAGTTAATCTCTTCCTCTCCAGTTCCTGGCTCATGATGTTACTTAATGAACGTTTGTTGAGTAGGTAATTTTTCCCCTTAGTGTATTATTTTTGAAATCTTTTTGGAGCTTTTGCACTTAATTTCTTTTCAGATAATTGTATATGTCAAAATCAAACTTCAGAATAAGAATTTACTGAACAGAACACCATTTAGTACTTTATATGATAGGAAGGAGTAAAACCACTGGCTAAAGTAAAAAATTTTTGTGGGTGGGCACAGTGGCTCATGCCTGTGATCCTAGCACATTGGGAGGCCAAGGCAGGAGGATTGCTTGAGGTCAGGAGTTCAAGACCAACCTGGCCAACATAGTGAGACCCCCATCTCTAAAAAATGAAGTTTAAAAAATTTAAAAATTAGCCGAGCATGGTGGTGTGTGCCTGTAGTCCCAGCTACTCGGGAGGCTGAAGCTGGAGGATCTCTACCGCCAAGGAGTTTGAGGCTGCAGTGAACTTTGATCCTGCCACGGCGCTTCAGCCTGGGCAACAGAATGAGACCCTGTCTCTACAAAAAGCAGAAACAGAAACTTTTTTTTTTTTTGTAGTAAATTTTCAATAGGTTGTCAAGGAAACTTACCGAGGAGAGCTATTTACCAGTAACAGTGTTTGCTTTGAAGTGTGGCTACAAACTAATGAGGCTTGCTTCCTTCAGCCTCATTATTGTAGTCCTAGTTCATATAGTCATGGCTGACTGTGCAAAGCAATAACACTTGCTAGATTTACTAATTAGTATTTCACATTGATTGAAATTTAGAAATTGAATGCTTATCTTTTGTCAGAGGTTTCCTTTTCTTTGCTTTATCTTTGAAATATTCCTGTAAAGGTTTTTCTTTTGGACTGTAACTTCATTGGATGGCCTTAGTCAGCCTTTGAAGCAATGCTTAGGTTTATAATGGCTGGCAAACACTTTACCGGGAAGTAAGGGAAGAAAGACTACGTGTTGTTATTTATACAACAAGTCACTGGAGGATTAACCCATTTTACTACTTTTTCTTCTTGAATCTTTTTGTAGTTGGATAAATATGACTTAAATGCTTTTGTCTACAGTCTTTGGAGGCCTTTTTTTTTAACCTTGTAATTCGAATTAACTTACATGCTTATATTTGGGTTTATTTTCTTTTGATAAAGAATGTTGTAAAATGTAAGATTGGTCACAGTTATTGAAGAGAATGAGTGTGGCAGTAGTTTTATGATTTAGTAATATAAAACTTGGCCGGGCGCGGTGGCTCACACCTGTAATCCCAACACTTTGGGAGGCCAAGGCGGGCGGATGACCTGAGTTCGGGAGTTCGAGACCAGCCTGACCAACATGGAGAAACCCCATCTCTACTAAAAATACAAAAATCGGCCGGGCGTGGTGGTGCATTCCTGTAATCCCAGCTACTCGGGAGGCTGAGGCAGGAGCATTGCTTGAACCCGGGAGGCAGCGGTTGCGGTGAGCCAAGATCATGCCATTGCACTCCAGCCTGGGCAACAAGAGCAAAACTCCGTCTCAAAACAAAACAAAACAAAACAAAAGTAAGGATAACCTTCTGGAAGGTTACTCCATTGAGGTGTAGACTCTGGGGGAAAAAAGTAGTAGCACTGAGTCCCTTCAGCTTTTTTTTTTTTTTTTTTGGGACGGAGTCTCGCTCTGTCGCCCATGCTAGACTGCCGTGGCGCAATCTCGGTTCACTGCCAGCTCCACCTCCCGGGTTCACGCCATTCTCCTGCCTCAGCCTCCTGAGTAGCTGGGACTACAGGTGCCTGCCACCACACCCGGTTCATTTTTTGTATTTTTAGTAGAGATGGGGTTTCACCGTGTTAGCCAGGATGGTCTCGATCTCCTGACCTTGTGATCTGCCCGCCTCGACCTCCCTAAGTGCTGGGATTACAGCCGTGAGCTACCACGCCCAGCCGACTCCCTTCAGCTTTTAAAAAATGACAGTGATCAGCTGGGCATGGTCGCACACCTACAATCCCATCACTTTGAGAGGCCGAGGCAGGTGGATCACCTGAGGTCAGGAGTTCAAGACCAGCCTGGCCAACACGGTGAAACCCCGTCTCTACTAAAAATACAAAAAATTAGCTGGACGTGGTCGTGGGCACCTGTAATCCCAGCTACTCGGGAGGCTGAGGCAGGAGAATCACTTGAACCCGGGAGGCAGAGATTGCAGTGAGCCAAAGTTGCACCACTGTACTCCAGCCTGGGCAACAAGAACAAAACTCCGTCTCAAAGAAACAAAACAAAACAAAACAAAAAACTGTGATTGCAAAACTAGTTTTCTTTTTTTTTAATCAAAATGGAATTCATGTAACATACCATTAGCCATTTTAAAATGAACAATTCAGCCTGGCGCAGTGGCTCACGCCTGTAATCCCAGCACTTTGGCAGGCCGAGGTGGGTGGATCATGAGGTCAGGAGATCGAGACCATCCTGGCTAACACGGTGAAACCTCATCTCTACTAAAAACACAAAAAATTAACTGGGCGTGGTGACAGGTGCCTGTAGTCCCAGCTACTCGGGAGGCTGAGGCAGGAGAATGGCGTGAACCCAGGAAGCAGAGCTTGCAGTGAGCCAAGATTGCACCACTGCACTCCAGCCTGGGCAACAGAGGGAGACTCCATCGGAAAAAAAAAAAGAACAATTCATTGGCATTTGGCAATCACCATTTCATATCTACTTTCTGAATACTTTCATTTTCCCCAAATAAAACCCTGTGCCTGTTATGCAGTTGCTGCTCATTTTCCCCTTCCCCCAGTTCCTGGTAACCACCAATCTGGTTTCTGTTTCTCTGGATTTGCTTATTCTGCTTATTCTGCGTATTTCATATTCATGGAATCATACAATATGTGGCCTTCTGTGCCTGGCTTCCTTCCCTTAGCATGTTTTCAAGGTTCATCCATGTTGTAGCATCTATCAGTAATTCATTTTTTTAATGGCTGAATAATATTCCATTGTGTGTATAGGCCACATTTTGTTTATTCATTCACTCTTATTGGATATTTGAGTTGTTTTTACCTTTTGGCTATTGTAAATAATGCTGCTATAAACATTTGTATGGAAGTGTCTGTTTGAGTACCTGTTTTTAGTTCTTTTGGTTGTATACCTAGCAGTGGAGTTACTAGATCTGATGGTAATTTTATGTTTAACTTACTGAGGAACAACCAAATTGTTTCCCACAGTGGCTGAATGAACCATTGTACATTCCTATCAGCAATGTATGAGGGTTCCATTTTCTCTATATCCTTGCCAGCACTTCTTATGCTGTTTGGTTGATTGAATTATAGCTATCCTAGTGGGTGTGAAGTAGTATCTCATTTTGGTTTTACTTTGCATTTCCCTAATGACTAATGATGTTGAGCATCTTTTCATGTGCTTATTAGCCATTTGTATGTCTTCTCTGTAGAAATACTGTTTATCTTTTTATTGTTTTAGATACTGGACCTGTATTAAATATATAATTTGCAGATATTTCCTCCCATTGTGTAGGTTGTCTTTTCACATTCCTGATTATGTCCTTTGTTACACAGAAGTTTTTAATTTCAATAAATTCCAGTTTATCTTGTTTGCCCTTTTGTTGCTCATGCTTCATATCTAAGAATTTGGCATATCTTGCCAAATTCAAGATCATGACATTTTACCCCTGTGTTTTCTTCTAAATGTGCTATAGTTTTAGCTCTTACATTTAGGTTGTTGGTCCATTTTGATTTTGTATAAGGTCTGAGACAGTCCAATGAGAGGATTTTTTTTTTTTTGAGATGGGGGTCTCACTCTGTGGCCTAGGCTGGAATACAGTGGCTTGATCATAGCTCGCTGCAGTCTCAAACTCCTGGGCTCAAGCAGTCCTCCCAAGTAACTGAGACCACAGGTGTGCACCACTAAGCCTGGCTAATTTTTTTTTTTTTTTTTTGTAGAGACGAGGTCTCATCATGTTGCCCAGGCTGGTCTTGACCTCCTGGGCTCAGGCAGTCCTCCTGCCTTGGCCTCCCGAAGTGCTGGGATTACAGGTGTGAGCCATCACACCTGGCTCTTGTAGTATCTTTTAACTGAGTATATATACATATCAACCAAAAACTACTGTGGATTTCATAGTATTTTAAATTATTTCACATTGTATTAATCAAAGCAGAGCTTATAAATATATTTGAAAAATAGTACTTGTAAGTTTAAGACAAGTTTTCAGTCCATGGCCTATATATTAGTGACTGAGTATGGATTCATGGATTTCCTTCCCATAACACCATGATCTTCTCTGAATCTACAGATCACATATTTTGTAGATGAGCATCAGAAGAATCTCTTATGACAGGAACAAGAGGGACTGAGGATGAAGGTAGAGTTTCCAAGGGTCCATAGCTGCAGAGACCTCAGGGAAGAGGCTGGGGATGACTGGAATGTTAGTAACTAGAAGGCAGTGGTGGAATCTATAAGGGCCAGAGAAGGAAGTAGCATTTCATTTGAGGCAACAAGGATGGTTGCAGAGTTTGGTTTGTAGGCTCACAGGTCATCATCAGAAAGTAATGGTTTAGGGAGCAGTTGAAGATTCCTTTAGTTTTGGAAATAATGCCAACTCAACTCAGCCTCCAAACAGGGAGTCTAACTGACTTTGTTTAGCATCTTTCCTACAGAGAGGGGTAAGTAAGGAAAAGGAACTAGGCAAATTCTAGATTTTTATTTCAACTCTGACCAGAATGCTGGCTAAGTCTTTTAAAAAAGTCCAGTTTTAGTTTAGCTGAAAATGTGATGAAAGGAATTTTTCTACTTCTCATGTGGCCAAGAGAATTAGGGTCCCTTAGAGTCTAGGGTGGTGTATTGTATTGGCCTGTGGCCATCTGATGGAGCAGGAACTGGGATACAGCTCCCAGTTCATGGGTGAGAAACTTGGAGGGAAAGTGTTGGACCATGATGGCAATCATGGCCAAGGGCCTTTTGTCTTCTGGCCAGCTTTTTCAGTGCTGACAGGCTCATCAGTGACAATCCTCTTTTTTTTTTTTTTTTTTTTTTTTTGAAGTCTTCTATTCACCTTGTCAGGTCTGTGTTCAAAGGGCTCTAGCAAAAGGAACAAGGAGGGGATAAATAGAGCAGGTGATTGAGCATCTGAGGGGAGTGTAGAGATAATGGCCTTCAGATGCCCTTCTGCTTTTACTAGCTGATGCCTACTTTTTCAAATAGAAACGAAAGCTACTTTGCAAGAAGTGATTTGGGAAGGCATAAACAAAGAATGGGTCTTGGTTACTTTGATGTTTGTGGTGTTTAAACTCTGAATTTGTGTGGATGTGTCTTTGAATTTTTAACCCCCCCATGCAACCTTTGTGACTTAACAGGTGCTACTCGTGAGCAGTAGTCGCCATCCAGACAGATGGATTGTCCCTGGAGGAGGCATGGAGCCCGAGGAGGAGCCAAGTGTGGCAGCAGTTCGTGAAGTCTGTGAGGAGGTATGCATGGAGAAGAGAGGGCACAGCTGTGCCTCGTCATCATGAACCTGTCCTATCTGTGTAGTTCTTTAATATGTCAGCACTCACTGAATAAATATACAGTCACAGAAAAAGGGCAATGAATGGTTATCCGGTCCCTCCTTTATTACCGGGTGATGGAGTTGTGACATGGTAATGTTAACCGGCACTCTGTGCCAGACTTCCCATGACTTTTTATGCCAGACTTTTGTTACTTCCCATGGATTTCTTCCAACACTGCCTGTTACCTGTGGCACAAAATCAAGAAGCAAATAGTTCCTGACCTCTAAGGAGTAAGAGGAACAGGCAGCATTAGTATAAATGACTCATTGTCATTAAGCTTTGGAGGAGGCCCTTGTTTTCCTGTGCTTACTGCATCCTAGCCATGGAACTGTGGCTAAAGGAGTGATTATGTTAGCCAGATACTGTTAATGGTACAACTTGAGAGAGAATAGTATCTTCTTTTTTATTTAGTCACATGATGTTCCACATACATGTGTTGAGTTCCTGGGCCATGATATCCTACTAGATACTCCAGAATAAATAAAAGAAGTAAAGTCATGGACTCTTAGTTCTCTTATTTCAAGAATTTACAGCCTGGGGGAAACTGAGAAACAGATTGCAATTGAAAACCCAGAGAAACGAACTATTATTTTTCCATAGCCTCTTGTGGTGACACCATGCTCTGCTTTTCTTGTTATCTCATTTAGGACTCATAACTCAGTTGTGTAAGCTTTATCGCCCCAGTTTACTCGCCCTGGCCACATAGGTAGTGCTTTTGAAATCCATTTCCTTGTTCCAGAGGGAATATAAGATTGATTCTAAGAACATATAAAAAAGCACTTACAACAAGTCTAATTCCTATGTTTCTTTTGGATCCAGCTTTTGATGAAGTGCTCTTAGAATAATCTTACCCTTGGAATATCCAAGGAATTCTTTCCTCACTCTGAATTCCTACACTTACATTGGCTTATGTCACTCTCATTGTAGCATCTATCTTATACCCATAACTAGATTGTTCTCTCTGAGGGCAAAAATCACGTTTCCCATCAAAAATCCTTACTTTCCATGCCTAGTACACAGCTAGGTGAACAGAAAGTAATTAATACATGCTTCTTTGATAGATGGAACAATGGTTGGAACAATGCAGATGCTGAAGAAATACCCTAAATGGAAATTGTCAGAGTATAGAAAGTGATAAACATTGACAGAGAGGATGTGAGAAGGCATTCTTACAGTGGGTGGTAAGGAGGCTAACCCGGGTAGAACCAAATGGAATCAAGAGAGGGTGTAATGAAAAGAACATTGACGTGGGAATCCTGGTTTCTGTTACTGTCAGTTAATAGCTGCGTGACCTATGAGAAAATAACTTTAAACACCCTGGACTTTTGTCCTTCATTTGAATATCTTCCTTTTTACTCCATCATGGAGGGAGGGGAGGGGAATATGAGGTTCAAACGAGAACATGAGTATGAATGTCCTTTGTGAATTATGTATCACTCTACCACTTAGGATGTATGCAGCTGAAAATAATATTATGCCCCTTACTGTTCTGTAACAGGCTTATTATATCGCATAATAAGAAGTCCCAGGTTGGCTGACTCAGCAGTATTAAGAGCCCAAGTGCTTCCCTTCTTTCTCTTCTGCCATCCTTGGCTTTTGTTTGCGGGCTTGTCTCCTTGTAGTGACAAGATGGTTATCACAGCTCTATCCTTACACATTCTTTTCAAATGCAGGACACACAGTTTCACCTCATGGGTCTCTTTATTTGAGAGAAAAGAAATTTTCCCCAAAGGGTCCCCCAGCAGACTCTTTATGTCGGTGTTTCAGAGTTGCTTTGTATGCTTATGCTTAAACTTCCTGGCAAAGGGAATGTCGGTTCCATGTTTAAACTACTAAGCCGTCACCGTCTAGGATTTGACTTTGAGAAACCTCTTAGACTTTAAAGCAATTTAAAAGCATGGCCAATAAGAGAAGATAAAATGTTTATTTTGTTAGAAATTTAGCTTACATTGGAATGTGCCAATATATGTTTACTCTAAAAAAGAATGGATAGATAATATGTAATTTTAGAGTGAGAAAAAATTTATTATACAGGCCATACAATCTCTGTCACAGCTATTTAACTCTGCCATTATAGGGCAAAAGTAGCCATAGACAGTACAATACATAAACAAATGGGCCTGGCTATGTTCCAGTGAAGCCTTATTTATAAAAACGGTGGTGAACCATAGATAATCCCTGGTTTAAGCTCTTGCTACTCAGAGTGTAATTGATGGACCAGCAACATCAGCATCAGCCAGGAGCTTGTTAGAAATGGAAAATCTCAGACCCCAACCCAGATCTACTGTATCAGAATCTGATTTTAATAGGACCTCTGGTGATTTTGAGATACTACTGCAGTAGAGTATTGAATTGTTACCAGTGAGTGTTCTGAGAATTTCTCCTGATGGATCTTGTGGAGAGAAATGCTCTTTGAGGGATGGACTGTGGTTTGGTGGTCTCCACACCCATTCCAATACTCTTCTGACATGGAGAGACTAGAAAGTTAAAAAGCACTTTTCCTAAACTCAGGTAAGGAATGCAACTAAGTCTCCTTGATGATATTTAGATATCCCCAATACAAAGCACTTGAACAAGATTGCTTTAGTCACAAGGAGGGCGTGTTCTGAGAGCAGCAGGCCCATCTGTTTTGGTGGCACACATTTAGACAAAGGAGATAATGGTTTTGGAATTGGCAGCTATAGTGTTAACTTCCTGATTTGGCTGGTGGCTTTTATTTGGCATCTTCCTGATCCACCCCAGAGACAGCAACTCCCTTGGCAGTCCAGTTCTGCAATGTGGTTTTAAGAATTGTTCTTGGAACCTTGGCCTGTGTTTCTTGAGCTCTCCTAGTGATTCTGTAAACTATTTTTATCCCTTAATAAATCATTATCTTAAACTAATCAAGTTGGATTCTGTTGTCTGCAATTAAGAATTTTGACCCAACCAGATTCCCTGTGAATGATAACAGCTGCTTTAGTTGTATCAGACATTCTCCTCTGCCTGGCTGTGCTAACCCATCAAGGAATTGAGATGTCTTTGCAAAGCATCCCCCTCTAGAGAAGAGTGTCCAGTGGCTTGTGAGAGAGCTGTCTGATCTACAGTGTGTCAGTAGTTTAATCAGGCAGACCTGTTTCTGTGGGAAAGTGAAGCTGTGACAGAATCCAGTTCAGAGTCTGCACCTTCCTCATAGCTGTTTACTGATTGAATGTTATTTGTCCGTTCAGCAAATATTGAGTGCCCATCCATCTTGCACAAAACACTGGGCCACAAATTGGGGATACAGAAATTTGGGTTTTGCCATCATCACATAAGCTTAACATCTCACCAAGAATACAGAGTTAATAGGAAACTATAATTTGAAAATTAAACTTTGAGGGAACAGTTTGTACGGCATGCCGGGGGCTTGTTGGCAGAGTAGCTAACTCTGGCACAAAAGACTGGCTCCTAGGAGAATGTCTGGATGGTTATAGACCTGCTCATTTAAGATTTTCCCATTTTGGAGGGACTTTGGGGATGCAGTAGGTAGTGTGATGATGGTCTTATATATGTTATCCCCACATAAGGGAGACTAGATAGAGGAGGGATGAAGTAGCTAGTGAGCTTTTCTTTACTCTGAAGCAGAATTGGTTTCCCACTTTCCTGTCAGACCTGGGATAATGTGGAATTAGAAGGGTGTAGGCACACCCTGAAGGGCAGGTATGATTGTGTACTTTGCATCCCTAGGCCTGAGGGCACCAGAACCTTTGCCTGACTCTTTCTGTAGGAACTGAGAGTTTGACTGTTCAAATAAGTGTGGTAGGGCCAGTTGGTGGGCCTAAACTGAATAATTTTGATTTAAATCCAGTTGGCTTCTGTAGGTTCTAAGGTGCTTAAGGCAAAAATGGTGTTTGAGAGTGACCATGCAGTTGTGTATTCAGACAGATTATTACAAGACCTGAAATGGAGTGATGGTTCTGGAATAGAGAGAGAGGAAAAAGTTCAAAGACCTTGTGCAAAGACTTGATACTTGGTTTTGGGAGTTGTGGTTGGAATATCTCTGGCAGTTCTACTTTTGTAGAGCACATTTGGAATTTGTGTCTGTTTCAGGAAAGCTCACCTTATTTGTTGTCACTGTTGCTGTTCTGTTTTTGAGTGTTACAGTTGAGTTGTCCCTGGGTTATACAAGTGCAGCTAAGATATAGAAAACCAGATGTTTGCAACAGGAAATGCATTGAGGGAGTAGGAAGGATATAGGGTATTGTACTTTTGTTTCCTGGAAATTGCATACTATCCTTCTATAGGTAAAAGGGAGAATAGTGTGAAATAGGAGTAAAATAATCTTGAAGCAAGGAAGTGAAAGATCCAGCACAGATAATTAAACTACACTCCTCATGTTTAGTATCTTACCTAGCTCCTGTCTTGAAGGAATCCTGATCGTGAAACTTTATTCTCTTAATAATACTGGAATAAAGTATGGGATATGATGATGTGATTCTTTTCTGACTGCAGGCATGCTCTGCCTGCCGTTCTCAGCCTTAAAGAATCCTTCCTGACTTTGAGCTAATTTTTTTTCTGCAGTCAGAGGAGAATCATATCATCATATCTCATATTTTATTCCAGCATTATTGAGAGGATAAAGAAATGTCTGTGAACTGCTTTGAACTTTAGAATAAGTATCCAAATAAAATGTACAAACAATAAAAATAAGAGAACATGTCATTACAGAAACAGTTCAGTGGCTTCCATCAAAACAGAATGAAAGAAGTGGATTTTCCAGTTTTATCAACAGAGAATTAGACTTGAAATCGGAGACTTGAAATGTTGATAGATGTTTTTTATTGTCCTTGAAGGGAAGCTTTTGTAAACAAAGCACTGTTTAGAGATTCACTTAGTTTTCAAGATGTTTATGCTTTCAGATCTGATTTTTTATTTGTAAATGTAGGAGATTTTAATAGCCACTTTTTGAGGGGCTCTGTGGATAATACCTCTATACCAATTAGTTGAAAACCTTCAGATGTTTCAGATTGCATTTATACGTTTAATATATTTGATTTTTTTTTTAAAGAACTTCAGTTGTCCTACTTAAAAAAAAAACTTTATAAAGCTCTTCAATGAAAAAAAGTCTTGTGAAAAACTACTACAAGTAAACACAGGGGGAAGCACTTTAGGACATTGGTCTGGACAAAGATTTTATAGGTAAGACCTCAAAAGCACAGGTAACAAAAGCAAATTTAGACAGATTGGATTGTATCAAACTAAAAACCTTCCGCACAGCAAAGGAAACAATCAACAGTGAAGAGACAGTCTACAGAATGGGAGAAAATATATGCAAAATACTCATTCAACAAGGGATTACTATTCAGTATATACAAAGAATTCAACAGCAAAAAAAAGAATCTAGTATTAAATGTGCAAATGATGTGAATAAACTTTTCTCAAAAGAAGACAAATGGCCAAAAAATACATTGAACAAGGCAGGGATTAGGAGCAGCAACACCCCTCCCAAACTCCCCCACCCCACTCAAATGTGTATATAACCTTTTGTTTGTTTGTTTGTTTGTTTGTTTTGAGATGGAGTCTCGCTCTGTCATCCAGGCTGGAGTGCTCACTGCAACCTCCGCCTCTGGGTTTCAAGCGATTCTCCTGCCTCAGCCTCCCAAGTAGCGGGGATTACAGATGCCCACCACCATGCCCAGCTAATTTTTGTATTTTTAGTAGAGACGGGGTTTCATCATGTTGGCCAGGCTGGTCTAAAACTCCTGACCTTAGGCAGTCCACCCGCCTCGGCCTCCCAAAATGCTGGGATTACAGCCATATTATACCCAACCAGATTTATCATTATATATTGTATACATGTAGCAAAATGTCACTGTACTCCATAAATACTTAAAATTATTATGTGTCAATAAAAATTAATAATAAAAACATTTATAGCCAGGCCTGGTGGTATGGGCCTGTAGTCCCAGCTACTGGGGAGGCTGAGGCAGGAGGATCACGTGAGCCCAGGAGTTTAAGACCAGCCAGGGCAACGTAGCAAGACCTCATCTTAAAAAACAAAAAAAAAAAACACAGCATTTTCAAAGAAAAAAACACTTTTTTTTTTTACAAACTCCTGTAAGTCTCACATATTACACTTAGAAATAAGATGTTTTAGAGTCTTTAAATATTCCCATGCTATATATAAGCTTCTTAAGATTTTTAACTTAAAATCATGAGTCAGAAATAAATTATTCAACTATATTTTTAAAATTTGAGGCCACAAGACTGCCAGCCAGAATAAGTAACATTCTTGTAAGCATTACAAAATCTTAGATTATGTTTGGTCTCCTTAACACAAAAATACTTCTGTGGTAATAAACATTATAATATTTAAGACGTAAAATATTATAAATTATAAAATATTTATTGATTCCCTTAAACATTTTTATATTTAATTCTAAATGTTTCTAGGATTGAAAGATGCTTACCTGTTGAAGAAACTGAGCCTTCCTATTAAATGAGGCCACGACTCTTAGGTGACCTGATAGGCCACACTGACCCCGTTCACTTTTGCTTCATCAAAACTCCATAACATCACAAGGCTGGGGGTCATGGAGTTCACACAGCATGAATCAACATAGCAAATTTAGTCCATCAACATGAAGGTTACTTCATTCATGAAATCTTTGTGATTCCTTCTAGTAGGTTCACTCATGCTGTATGTTTCCATTGCAGTCTGTATTTCTAGTACTGTGGTATTGTTCATGCTTTATTGATGTTGCTTGTTTAATTACTGTCTTTTGTGCTAGACTTTATACTCTGTGTAGTCTTCCTTCCTTCCTCTCTCTCTCTTCTCTCTCTTTCTTTCTCTCCCTCTTTCTCTCTCTTTCCTCTTTTCCTTTTCCTTTTTTTTTTTCTTTTTCTTTTCTTCTCAGGCTAGAGTGCAGTGATATGGTCATAGTTCACTGTAACCTCAAACTCCTGGGCTCAAGCAATCTTCCTTCCTCAGCCCCCTGAGTAGCTGGGACTACCGGTGCATGCCACCATGCCTGGCTAATTTATTATTATTATTTATTAGAGACAGTGTCTTGCTATGTTGCCGAGGGTCTCCTAGCTTCCAGCCCCTCCTCCCTCAGCTTCCCAAAGTGCTGGGATTACAGGTGTAGGCCGTTGTACTTGGTCCCCATTTTTTCTTTTTTCTTTTTTTGAGATGGAGTTTCACTGTTGTCGCCCATGCTGGAGTGCACGATCTTGGCTCACTGCAACCTCCGCCTCCTGGGTTCAAATGATTCTCCTGCCTCAGCCTCCCAGATAGCTGGGATTATAGGTGTGCACTACCATGCCCGGCTAGTTTCGTATTTTTAGTAGAGACGGGGTTTCACCATGTTGGTCAGGCTGGTCTCTTAACTCCTCACCTCAGGTGATCCACCTGCCTCGGCCTCCCAAAGTGCTGGGATTACAGGTGTGAGCCACCGCCCCTGGTCCCATTTTTTCTTGCTCATTGTCGAATCTCCAGTGCTCAACACATATCTCAAGTGCTTAATAGAGTGCTACAATTATTGACCTCACTGTTAGAACAGCTACAGAAATGCAACTGCAATGTGCCCTTTTAGGTTGTCAGAAATAGACATACTCTCCAAATGCCTCAGTTAAGTGAGGAAGAACATGACATTGTCACAGCAACTGCCCAGCCAAGGCTGTACAAAGCTGGAAACTTGGGTCACAGTGCACCGGCAGGCATCACTCGTGACAGGTGGAACAACAGTGGAAATGCAGAGTGGCTCAAGGAGCCTGGTCACGCGCCAATGGCTCAGCCCCCCTCTTCCACTGCGGAGGACCTGCCTATCTCATCTCTTCTCAGCCTCTTAGCTTACTGCTTTTATTTTGTGTTTTTCCTGTCTTATGCAAAACTTACGTGTCTGTTGACTCTGTATTCAGCCTTCCTAAGAGAGGACCTGATTGGTTTTGCCTAGTGACAACTTCATGTAGTATGCCCCTTTGGGCAGAGCTGCCAGGTCACATCATCAGCTTCTGGCTATTTTGAAAATGTCTACCTTACCTTTGCATCAGTTGCTGATTTTTAATTCTCTTAGCTGTGCTCAGAGTAGTGAAGTCATGTGCTATAAAAGCATGGCAACCCATGGTTAAGTACCATCTGCAGCACCTTTTCCAAAGGTCCTGTGTATGTAGTAGGAACTGTTATTATCTACATTTTACAGGAGAGAAAAGGCTGAGGTTGAGTGATTTGCCCCAACAAGTTGGGTCCAGCCTAATATGCTCAAGGTAAGATTTGAATCCAGGACATCTTTCGTCCCCGACACTCCTAATGCTATGGCTCCTTGAAAGATGTCCACCAAAATGTTTGCAGTGGTTATCTTTGTTAGTTCATAGGTTATCAAGTTCTCTGCATTGAGTGTATGTTTCTTTTGTTACTAGAAAAAGTTTTTATATAAACATGAAAGGATTGAGATTATTCAGTAGTTTATCATGGCATTGTCAGTCCTAGGTCTCATTAAATTCCACCTGTTCTAAAGCTTTGTTCAGCCCAGCTTAAAAATTTTAGCATATTGGCTGAATTTCAGAAACAGATAAATCTGAAGCATTTGACACATTAGCAATCACATGTAAGGGGAGGGCTAAAATATTCCCTTTTGCAAATTAGCTTCCTTTTTTTAGCTGCTTGTGGTCAAAATCCTTTTAGAGTGACCCCTTACAGGGTTAGGGGAACAGGCTTGCTCCCATGGCCTGCCATGGGCTTTAGTAACAGTGCCTCTTTAGACTAGGGCAGCAGAAGCTGTGTGAGCCAGCCATGTGATAGTCTTTCTGTAATAAAAAAGAAAAGCACCTCTTTGTATGATCTCAGAGCTATTCTTTCTTGCTAATTCAGTGGGAAAGGTAAAACTCTTGTCTGACAGGGGAAAAAAGGGAAGCTGTGTCTGAAACCGTTCTGTCTTCTCTTCGTCTTACATTCCCATTTCCTTTACCTTTTCTCACCTCAGCCATCCCAAGAGTATTATCACAAGAATAGAGAACATCCAAAAACAGAAACAGGAGGAGAAAATTATGTGCCTACAGTATAGCCATTCCTTGGTATTGGTTTCAGGACCCCTGATGGATATAAAAATCTGCCGATGCTCAAGCGCCTTATATAAAGTGGCAGAGTATTTGCATATGACCTACACATATCCTCCCATATACTTTAGATCATTTGTAGATTGCTTATGCTACCTCATGCAATGTAAACACTATGTAAATACAGTTGACCCTTAAACAACAGGGGATTGAACTGCACGGGTTCATTTATATGTGGATTTTTTTCCAGTAAAAGTTACACCATTATACTGAGTGTGCCTGCCTTTCCTGCTTCCTCTTTTACCTCCTTCACTTCTGCCTCTGAGGTGGCCCCTGAGACAGCAAGACCAACCCCTCCTCTTCCTCCTCCTCTTCCTTAGCCTACTCAATGTGAAGATGACGAGGAAAAAACCTTTACTGGGCTCCACTTCCACCTAATGAACAGTAAATATATTTTCTCTTCCTTATGGTTTTCTTAATAACATTTTCTTTTTCTAGCTTTAATATAAGAGTATAGTAAATAATACACACAACATACAGAATATATGTTAATCAACTGTTATTGGTAAGGCTGCTGGTCAGTAGTAGATTATTAGTAGTTAAGTTTTGGGAGAGTCAAAAATTATATACCCACCGGACATGGTGGCTAGAGGTTAGGAGTTTGAGAACAGCCTGGGCAACATAGTGAGACCGTATCACTACAAAAAACAAAAAATTTTAAAAAAAATTAGTTGGGCGTGTTGACACATACCTGTAGTCCCAGTTACTTGGGAGGCTGAGGAGGGAGGATTGCTTGAGCCCAGCATCAAGGCTGCAGTGAGCCATGATTGTGCCAGTGCATTCCAGCCTGGGTGACAGATCAAGACCCTGTCTGTTAACAAAAAAAAAGTATACACAGATGTTTGACTGCGTGGGAGTTGGCACCCTACCAACTTGTTCAAGGATCAACATTATTCAAGGATCAACTGTAGTTATACTATATTGTTTAGGAAATACAAGGGAACAAAGTCGGTACGTGTTCAGTACAGATACAATTTTTAAAAAAATTCTTGATCTGCAGTTGGTTGAATCCACAGACGTGTAGTGCACAAATACGGAGGGCCGACTGTATTTGTAGTCACCCTGATAGTTTGTGACACAGCCATTGCTTTTTTAAAAAGTGTGGTTAGTTCTCTGTGACTTCCTCACTTCTATCCTAATAGTACTTCTGTGCTACTCCTCTGGCTCATGCCACCTGTTGCTTTGCCATAGAAACAGTCCATCTTCAGGTTGGTGATATCTGCTTAGATTTCCCTGTATCTTTGCTGCCCTCCTTCAAGTTTTTGTACAAGTTAGTATGTACAGTGTCATACATAAAATAAAAATTCCACAGCATGTTTTACTTAATTAACCTTCATTAAAGAAAGTTGTAAAAGAAAAAAGAAAAATCCAGCAGGTCATGGACAACTTAAAAAGAAAGTTTGGAAAAAAAAAAAAAAAAGAAAGTTTGAAAGTCTAAATACCTTAATGTAGAATAATTGAGGTTGCCTTCCTAATGGCACCGCAAGAGTTCAGAGCTGCTCAATTATCTCTAGCCTTGTTAATCTATCCGCAGTCTATCAAGAAGTTATTTTAGGCCAGGTGCGGTGGCTCACCCTTATTATCCCAGCACTTTGGGAGCCCAAGGTGGGTGGATCACTTGAGGTCAGGAGTTCGAGACTAGCCTGGCCAATATGGTGAAACCCCATCTCTACTAAAAGTACAAAAATTAGCTGGGCGTGGTAGCATGTGCCTGTAGTCCCAGCTACTCAGGAGGCTGAGGCAGGAGAATTGCTTGAACCTGGAAAGCAGAGGTTGCAGTGAGCCAAGATCGTGCCATTGCACTCCAGCCTGGGCATCACAGTGAAACTCCATCTCAAAAAAAAGAAGTTATTTTAACTCCTCTTGATTCCATTTGTATTTTCTTTTCTTTTTCTTTTTTTCTTTTTGGAGACAGAGTCTTGCTCTGTTGCTTAGGTTGGAGTGCAGTGGTGTGATCTCAGCTCACTGCCACCTCCACCTCCCTGGCTCAAGTGATCCTCGCACCTTGGCCTCCTGAGTAGCTGGGACTACAAGTAAGCATGCACCACCACACCCAGCTAATTTTTGTATTTTTTGTAGAGCTGGGGTTCCACCATGTTGCCCAGGCTGGTCTCAAACTCCTGAATTCAAGCAATCTGTCCACCTTGGCCTCCAAAAGTGCTAGGATTATAGGCACGAGCCACCATGCCCAGCACCATTTTTATTTTCTAATAAGAATATGGAAAATGCCATAGTGAACTTTATTTAAAAAATGTGTATCTTCTACATTTACGCAGCCAACAGACACATGAAAAAATGCTCATCATCACTGGCCATCAGAGAAATGCAAATCAAAACCACAATGAGGTACCATCTCACACCAGTTAGAATGGCGATCATCAAAAAGTCAGGAAACAACAGGTACTAGAGAGGATGTGGTGAAATAGGAACACTTTTACACTGTTGGTGGGACTGTAAATTAGTTTAACCATTGTGGAAGACAGCATGGTGATTCTTCAAGGATCTAGAACTAGAAATACCATTTGATCCAGCCATCCCATTACTGGGTATATACCCAAAGGATTATAAATCATGCTGCTATAAAGACACATGCACACGTATGTTTATTGCAGCACTATTCACAATAGCAAAGACTTGGAACCAATCCAAATGTCCGTCAATGATAGACTGGATTAAGAAAATGTGGCACATAGGCACTGTGGAATACTATGCAGCCATAAAAAAGGATGAGTTCATGTCCTTTGTAGGGACATGGATGAAGCTGGAAACCATCATTCTGAGCAAACTGTCACAAGGACAGAAAACCAAACACCACATGTTATCACTCATGGGTGGGAATTGAACAATGAGAACACTTGGACACAGGGTGCGGAACATCACACACCAGGGCCTGCCATGGGGTGGGGTTGGGGGAGGGATAGCATTAGGAGATATACCTAATGTAAATGAGGAGTTAATGGGTGCAGCACACCAACATGGCACATGTATACATATGTAACAAACCTGCAAGTTGTGCACATGTACCCTAGAACTTAAAGTATAATAAAAAAAAATTTTTTTTTAAGTATCTTCTCATCCTAATTCCTGTACCATGTATTCCCTGTCCCTGCAAAAGAATGGTTGTTCTTGACTGGGCACGGTGGTTCACGCCTGTAATCTCAGCACTTTGGGAGGCCAAGGCAGGCGGATCACCTGAGGTCAGGAGTTCGTGACCAGCCTGGCCAACATGGTGAAACCCCATCTCTACTAAAAATACAAAAATTAGCCAGGCGTGGTGGCAGGCGCCTGTAATCCCAGCTACTCGGGAGGCTGAGGCAGGAGAATCGCTTGAACCCGGGCAGTGGAAGTTGCAGTGAGCTGAGATCGCGCCATTGCACCCCAGCCTGGGGGATAAGAGCGAGACTTCATCTCAAAAAAAAATGGTTGTTCTCTTTTTTATATATATATTTGTGTATATGTGTGTATATCTATGTATATATGTATTTTTATGTATATCTCTCTATATATATACACAACACACACAGAGCAACCAGAAGGCTCCATATGGTATCTCAGAACAGTCTCTAACAGGAAAGCAGAATTTCATGTTTCATGTTATACAAGAGTAGAACACTTAAAAAATCTGTGACTACTTGGGAGTAATTTAAGATATTCATTGTCACCAGTTTTTTAGTTCATTAATGTTTGGCTCTGGAGTGGGGGAAAAAAAGTGAAGGCACAGTATGACTGTGTTGTATTTTCATCTGTACCTTTTACCCAGCCTGAGCAGTTGTGAATAGAAAGTGGAGTGTAGGCTATCATAGGATTTATCAGAGAAATAACATGCATTTTTAAAACCCAGAACTTTAATCACAAAATTATATATCATTTAGTAGCAAAACTTTATGAATAATATATTAAGGATACTTTTGATCATTTCAACATAAGTATAGCAGTTTGGGGAATTATGAGGAATTAATATGGTCAGGGGTCTCCGGCTCATAAACTTGTCAGGAAGGGGACAGGCAGTTGACAGTAAGTACACCTCTGACAAGGTGGGTACAGCTGTAGTCCCAGCTACTTGGGAGGCAGAGGAGGGAGGATTGCTTGAGCCTAGCATCAAGGCTGCAGTGAGCTGTGATTGCACCAGTGCATTCCAGCCTGGGTTACAGATCAAGACCTTGTTAACAACAAAAAAAGTATACACAGATGCTTGAATTAGGATAATATGCAATCTTCTTTGTACTTTCCGTTTTTTCATTCTACTAGGAACATGTATTATTTTTATAATCAGAAAAAAATGGTAAGCTATAGTGGAGTGGGCGCTAGCTTAATCAAGTGATAAAACTTGGCTACACTAATACACTAGTGGTAGTTAAGTCCCAATGTGTATACATACATCAAAACGTCATGCAGTACACCGTAAATGTATATAATTTTTATTTGTCAGTTAGACCTAAATAAAGATGGGGGTAAGGGGAAGACCCAGTGTGATCAGATCCTCTGATGTTTCAAGAGAAACTTGAAAGCTGGATTCTTGGCCGGGCGTGGTGGTTCACTGTGGGCGGAAGATTACCCAGGTGCCGAGGCAAGAGACTGAAGGCACAAACTGTTTCAGTATAATAAAGAAAGTAGTTAGAATAAGAATAGTTATCATACAAATTAGATATAGAGATGATCATGGACATTATCAATCATTAGCATAAACATTATTAATCATTAGCTTTTAATATTACTCTTTGTTGTATTACTAATATAACCAAGGAATAACTGGCAGGTACAGGGTCAGGTGCTGAAGGGACATCGTGAGCAGTGACCAAGAAGGCAAGAGGTGAGCCCTCTGTCACACCCACATAAGGGCCGCTTGAGGGCTCCTTGGTCAAGCGGTAATGCCAGCGCCTGGGAAGACACCAGTTACTTAGCAGACTGTGAAAGGAAGTCTCCCTTTCCTTGGAGGAGTCAGGGAACACTCTGCTTCACCTGCTTCTTGTGGGAGGTTGGATATTATCCAGGCCTGCCCACAGTCATCTGGAAGCTTAAACCCCTCTCTGTAGTGCTGTGCTTCAGTGGTCACGCTCCTTGTCCACTTTCATGTTCCTCCCATACTCCTGGTTCCTTTTTGAAGTTCTTAGAAGATAGCGGTAAAAGAAATAGTTAAAGTCTTAAAATCTTTGATCTTTCTTTCTTTTTTTTTTTTTTTTGAGGCGGAGTCTCGCCCTATTGCTAGGCTGGAGTGCAGTGGCACGATCTCAGCTCACTGCAACCTCCACCTCCCAGGTTCAAGCGATTTTCCTGTCTCAGCCTCCCAAGTAGCTGGGAATACAGGTGCGCACTACCATGCCCAGCTAATTTTTTGTATTTTTAGTAGAGACAGGGTTTCACCATGTTGGCCAGGATGGTCTCGATCTCTTGACCTCGTGATCCACCCGCCTCGGCCTCCCAAAGTGCTGGGATTACAGGTGAGCCACCGCGCCCGGCCTGTCTTTGATCTTTCTGATAAGTGCGTAGAAGAAAACGCTGACGTATGCTGCCTTCCCTCTCTGTTTCGGCTACCTATAAGGGAAGGGCCCCCTGTCCTATGATCATGTGACTTGCTTGACCTTATCAATCATTTGGATGACTCACCCTCCTTACCCTGCCCCCTTGTTTTGTATACAATAAATATCAGTGCACCCAGCCATTCAGGGCCACTACCGGTCTCCGCGTCTTGGTGGTAGTAGTCCCCCCGGGCCCAGCTGTTTTCTCTTTATCTCTTTGTCCTGTGTCTTTATTTCGTACGATCTCTCTCTCGTCTCCACACACGGGGAGAACACCCGTCAAGCCCCGTAGGGCGGGACCCTACATTTCACGCCTGTAATCCCAGCACTTTGGGAGGCCACGGCGGGTGGATCACCTGAGGTTAGGGGTTCGAAACCAGCCTGACCAACATGGTGAAACCCTGTCTCTACTAAAAACACGAAAATTAGCTGGGCATGGTGGCGGGTGCCTATAATCCCAGTTAGTCGGGAGGCTGAGGCAGGAGAATTGCTTGAACCTAGGAGGCAGAGGTTGCAGTGAGCTGAGATCACGCCACTGCACTCCAGCCTGGGCAGCAGAGCAAGACTCCGTGTCAAAAAAAAGAAAAAAAAAAAGCTGGATTATCATGTAAGATCTTCTGATCTTTCAATGTGGGCAACTAATTTGAAAAATTGGCTTTTAAAAATGTTAGAGTAATGTCTGCATATGGATTAAAAAGACCAACAGTAGTAGGACTGAAAGGCTCATAGTGAAAAACAACCAAAGTATGTGTTAATTAAATGAATGAGCTGTGTTCCGAATTTTAACTTTATTTTAAACTGTAAATTGATAAACTCCAACCTCTTAGAAGATAGTTTTTGTTTTTTTGTCTCCGAAAGCAAATAAAGGTTTTTAACCTTGGGAATATTTTACTGTTAAATAAAAATGTTAAAATTAGAAAGTGTAGCTAGATGTAGTTTGCTAAAATTATCTAGATGTAAATTCTTAAAATTAGAAAGTGTATCTAGATGTAAAAAGTCAGGAGAGACCATGAGTTGCTCCCGTTTGTTTAAAAGCAGGCTTTATGTAGATGGCATTCTCGAACTTCCATTATTTAATTTTTTAAGGATTTTAAATCACATGAACATGAATTCCTAATAACAATGTACATGTATGGCCTATGGCCTATGGCTTTATCTTTAAAATCAGAACTAAAATAGGCAAATAATTTTTCTGTATGTTTGACATTTTTCAAAATGAAAAGTTGAGAAAATAAGCGTAAGTACTTATTATATATATACCAGCTATATTCAAGTTCCTGAGCTGGAAGCTACAAAGGACGGTGATGTGACAGATGCCACTTTCCCTAAGACAGATTGTATGTTTGTCAACATTGCCATGTCTGTCAGCACTACCGTGTCTTTATTTTTACTTGATAAGAAGACAGATATTTTTATCTCCTTTGGTCACAGCACTACAATATATAAGAATCATCATGTCTTAGTACATTATATGTGAGGATCTTATTCTGATAATTTATTCTTTTTAAAGGATTTAGTGGGAAATGTGGCTCCGTAGTAAAAATTTCAGGAAAACCTTTGTTCACCTAACATGAACATATATTTTTGTGTGAGGAAGCATCTTTATTCCGCCCTCCTAGGAAAACTCATACACAAAAATACAGCAAAAGAAGTTAAAAGCTTATCCTTAGCAAAATAATTTTGTCTGGGTGCAGTGGCTCACGCCTATAATCCCAGCACTTTGAGAAGCCCAGGTGGGAGGATCACTTGAGCCCAGGAATTTGAGACCAGCCTAGGCAACAAAGGGAGACCTTATCTCTACAAAAAGTTTTTAAAAAGGAACCAGACATGGTGGCTTGCACTTATAGTTCCATCTACTCAGGAGGCTGAGGAGGGAGGATCGCTTAAGCCCAGGAGTTTGAGGCTGCAGCAAGCTATGGGCAACAGATCGAGACCCTGTCTCTTTAAAAAAGAAAAAAGAAAAAAAAATTCATTATATAAAGTAATCAGTGAAAGCATATCATGTTTTAATGTAGAAGGTGGTGTGAGGCAGTTTTACATTAGAAGACAGAATGAATCCCATAGATCTCTGGCATTACCTTTCAGGCCCTTAAGTAAATCGGTATTGAATCTCCTGTTTCTGGCAGCTGAGAACTTAGAAAGGGCCTTCCTTCTCAGTTACAGTTCGGGGATGAAGGCAAGCCTTGGCATAGACATAGCCTCCAGTGAAGGGCCTGGCTGAGTTGCAATTGTGATGATTCCTGTGCTCAGCTTTTGCTCTGTGCTCACGTGGCCGAGTGTAATTCAACACTGGCCCCACAGCCATATTCCTAGTAGAACCGCCTCTCTCTCTTTTCAGAGAAGCGTCTCTGCTCTGAGGCTGTTACTAAATGGTAAATGGCTGCCTCTGGGTTATTACCTTGATTACTTCTAGAGTCATCCTTAAGATGATTGACTTTTTAGTGGCTCTGTCATTCTGGTGTTTGCAAAAATTCATGGTAGATACTATTGACTATATAAAAAGTGGTATTCATAATGTTATTACATATTTGTGTTAGTGACCATTTTAGTTTTAAATATATAGGTGCTTTTGACTAAGACCATTAGAGTGATTTGTAAAGTTTTAACCCTAAAAATGGAGACATGCTGGGTGCAGTGGCTTATGCCTGTAATCCCAATACTTTGGGAGGCCAAGGCAGGAGGATCACTTGAGGCCAGGAAGTCAAGATTACAGTGAGCTATGATCATGCCACTGCACTCTGTCCTGGGCACAAGTGAGACCCTATCTCAAAAACAGCAACAATAACAATTATATGATCTAAACAAGGCTCTTATTCTGAAGGCTTTTTTTTTTTTTTGGAAGCGTAGTCTTGCTCTGTCGCCCATGCTGGAGTGCAGTGGTGTGATCTCAGCTCACTGCAACCTCTGCCTCCTGGGTTCAAGCCATTCTTCTGCCTCACAGTCTCCTGAGTAGCTGGGATTAGAGGTGTGTGCCACCATGCCAGGTTAATTTTGTATCTTTAGTAGAGACGGGGTTTCCCGTGTTGGCCAGGCTGGTCTCAAACTCCTGACCTCAGGTGATCTGTGCACCTCCACCTCCCAAAATACTGGGATTACAGGCATGAACCACCACGCCCAGCCCATTCTGAAGGCTTTTAAGTGCTCCTGGTAAGCACTTAGTGATGCTATTAGTGTATTAGTGTAGCCAAGTTTGATCACTTGATTAAGCTAGTGCCCACTATAGCTTACCATTTTTTTCTGTTCATAAAAATAATACGTGTTCCTAGTAGAATGAAAAGACAGCGCAAAGAAGATTATATATTACCCTAATTCCATGGCTAATTATTTTTCTGAACTTTTCAGTCATGAAAATTTTCAAGCATACAAGAAAAATTCAAAAATAGTACAATAAACACTATACCTTCTTCTAAATACAACATCTTTTGACCTTTTGCGTACTCGCTTTATCTTTCTATATTGTTACTTTTTTGGCTATTCCATTTGAATGTAAAGTTGTAGATAGTGTGACACATCACTCCTAAATTCTATTCTTTAGCATGTATTTCTTTTCCTTTTCTCTTTTTTCTCTTCTCTTCGCTTCGCTTCGCTTCTCTTCTTTGTTTCTTGTTTCTTTTCTCTTTTTTTTTGAGACAGGATCTCCTTGTGTTACCCAGGCTGGAGTACAGTGGTGCAATCTCTGCTTACTGTCACGTCTACCGCCCAGGCTCAAGCAGTCCTCCCACGTTAACCTCCTGAGTAGCTGGGACTACAGGCACAAGCCACCACACCCAGCTAATTTTTGTATTTTTTGTAGAGATGGAGTTTCACCATGTTTCCCAGGCTGGTCTTGAAATCCTGGGTTCAAGAGATACACATGCCTTGGCCTCCCAAAGTGCTGGGATTATGGGCCACTGTGCCCAGCCCGTCTTTCTTTGTGCCCGCCCACCCTTCCTCCCTCTCTTTCCTTCTTTCCATTTTAAAATTTAGATTTGGGGGATACATGTGCACATGGGTATATTGCATGTTGCTGAGGTTTTGGCTTCTAATGACCCTGTCACCCAAATAGCAAACATAATACCTGATGGGTTGTTTTTCAACTTCCCCCCTCCCCACTTTTAGAATCCCCAGTGTTTATTGTTCCCATCTTTGTGTACATGTGTACCCAGTGTTTAACTCCCACTCATAAGTGAGAACATGCAGTATTTGGTTTTCTGTTTCTGTGTTAATTTGCTTAGGATAATGGGCTCCAGCTGTAACCATGTTGCTGCAAAGGACATTATTTCGTTCTTTGTTATGGCTGCATAGTATTCCATTTTGTATATGTACACTTTCTTTATCCAGTCCACTATTGATGGGCACTTGGGTTGATTCCACCTCTTTGCTATTGTGAATAGTAGCATGCATCTCTTTGGAATAAGGCCAGTCTCCTACATAACCACATACCATTGTCACATCTAAAGAAATTTGTAATAATTCCATGATATTATCCAGTATTGACTCTATATTCAAATGTCCCCAGTTATCATGAAATGTTTGTTATATTTGTTTCCTCACTAGGCCTTAACCTAGGTTCACACATTACTGTTGCTTGTATGTCTTTTTAGGCTGTTTTATCATAGAACTGTATTTCCATTCTTCCCATATGCCTGTCCCCAAAGATACTGACTGTTTTATAAGAGTCCAGTGACCGGGCGCAGTGGCTCATGCCTGTAGTCCCAGTACTTTGGGAGGCCAAGGTGGGCGGATCACAAGGTCAGGAGATCAAGACCATCCTGGCTAACACAGTGAAACCCCGTCTCTACTAAAAATACAAAAAATTAGCTGTGCGTGGTGGCGGGTGCCTATAGCCCAGCTACTCGGGAGGCTGAGGCAGGAGAATGGCGTGAACCCGGGAGGCGGAGGTTGCAGTGAGCTGAAATCGTGCCACTGCACTCCAGCCTGGGCGACAGAGCGAAACTCCATCTCAAAAAAAAAAAAAAGAGTCCAGGGTAGTTGTCTTATAAAATGCCTCACATCCTGGTTTTGTTTGATTGTTTCTTCCTGGTTTCCTTTAACTTGTTTCCCCATCCTCTGTATTTCCAGCAACTTAGTCTAAAACAGTGCCATCCAATAGAACTTTCTGAAGTGAAGGAAAAGTTCTATATCTTCGTTGTTCCGTATGGCATCCACTAGCTGCCTTACGTGGCTAGTTAAACTAATTAAGGCTTTCTGGGCACACTGCCTATGGGATAGTTCTGCTTCACAAGAAGCGGTAAAACAACAACAACAAAAACAAACTAATTAAAATTAAATAAATACAAAATTCAGTTTCTTAGTTACACTAGCCACATTTCAAGTGCTCAGTAGCTACATGTATATCATGTTCACCGTTTTGAACAGCCCAGGTTTGGAGGCTTGATTAGATTTAGGATAAATATTTTTGGTGAGTTGCACATAGGTATGCTGTGTGCTTCCTGATGCTCATGTCACTTGAGGAGGTTCTAGTACCTGGGCGCCTTGGTGAGAGTGTAGTACTGCTCAGTGACTTGCATACCCATGGAATGGATTGGGAAAGATAGTGGTGGTCGATCTTCCCTGAGATTTGCCACTTCTAAGCAGAGAAGAAATAATAAGCGAAAAATATATATATTATACCTCACTGATTATCAGATGAATGCAAATTAAAGCAAGCTGGTATCTTGCTCTTACTACATTAGCCAAGATTTTAAAACTAATTCTATTAATGATGAAGGAGACAACACGTTATTATTATTATTTTATTATTATTATTATTTTTGAGATGGAGTCTCGCTCTGTTGCCCAGGCTGGAGTGCAGTGGTACGATCTCGGCTCACTGCAATCTCTGCCTCCCAGGTTCAAGCGATTCTCCTGTCTCAGCCTCTTGAGTAGCTGGGATTACAGGTGCGCACCACCACGCCCAGCTAGTGTTTTGTATTTTAGTAGAGATGGGGTTTCACTGTGTTGCCCAGGCTGGTCTTGAACTCCTGAGCTCAGGCAATCCACCTGCCTCGGCCTCCCAGAGTGCTAGGTTCACATGCGTGAGCCACCGTGCCTGGCCTGAGACAACACATATTATAACCTTAAGGATGTCTGTGCTATCTTGGACCCTATGTGCCAGTCATTCTAACTGCTTTCCAGGACCCCACACATCTGACATAATGCATGCGGTTCCCTCCTGTCCCTCCTGCTAGAAACCGTGCCCTATCCTTTTGCCACCTAGAGACGCCTCTTTGGGTTTTCAGCTTAGTCACTACATTTTATCAAAGCTTTTATGACTTTCCATGCTGATATGTAAGTGCTTTTTTCACCATCTCATTGTAATGTAAATTTCAAGTGTGTTTTTCCTGTATATTTAATGTGGACTATTTATTTATTTATTTTGAGACAGGGTCTCACTTTGTCCAAGCTCGAATGGAGTGGTGTGATCATAGCTCACTGCAGCCTCGACCTCCTGAGCTCAGGTGATCCTCCCACCTCAGCCTCCTGAGTAGCTGGGACCACAAGTGCATGCCACCACGCCTGGCTAATTTTCTTGTATTTTTTGTAGAAATGGGGTTTCACCATGTTGACCGGGCTGGTCTCGAACTCCGGGCTCAAGAAATCCACCCACTTTGGCCTCCCAGGGTGCTGAGATTACAGGCGTTAAGTCACTGTGCCCAGCCTAGTGTGAACATTTTAAAAGCAGAAAAGTAGGCTGGGTGCAGTGGCTCACGCCTGTAATCCCAGCACTTTGGGAGGCCAAGGTGGGCGGATCACGAGGTTAGGAGTTTGAGACTAGCCTGGCCAACATGGTGAAACCCTATCTCTAAAAATACAAAAATCAGCTGGGCGTGGTGGCAGGCGCCAGTAATCCCAGTTACTTGGGAGCCTGAAGCAGGAGAATCGCTTTAAACCCGGGAGGCGGAGGTTGCAGTGAGCCGAGATCACAGCACTGCACTCCAGCCCAGGCAACCATACGAGACTCCGTCTCCAAAAAAAAAAGAGCAGAAAAGTAAAAAGAACAAAATTTAAAATTTTCATACTCGCCACTAGTAACATTTTGATATATTTCCTTTTGTGTGAGTTTTCGCCTATTAACAGCCCTCCTTCTTGACTGTGGGCTTTTCAAGAGTATTTTCAAATATTGGATACAGAAGTGAACTAGGAGGTTCATGTAAATTATTAAAAAGGAGACAGAAGTTTCTCTTTACTGTTGTGATATTGACACATATATATAGATGTTTTCGTCTCAGGTTCCTGGCTCCTAACTGTCATAGCCTTTTGGAGTTAACAGTCTTTTGTTATAATGTTGGAGCACTTTAGGCCTCAGGAGCAGGCCTCAGAAAACAGAATCTCTGTCTCTGACTTTCTCCTGCCCTCCTTTTACCTGCCCAAGGCAGGACTCTAATCTTTCCCCGCCTTTATGATGATGGGTCACAAGATCCTCATTCCAGAGAAGGTCATACCCCATATGTTAGAGGAAGAAATCCTGCACAGAAAGGCCAAGAAGAATCTGAACAAACAGGCCTTGCTAGGTTTTCCTACTCAGTCGATTAGTATTAACTCATACCCTTTGTGTTCAATCACATTTCAACATGGTTGTCCAATCATGCCTATCCAATGAAGTCTCCATAAAAGGCCTAAGAGGACAGAGTTCAGGGAGCTTCTGGGTAACTGAACACGTGGAGGTTCCTAGAGAACAGCACACCCAGGGAAGCCATGGAAGCTCTGTGCAGCTTCCCCCAACCTCGCCCTGTGCATCTCTTAATCTGTATGGCTTATATTCATTGTAATATACTGGTAAATGTGAGTTTCCCTGAGTTATGTGAGCTGCTTTAGCAATTGAGCCCAAATAGGGGGTCATGGAAATCCCAACTTGAAGCTAGTTGGTCAGAAGTTCTAGAGGCCTGGACTTGTGACTGGTAGGAAGGAGGGTGTTGTGGGACTGAGCCCTCAACCTTGGTTTCTGGGGCTGTCTTCCGGTAGATAGATTCAGAATTGAGTTGGATGACAACCTGCTGGCATCCACTGCAGAACTGATCCCTGCTTGGTGTGGGAGAGGAAAACCTCCACACATTTTGTTACAGAAGCCTTCTGTGTTGATTGTTTGGTGTGAGAGCACAGAAAAAACATGGTTTGAGTTTTCCCTGCCTTACAGCTGTCATTTTCTACCATCCCAGCCCTTTTTTTTTTTTACTGTCCCAGCTCTGTTTTCCTAGAAAAGCCCTATCTCTCCTCTCTTGCCACAGGCTTGGACACATTGACTAAATCTTCTAACTTTCTGTGTCTTTTGGTTATATCTCACCCTAGCACTTTCACTTCTAAGCATATGCTGAGAAGTGCTTATTTATGAGCACAAAGAAGCATGTACAGGCTGGGCATGGTGGCTCACACCTATAATCCCAGCACTTTGGGAGGCCATGGTGGGAGGATCATTTGAGTCCAGGAGTTTGAGGCCAGCCTAGGCAACATAGCGAGACTTCATCTCCAGTTAAAAAAAAAATTTTTTTTAAAGAAACATGTACAAGAGGTTCATCACAACTTTATTTGTAATAGCAAAAAATTAGAAACAGTCTAAATGTCCACCGATAGGAGAATGGTTGTGTCAAATATGACACATTTGTATTTTTTATTACCATCCAGCAGTTTAAAAATAATATAGGAAATCTTTATATCCCAACATAGAGCGTCCTGTAAGACACATAGTTAAATGTTTGTTGAAGATAAGGTTAGTTGGCAAGCATGATCCCATCTGGGTAAAATAAAATGTACAAAAACGTATTTGTGTGTGTTCATATATATGTAAATATATAGAGTGGAATCTGGCAGGGAAAATATTAAACTGATTAGAGTGATTACCTCTGGGGAAGGAATTGGGACTGGAAGGAAGCCATGGAAACTTTTACTTTATCTAAAGTTTAAAAAATTTTTTTACAACCCCATCATCTTTTCCAGAGTCTGGGCAGAAATGTGAAGCAATCGAGCAATTGTAAAAGTTAGTATTTAAAGTGCTTAAGGATACAGCCATCCTTTCCCCCAAGAATTCTAAAGGGATATATTTGAGCTTAGAAAAGTTAAAATTAGAATTGCTGAAATTCCGTTCTATATTGTCTTCTCCTTGGGTACAAGGAAATGAAAGCAAAGATGTCTCTGGGGGCAGATGGCAGAGCTTCAGTTAGGTTTTTGCTTTTGATGCAAGTTTATTTTCAGCTTTTAAACCTGACCTTGCTATTCTTAGAGTTTTAATTTTTTTAATTTAAATTAAAATGTTTTGTTTGTGAGGATAAGATGAGTTGGGAAAGAGATGGTTCACATGGAGATCATTGAGATAGCTGAGTATGTTTCCAGAGGACTGGGTTAATCTTTAAAGGGTTAAAAGACACTTTGACTAGAAGTAATCCATGAAGAACTATCAGATGTGTTAATCAGCCTGAGAGCTAGAGAATATTGCTCTTGTATATATTTATGTGACTTATGTTGGTGATGCTGACTTTTATGTATTGAAAAATGATGAGTTATCTGTTGCTACCTAATAAAACTTAAAATAAGGATAATCATTTGTTATCTCATGCTTTCTGTCAGACATGAATTCAGACAAGGTACAGCCATGTACCATGTTGTCTAGGGCCTCAGCTAAAAGAATCAAAGGCTGAGAGCAAAATACTGTTGGGGGGGTGGGAGAAAAGCTTGAATACCTTTTTCCAGCAGGCTTCCAGTAGGTTTTTCTCCTACATCTGAGTTGTCTTTGCTCATTTTTCCCTCTCTCTCCACCTCTTAACATTAGATGCCTTGGGATTCAGTCCTTGGTCTTTTTTTTTTCTTTGTCTGCTTCTCATTTATTCCTTGGTGATCTCTCCCAATCTGGAGGCTTTAAATACAGTAGGTAGGTGGTTGGATTAGTGGGTAGGTAGGTAGTTGTGTGGATGGGTGAGTAATCTATCCCTAACCACTGCTATTCTTAACCTGCCTACTTGGTATTTCCATTTGAATGTTCAGTAGCCATCTGAAACTCAGTATGTATAAGCCTTGATTCTACTGCCTTCCCCCAAACCTGCTTCGCCAGCAGTCTTCCCCATCTCAGTAGTGGCAGTCCATCCTTTAAGTTACTTAACCCAAAACCTAGAAGTCATCCTTGATTTTTGTTCTTTTCTTACACCTAATATCTAGTTCATCAGCAAATCCTGTTGGCTCTACCTTCAGAATACGTGTGTCTAGATTTCAGCCACTTCTCACTATCCCCCTGGTCCAAGCCACCATCACCACTCACCTCAATTCCTTAGCTACACCCCCTGCACCCTTGCCTTCTTCAGTCTACTACTTTCAACACAGTAGGCAAAATTATCCTGTAAAAAGAAACCAGATCAGATCATGTCACTCAAAGGCTTTCTAAGCTGAAGCCCTCAGATTGGCCTATGATCTGTCTCCCTCTGGGACCTCAGCTCTCACTCCCCTCTCTTTCTCACTGTGCTCCAGCAATACTGGTAGCCCCCTTGCTGCTCCTCTAATACCAGGCCTTTTCCCTCTCAGTGCCCTTGTAATTGCTGTTCCCTCTGCCTAAATCACCATGGTTGGAAATACAATCTTACATTAAACCTGGAGGAGAGAGACTTCATCCTGTTGCTTTTTTAAGTGCCTTTTATTGGTGAAGAAATGCCATGGTACTGAGGATGGGAAATTAAGTTTCAAATAACAGAATGTGTTTATACTAGAAGTAGCAAGTCCAAGCATTCACACCTATGCCAGATGAAATACTGTTTTTCATCCACCTACCTGCCATTCTTGCTCATTTATATCTCTTCTATATGAAGCAGTCCTGTCCTTTAGATGAGGTGGGAATTTCTAGGAGACTCTCTAATGCCACTAAAGTGTTCATTTCATTTGGCTCCATTTTTGTTCCTCTTTACTACCTTTTGTGATTGAGGGTGAATTAGAGGGCAGTCTGGGATGCCATCTGAATAACTGATTCTGTCAGTTAAGAGACTTGGTAGGGGTCCACATCAGGCCCTAAAATAGATACGGTTTTAGTTTCAAAATAAGCCATAAAAACACTCTCAAAAGAGCCAAGCTTTTGGGCCAGGTGTGGTGACTCACACCTGTAATCCCAGTGCTTTGGGAGACTGAGGTGGGAGGATTGCTTGAGATCAGGAGTTCAAGACCAGCCAGGGCAACGGAGAGACCTGTCTCTACGAAACAAAGTGAAAAGAGCCAGGCTTTTGAAGTGGGTTTCTAGAGTGGCGAGTAAGGCAGTCAAAAAGGGGAAGAGGTTGTTTTTAACCAGGATGACGAGAGCTCCTCCATGACATGCTTTATCGGAGATTTATGAAAGCAGGAAGAAAGACGATCAGCTATTTATGGCCATGTGACTAGCAAAGCTCTGGGTGTAAAACTGAATGAGGACATCACTTAGAAAATCCTTAAACTTGAGAAGTCTAAGGTAGTATGCCTGTTGTGTATAGAGACTGTGATATTAAGTGGAATTTATTTTTATGGGGTCATAGAATCACATTGTTGAAAGGATGTCAAGAGGTTATCTAGTTTAAATCTATACTTTTGGTCACACAGAAACCTATAACTGCAGGCCTTCAGTTTTTTCTTTTGAATACATATTTATAACAGATATGTCTGTACATGATCTAAATGAGTAAACTTTTTTTGAAACAGGGTTGTGCTCTGTCTTAAAAAAATTTAATGAAATAAATTACCTTTAATGCCATTGAATAGTGAGATGCCACTACATACCTATTAGAATGTCTAAAGTAAAAAATGATGTCATTTAGCAGATTGAGAATAAGAAAGGTAGATGCAGCTTATTGCAGCTTTCAAATAAACCGTTCATCTCTGGTGAGTGAATAGAATAGATGTGATATTAAATGTTTCAGAAAGAACAAGACCACCTTTGTAGTGGTATTTGGCAAAGTTGAATTTTTTTGTCATTTCAAACTGAAACTGGCAGTTCTGCCTTTAAAATGAAAGCTAGAAAATTGAGGAGGCTTTCAGGTAATAAGAGAACCAGAATCACTTAAGAATTCAAAACCAGTTTTTCTTAAGTGTTTGTTCCCCCCACTCCCTTTTTAAACCTGGTCCTTAATGTGGATTTTTCAGGTAGTCTAAAAGGCAAAAGATTTATGTAATACCCCTGTAGTAACTGCAAATTCAAAAAATAATTTAATGTTCCATTTAAATAAACTTATCTCCCCTGCAGAAGGTGTCCTGATTTATTTTCCCAGCGGCAGAGATCAGGAGGTTGATACGTGTATATGCTTTAAAATCAGAGGCACCTAGGTTCTAATCCTGGTGCTGATGTTTAACTGCATAGTATTGGCAAATTATTTATCATCTCTAGATATCAATTTTCTTGTCCGGAGCATAGATATCATGATATAATATCTGCTTCACAGGTAGACATTTAGTAAGAACTCAAATGCTAGGTATTATTATTACTAGAAAAACAGACTAATTTGCCCCGAATCACACAGTGACTTATGACCTGAACCCTCAGGAGTGTCTCCCAAAGCCCTGGGCTTTCATCTTCTCTTTTCTCCTCCCATCACCCTATTACCGTTGTTAGGAGGATGCTAGTTAAGTTAATGAAGTATATAAATAATTTTAGGTTCCTTTATGTAGTTAGGAAAGAAACTACTTTTGGCATTAGGGTTTAATTTTTTTTTTTTTTTTTGAGACAGAGTCTCACTCTGTTGCCCAGGCTGGAATGCAGTGGCTGGATCTTGGTTCACTGCAGCACCCACCTTCCAGGTTCAAGTGATTCTTCTGCCTCAGCCTCCCGAGTAGCTGGGACTGCAGGCGCATACCACCAGGCCTGGGTAATTTTTTTTTTTTTTTTTTTAGTAGAGACAGGGTTATGCCATGTTGACCAGGCTGGTTTCAAACAGCTGACCTCAGGTCGTCCACCCACCTCGGCCTTCCAAAGTGCTGGGATTACAGGTGTGAGCCACTGCGCCCGGCCTTATATTTTCAGTAGAGATGGGGTTTTGCCATATTGGCCAGGTTGGTCTCAAACTCCTGGCCTCAAGTGATCCACCCGCCTTGGCCTCCCAAAATGCTGGGATTATAGGCATGAGCCACCGCCCCCAGCCAAGGTTTATTTAATTTTTTTATGCTCAGAATTTTTTTTTTTTTGAGACGGAGTTTCACCCTTATTGCCCAGGCTGGAGTGCAATGGTGCAATCTTGGCTCACCACATCCTCCGCCTCCTGGGTTCAAGTGATTCTCTTGCCTCAGCCTCCCGAGTAGCTGGGATTACAGGCATGTGCCACCACGCCTGGCTAATTTTGTATTTTTAGTAGAGACGGGGTTTCTCCATGTTGGTCAGGCTGGTCTCGAACTCCCAGCCTCAGATGATCCACCCGCCTGGGCCTCCCAAAGTGCTGGGATTACAAGCGTGAGCCACCGCGCTTGGCCTAATTTTTTGTATTTTTAGTAGAGATAGGGTTTCACTGTGTTAGCCAGGATGGTCTCGATCTCCTGACCTCGTGATCTGCCCGCCTCAGCCTCCCAAAGTGTTGGAATTACAGGCGTGAGCCACTGCGCCCGGCCTTAACTTTTTTTTTTTTAAGCCGTTTTAGATTCACAGCAAAATTGAGTGCAAACCACACAGAGTTCCCATATACCCACCGACCCTACGTGTGCATAGCCCCCATTATCAACATCTCACACCACAGCAGTACATTTGCTACGGTCAATGTACCAACACTGACACATCATAATCACCCCGAATCCCTCGTTTTCATAAGGTTCCCTCTTGGTGTTGTACTTTCTTTGGATTTGTAGAAAGGCATAATGACATGTATCCAGAATTATAGTATCACACAGAATAGTTTCACTGCCCTATAAAAATCCTCTGTGCTCTGTGTATCATCCCTCCCTCCCCTAAACTCCTGACAACCACTGATCTTTTACTGTTTTCATACTTTTGCTTCTCCTAGAATGTCTTATAGTTGGAATATACAGTATGTAGCCTTTTCAGATTGACTTCTTCCACTTAGTAATACGCATTTAAGATTCCTCCATGTCTTTATTTTATTTTTCTGGTTTTTTTTTCAGAGACAAGGTCTCGCTCTGTCACCCAGGCCGGAGTGCAGTGGTGCAGTCTCAGCTCACTGCAAGCTTTGCCTCCCAGGCTCAAGCAGTTCTCTTACCTCAGCCTCCCTGGTGTCTGGGAGTACAGGCCTGTAGTCGTGCGCCACCATGCCCAGCTAATTTTTGTAGTTTTAGTAGAGAGGGGGTTTCGCCATGTTGGCCAGGCTGGTCTCAAACTCCTGACCTCAGGTGATCCACCCACCTCAGCCTCCCAAAGTGGTGGGATTATAGACGTGAGCCACCATGCCTGGCCCTCTCCATGTCCTTACATACATAACTTGATAGTTCATTTCTTTGAGCACCGAATAATAATCCTTTGTGTAAATGTACCACACCTTATTTATCCATTCACCTACTGAAGGACATCGTGGACTCGGACGTTGCTTCCGAGTTTTGGCAGTTATTAATAAAGCTGCTATACAGTAATCAGGACAGTGTGGTTTTAGTAAGAGACATATAAATAAATGGAACAATAGTGAGCCCAGAAATAGACCCACATTGATATGCAAGTTTTTGCATGGACATAAGCTTTCACCTCCTAATTTAGGTAAACACCAAGGAGTGCAATTGCTTTATGTGGTAATGGTATGTATAGTTTTGTAAGAAACTGCCAATGTCGCTGTATCATTTTGCATTCTTTCCAGAGAGCAAATAAGAGTTCCTGTTGTTCCACATCCTCACCAGCATCTGGTGTTGTCAGTGTTTTAGATTTTAGCTATCTTTTTTTTTTTTTTTTGGTGATGAGTCTCACTTTGTTGCCCAGGCTGGAGTGCAGTGGCAAGATCACAGCTCACTGCAACCTCCACCTCCCAGGTTCAAGCGATTTTCCTGCCTCAGTCTCCCAAGTAGCTGGAATTATAGGCGCGCACCACCACACTCGGCTAATTTTTGTATTTTTAGTAGAGACGGGGTTTTGGCATGTTGGCCAGGCTGGTCTTGAACTCCTGACCTCAAGTGATCCGCCCACCTCAGCCTCCCAAAGTACTGGGATTACAGGTGTGAGCCACCCACACCCTGCCAATTTTAGCTATCCTAATAGGTGTTTTCTATTTTAATGAAGTTCATCTTATCAATTTTTTCTTTCAGGTATTCTGCCTTTGGTGTTGCATCTAAAAATTCATTGCCAAACCAACGATCACCTATATTTTCCCTTGTGTTACCTTCTGGGAGTATTATAGTTTTGCGTTTTACATTTAGGTCTGTGATCCATTTTGAGTTAATTTTTTTTAAGGGTACAAAGTTTGTGTCTAGATTGATTTTTCTGCATGTGGATGGCCAGGCAAAAATGCCAGCATCATATGTAGAAAAGACAATTTTTTTCTCCATTGTATCGTTCTTATTCCTTTGTCAAAGATTTGTGTATTGTATTGATGTAGGTCTATTTCTGGGCTTGCTATTGTTCCATCTATTTATTTATTTGTCTCTTGCTAAAACCACACTGTCTTGATTACTGTAGCATTATAGTAAGTCTTGAAGTTGGGTATCCGTTCTCCAACTTTGTTCTCCTTTCTTAACGAGTTGACTGTCTGGGCTTTTGCATCTCCTTATAAACTTTAGGATCACTTTTTCAATATTCACAAAATAATTTTCTGGGATTTTAATTGGGATTGTGTTGAATCTGTAAATCAAGTTGGGAAGAACTGACATATTAATAATGTTGAGTCTTCCTATTCATTAACATGGATTGTTGCCATTTATTTAGTTTTTCTTTGATATCTGAAAGTTTTGTGGTTTTTTTATATAGATCTTGTACATGTGTGTTTTAAATTTATACCTAATTATTTCACTTTAGGAGGTGCTAATGTAAATTAAATGATATGTTTTTAATTTGAAATTCTACTTGTTTATTCTTGGGATGTAGAAAAGCAATTGACTTTTGTACATTACCCTTGTATCTTGCAGCCTAAAAACAAGCTAATTGTTTTAATTTCACAATTTTTTTGTCAATCCTTTTGGATTTTTAAAAAATTAAAATCATGTCATCTGCAAACGAATACAGTTTTGTTTTATTCTAGTTTCTCACCATTAAGCTTCTGGTTTCTCACCATTAAGCATGATGTTAGCGATAGTTTTTTGTACTTACTCTGTATCAAATTGAGGAAGTCTTCCTCTGTTCCTAGTTTGTCGAGAGTTTTTTTTTTTTTTTCCTTCTGTGTCCAACTGTGATTGGAGGTTGAGAGTTTCTTTTATCATGAGTAGGTATAATTTCGTTACATGCTTTTTCTGCATCTATACCTGATCATGTGACTTTTAGCTTGTTGATGCGATGGAATACATTAATTGATTATTGAACATCGAACCAGCCTTGGGAGAGATAAATCCCACTTGGTTTTAGGTGTAATTATTTTTACACATTGTTGGATTTGATTTACTACAAGATATTGGTCTGTAGTTTTCTTGTGATGTATTTGTCCTGTTTTGGTATGAGGGTAACGCTGGCCTCATAGACTAAGTTAGGAAGTATTCTTTCTTCTAAAAGAAATTGTAGAGAATTGGTGTAATTTTTTCCTTAACTTGTAGAATTCACCAGTGGCCCATCTGGGCTTGGTGTTTTCTGTTTTGGAAGGTTATTATGGTGGTGGTGGTGGTGGTGGATGTTGTTGTTATTTGAGACAGAGTCTCACTCTGTTGCCCAGGCTGGAGTGCAGTGGCATGATCTCAGCTCACTGCAACCTCCGCTTCCCAGTTCAAGTGATTCTCCCGCCTCAGCCTCCAGAGTAACTGGAATTACAGGCATGTACCACCGCGCCCGGCTAATTTTTGTATTTTTAGTAGACACAGGGTTTCACTGTGTTGGCCAGGCTGGTCCTGAACTCATGACCTCAAGTGATCCTCCTGCCTCGGCCTCCCAAAGTTCTGGGATTACAGGCGTGAGCCACCATACCCTGCTTTTGTTATTATTTTTGAGACAGGGTCTTGCTCTGTCACCCAGGCTGGCGTGCAGTGGTACAAACATAGCTCACTGGAGCCTCAAACTCCTGGGCCCAAGCAGTCTTCCAGCCTCAGCCTCCTGAGTAGCCGAGACTACATGAACAGACCACTATGCTCAGCTCATTTTTTTATTTTTTGCAGAGATGGGTCTCACTGGTTTTGCTCCTCCTTGTCTCAAACTTCTGGCCTCAAGCAGTCCTCCCACCTCAGCGTCCCAAAGTGCTAGGATTACAGGCATGCACCACCGCACCCAGCCAGTTATTAATTATTGATTTAATTTCTCTAATAGGTACAGGCTTATTGAGATTGTTTTTTCTTACGTGAGTTTTGACAGATTCTACCTTTCCAGGAATTGGTCATTTCATGTAGGTTGTGAAATCCATGGGCACAGGGTTGTTCATAGTTTTCTTTTATTTTCCTCTTTTTTGTTCATGGCATCTTTAATGATGTCTCCTCTTTCATGTCTAATATTAGTAATTTGTGTCTTCTTTTTTTCTTAATTAGCGTGGCTGAAGACTTATCAATTTTTATATGATTTTATTTTTATTACATATTTTAAACATACGTTTGTATACTTTTAGGCTTTTTAATTTTACTGACCTTTTAAATAACCAGTTTTGGGTTATGTTCATCCTCTCAATTGATTTTCTTTCTCAACTTCTTTGATTTCTGTTCTAATTTTTAATTATTTTCTTATGCTTACTTGGATTTAATTTGCTCTTTTTCTAGTTTCCTAAGGTAAAAGCTTAGATTATTAATTTTAGATCTTTCTTTTCTAATATATGCATTTAGCCTAAAGTTTTCCTCTAAGCACCACTCTCACTGCATCCCACAAATTTTGATGTTATATTTTTATTTTTATTCAAAAATTTTCTTGAGATTTCTGCTTTAATTCATATGTTATTTAGAAGTGTGTTGTTTAATCTCCAAATATTAGAGGATTTTCCAGCAATCTTTCAGTTATTGACTTCTTTCTTTTTTTTCTTTTTTTTGAGATAGGGTTTCATTATGCTGCCCAGGCTGGTCCCGAACTCCTGAGCTCAAGTGATCCTCCCATCTTGGCCTCCCAAAATGCTGGGATTACAGGTGTGAGCCACTGTCCCCAGCCAAATTGATTGATTTCTTAACTCCATTGTGGTCTGAGAGCATACATTTTAATGATTACTATTCTTTCAGATTTGTTAAGGTGTGTCTTGTAGTTCAGAATGTGGTCTGTCTTGTTGAATGTTCCATGTGAGCTTGAGAATAATGTGTATTCTGCTGTTGTTGGATGAAGTGGTCTATAGAGGTCACTTATGTCAATTTGATTTTCTGCCACCTAGATCTGCCTGTTTCGATAGAGGGGTATTGAAGTCCCCAACAGTAATAATGGATTCATCTACTTCTCCTTGCAGTTCTGTCAGTTTTTGCTTCATGTATTTTGATGTTCTGTTGTTAGGCATATACACATTAAGGATTATTATGTCATCTTGTAGAACTGACCCCTTTATCATTGTGTAATGTTTCTCTATTCCTGACAGCTTTCAAGCTCTGAAGTCTGCTTTTTCTGAGATTAGTGTAGTTAGTTACTCCTGCTTGCATTTGATTAGTGTTAGCACGGTATGTATCACTCTCCATCCCTTTACTTTCAAGGTATGTGTTTTTATACTTAAAGTGGTTTTCTTGTAGACAACATATTAAACATATTGGATGACTCTTGTTTTGTGATGCACTCTGACAGTCTCAGTATTTTTTTTTTTTTTTTTTGAGAGACGATCTCACGCTGTCTCCCAGGCTGGAGTGCAGTGGTGCAATCAGTGCTCACTGCAGTCTCGACCTCCCAGCCTCAAGTTGTCCACCCATCTCAGCTTCTTGAGTAGCTGTGATTACATGTAGGCACACACCACTATGCCTAGCTAATTATTTATTTCTTGTAGAGAGAGGGTGTCCCTATGTTGACCAGGCTGATCTCAAATTTCTAGGCTCAAGTGATCCTCCCACCTCCGCCTCCCTAAGTGCTGGGATTACTGGTGTGAGCCACCTGGCACCTGGCCTATCTTTTTTTTTTTTTTTTTTTTTTTTTTTTTTTTTTTTTTTTTTTTTTTTTTGAGACAGAGTTTCTCTGTGTCTCCCAGCTGGAGTGCAGTGGCACGATCTTGGTTCACCGCAACCTCTGCCTCCTAGGTTCAAGCGATACTCCTGCCTCAGCCTCCTGAGTAGCTGGGATTACAGGCATGTGCCACCATGCCCAGCTAATTTTTTTGTATTTTTAGGAGAGATGGGGTTTCACCATGTTGGCTAGGCTGGTCTCAAACTCCTGACCTCAAGTGATCCATCTGCCTCAGCCGCCCAAAGTGCTGAGATTACAGGCATGAGCCCCTGCACCCAACCCTGTCTTTTAATTGATGTATTTAGACCATTGATGTTTAAAGTGTAGTTGGATTAATATCTCCCATGTTTGATAGCTTTCTGTCCATTGCCCTTTGTTCTCTGTTCCTGTTCTTCCATTCTTTCTCTGCCTTTTGTGGTTTTAATTGAGCATCTTATATTATTTCATTTTTCTCTTTTGTTCTTATCCTTCATTTTAATGGGTTCCTTGGAAGAAGAGATAATATACGTAGTTGACCACTGCATTTCTTGTTAAAATTTTTAGAGACAGGTTCTCCCACTGTTGCCCAGACTGGAGAGCAGTGGTGCAGTCATAGCTCACTGCAGGCTCAACCTCCTGGGCTCAAGCGATCCTCCCATCTCACCCTCCTGAGTAGCTAAGACTACAGGCGTGCCACCATGCCTGGCTAATTTTTTTATTTTTGTAGAGATGGGGTCTCGCTTTGTTTCCCAGGCTGGTCTCGAACTCCTGGCCTCAAGCCATCGTCTTGCCTCGACCTCCAAAAGTGCTGGCATTGCAGGCATGAGCCACCACACCTGGCCTCAACTTTTTTTAAAGTTTTAGAATTATTATTTTTTATTATTGTTATTATTTTTAGAGACAGGGTCTTGATATGTTGCCCACGCTGGTCTTGAACTCCTGGGCTCATGCAGTCCTGCTACCCAGCCTCCCAAGTGGCTGGGATTACAGTTGTGTACCATCACACCCAATGTTTCAGAATTATATCTCTTTTTTCTCCTTTGACTTGAAAATAATGATATAAATGTTTTTGCTTCTCTAAGATACTGCACAGGAGTATCTTGCTTTTAATAGACTCCTCTTCACAAATTGCGCATAGGCCACATTGTTGTAAATACACTCATTTCTGTGTATAATTTATCTCAAAAGCTAGTAGCGTTTAAAAAAGAATTGCTCCTTAGTCGAGGAACTGATATTTTAAATTGACTAATTTAAAGGTATTTTGCTGTTAGCACACTTTTAGTACAAATAACTACTCTAAATTACTTTTTAACCACTTTTTAACAACTGGAATTAAAGATATCTTTTTACTCAGTTTAGTGGTCTGTGTTATAATACATTGAATGGTACCCATTGACAAATATTAAGTTTAGTGGCTAAGTGTACAGATTAGAATATGCCCTGTTAGAGAGAATATAGTACTGTATTTGAGCTGGTTTGTGTTGGAACCCTGAATAGAGGTGGAATTACTGGGACAGGAGCCAGTCGCCTTCTGCGAAATGAAATGAGTCCAGAAGAGTCTTCCAAAACAGTTGTGTTTGCTTTTCCATCCAGCTCCACATTCCAGGAAAGGATTTTTAGTCATTAGGAAATATATCCACAGCTTACTTTCCATTGACTTCAATATAATTAACAGTGGTTTCAGCAAACACTAAATGCAACCCTTGCCTCTGGAGATTCCACAATCGTTAAACTACCAACAGCTGCTGGATTTAGACAAATGTAACTTATCCGGCCTTGTTGCCACTTAACAGCTTTCTCTTAATTCCATGGACTTATGAATACAAGCTGCTTATCACAAAGCTTGCTACACAGGAAGTAAATGTAAGGACTGCCAAGACAGTATGGTAGTCATGAACTTAATGTACACCTAGTAAACCTCCATCAATATAAAGTAAAAATTATCAGAGTTACGGGGAAAGTCAACTCAATAGCCATATTGAAGACTTCAAAACATCTCATTTTGTGCTTGATAGTCCCTATGAAGAACAATAAAATCTCATTTAGAAAGTGATTGAAAAGTGGCAAACAGAAAAATAGAGGTTAAATAACACCATTAACAAGATTGAGCACATAGATATGTTGAGAGAGAAGCTTCCACCCAACAAAGAATACGTAATTTTTTCAAGCATGCATGGAAGGATAAGAACATAACCACATGTTAAGTTGTACAGGAATGGTTAAAAATTCCAGAGCATCATCAGTATTATAGACTGTATATACTCTGATAGAATGCAGTAGAATTAGAAACCAACAACAGAGCCAGCTTGAAAGAGAGAGAAACACAGGTTTGGAAACAAAAAAATGTTCTAAATAATCCATGAGTTAAAGCACAAATCATCATAGAAATAAGCAAATAGAGCAGAAGAGCTGTGAAAGCACTTCACATCATGACTTACGGGATACAGCTCAGTCAGTTCTTTGATGCTTAGATGCTTATATTAGAAAGTTAAATGGACGTTAAGTAAATTGAGCAATCAACTCAAGAAGCTGGAAAAAACAAGAGCAAGCCCAAAGGAAGTAAAGGGACAGAAATAACAAGGAAAGGGGTAGAAATTAATAGAAAAATAGAAATGACCAACAAAACCAAAAGTGGGTTATTTTTATTTGTCTAATAAAATAGATAAACTTCTGGCAAGACTGATAAATAGGAAGACAGAAATAAATGAAGAACAAAAAAGGGAAATAACCACAGATTTATAATAGAGGTTTTTAAATTATAAGAATGTTACAAAGAGCTACAAACAGAAAGATCTGAAAACTTTCATAGAAATTTTCCAGAAAATCCTACCCAAATTTACTTTTAAAATAATTCAGGCTGGGCGTGGTGGCTCACACGCCTATAATCCCAGCACTTTGGGAGGCCAAGGCGAGTGGATCACTTGAAGTCAGGAGTTCGAGACCAGCCTGCCAACATGGTAAAACCCCATCTCTACTAAAAATTAAAAAATTAGCCAGGCATGGTGGCACGTGCCTGTAGTCCCAGCTACTAGGGAGACTGAGGCAGGAGAACTGATTGAACCTGGAAGATGGAGGTTGCAGTGAGCCAGTATCACGCCATTGCTCTCCTGCCTGGGTGACAGAGCAAGACTCTGTCTCAAAAAAAAAAAAAAAAAAAAAAAAATTCAGACCGGGCACAGTGGCTCATGCCTATAATCCCAGCACTTTGGGAGGCGAGGGCAGGAGGATCACTTGAGCCCAGGAGTTCAAGACCAACCTGGGCAATATAGTGAGACCTCATCTCTACCAAAAAAAAAAAAAAAAAGTTTTTAATTAGCTGGGCATGATGGTGCACCCTGTTGTCCCAGCTACTCAGGAGGCTGAGGTGGGAGGATTGCTTCAGCCTGGGTAGTCAAGGCTGCAGTGAGCCATGATCTGCGCCACTGCACTCCAGACTGGGAGACAGAGTAAGAGCCTTTCTCCAAAAAAACAAAAAAAAAAAGGAAAAAGAAAAATTTGAAAACCTACACATAGATCATTAGTCCTTAAATTAAGTAGTAATCACCTTCCTTCCTGCCAAAAAATACCAAGATCAGACTAGATTAATTTTACTAAAATTTTAAAATATGTATATTCTTGAAGACTATTTAGAGGAGGATAGTTACATACCTTTTGTAAGACTGGTAAGATCTTGATTAATGATTAGCAAACTCTTCCTTTCCTTTTTCCTTTCTTTTCCTTTCCTTTCCTTTCCTTCTTTCGATATGGGGTCTCACTATGTTGCCCAGGCTGGTCTTGAACTCCTGGGCTCACAGTCTTTCCACCTTAGCCTCCCAAAGTGCTAGGATTACAGGTATGAGCCACCATGCCCAGCGATAGCAAACTTTCTTTTTTTTTTTTTTTTTTTTGAGACAGAGTTTCACTCTTGTCACCCAGGCTGGAGTACAGTGGCGTAATCAGCTCACTGCAACCTCTGCATCCCAGGTTCAAGTGGTTCTCCTCCTTCAGCCTCCCGAGTAGCTGGGATTACAGGCATGCGCCACGACACCCAGCTGATTTTGTACTTTTAGTAGAGATGGGGGTTTCACCATGTTGGCCAGGCTACTCTCGAACTCCTGACCTCTGGTAATCCACCTGCCTCGGCTTTCCAGAGTGCTGAGATCACAGGCATGAGCCACTGCGCCTGGCCTCGTAGCAGACTTTCTATAAAGGGCCAGATAGTAAATGTTTTAGGCTTTAGAATTCATATGGTATCTGTTTTAGCCACTCAGCTCTCCTATTGTGATGTGAAAGCAGCCGTAGACAATACTTAAACGAATGACACAGCTATGTTCCAGTAAAACTTTATTTACAAAAACTGATGGCAGGATGGATTTGGCCTGTAAGCTGTAGTTTGCTGACCCCTGATCTCGATAATTAAACTAGAAAAGAACAGTAAATTGTCATTTATGAATGAGAATTTGCACAAATTCTAAGTAAAAATTTATTAAAATTCAGCATCTATTCATTATAAAAACTGTTAGCAAGCTAAAAACAAAAGGAACTTCCTTAACCTGATAGAGTATCTAATAAAACCAATAGCAAACATCGTATTTTTGAAATGTTCAAAGCATTCCCATGACAGATAAGAATAAGACAGTTATGCTTGCTATTATGCTAACATTTAATATTGAACTGTGATCCTAGCCACTGCAATTAAGACAAGAAAAATAAATACAAATTGTAAAGATTCCAGAGACAAAATTGTCCTTATTTACAGAAGATGTGATTATTAACTTAGAAAACGAAAGAAAAACAACAGGAACTATTATTAATAGAATTAGTGAACACATTTAGAAGGACTGCAAGAGATAAGATTGATATCTAAGAAAACCAGCTGAATATTTCTGGTTCTGACTAGCCTGGGCAACATAATGAGAACCCCAATTCTACAAAAAAAAAAAAAAAAAAAAAAAAAAAAAATTGCCAGGTATGGTGACACGCATCTGTGATCCGCGTTACTCAGGAGGCCGAGGAGGGAGGATCACTTGAGCCCAGCAGGTCAAGGCTGCAGTAAGCTGTGTTTGCACCACTGCCAAAATATCTGAAAAAACTGATTTTTGGCATTTATATGGATGGATAAAGGTACAAAAATGGCTTAGAAGTTTTTGTTAAAGAAGAGCAGAGAAGGGTATTCCAAGTATTAAGATAAAGTTGTATTAGTTAAAATCATATGCATATGCTATTAGTACATAAATTAACAACTAAATTAGTAAAACAGTAATATCTGTGGCTCTATTCTGGAGTCTCTAGACCATTGGCTATTTGGAAATAAATTACAGATGGATCGTACGATAAAACTCTCAGATAATTAGAAAAGATATGTGACTGTAATTTTATGCCATAGGAATAGGGATGTGTTTTTTTGTTTTTTGTTTTGTTTTTTTGAGACGGAGTCTCTCGCTCTGTCACCCAGGCTGGAGTGCAGTGGCGCAATCTTGGCTCACTGCAATCTCCGCCTCCCAGGTTCAAGCAATTCTCCTGCCTCAGCCTCCCGAGTAACTGGGACTACAGGCACACGCCACCATGCTCGGCTAATTTTTTGTATTTTAGTAGAGACTGGTTTCACCATATTGCCCAGGCTGGTCTGAAACTCCTGAGCTGAGGCAATCTGCCCACCTCGGCCTCCCAAAGTGCTGGGATTACAGGCATGAGCCACCGCACCCGGCCATGGATGTGTTTCTTAAACAAGATAA